>NC_000003.12:61828181-62131212 GCF_000001405.40 Homo sapiens
CTAAGCGTTTCTACGAAATACAATAATTGTCACTCACTTTTTAAAGGTTTAAATTCCTAGGCTAGCAAAGGAGTAAGTTATTTTCCTATATGCAGTCAAACCTGGGTGACACAGTATGGAAGATGTTTAATATCTGTCCATATGTCTGTTTATTCTTTCATACAGCGACACATGTGTTGCACAACTATAACATACCAGGCATAGTCAGTAGCGTCTGGGAATATTCAAGTGAAGAAATCTAAGTTCTAGCTACTCCATGGAGAAGATGCTTTTAGACTAGAACAAGGTAGACAAGGTGTGTTTTGCACGTAGTCTTTCATTTTCATAGTGCCTGGCCCATGCTTAACACCAAATAGGTAGAAAGTGAATGCATGGACTTGTAACCAACATGTGTCTCATCTGGCCTTTCAAGGAAGTGCTGTGTGAACCCAGAGGAAGTGCTGTGTGAACCCAGGGGAGGAGTGACTACACATGGTTGGCGTCGGATGCATTGGAAAGGCTTCAGATAGGATAGTATTGGACTTGAGCCAATGGGAATTGGCTTGGTGAAGACCTCCAGGGGACAGGGTGACAAGCCTTGCCTGCAGTGACAGCAGCTTGTGTGAAGGCACAGTGACAGGGATTATGTGAAAAGAGGTGAGCTGTGGTTTTCATGTCCCTGAGGGATCTGTTTATTTGGGCCAATAACCTATATTTCCTTTTTTTCCCTTGGTCATGGGTGGAAGATATTTACCTATATGACTGATTCTGTACCCAGAAGAGGTGAAAGCCTAGAACAGATGATTTCTCCAATATTTAAAGTGTAGGTTTTGTCAGCATCTGCATGTGTTATATAGATATATATCCTTAGCACGTGGTGTGTATGTGTGTGCATGAGCTTGCCTGTGTGTGCCCGAGTACGTGCCTATGAGTGAGAGAGAAGGAACTTACTTGGCATGGGATATGAAGGAAGATACTCAGTATTTGTTCCGACTCATGCATCCCAACAAAGGCGAAGTAAATGTCTCTGTGGTGTCCCACATAAAACATGAAGCACTAAATAATATTGAGAGAGCCTCGCTGAGCCCTCCACAAATAGTACATTAATGTCAAGGAAGTGTTGAGGAATTCCCAGACAGCGTTGTAGTTCAATAATGACCGTTATTTATCACAAACGTGCACTCTGTTTGTTCACATTGGGTAATGAATGACCTTTCTGTTTCCGTGGCCAGGGCCAAACAGGCCTCTGTCGAGGCGGGTGCAGGCTGGGGGCCATTTATCATGCCTCACTTAGCCCGATCACTGCCTTAAACGACACCACCAGGGACATACTTGGGCTTAAAGGATCAGGCCCGAAGAAAGCCTTCATGGGTTAACTACTCCAAAAGCAAATACTGTCCAACCCTTCCTGCTGTCTCTTTCTCTTGGATTTGATGCGACTACAGTTTGGATGAAATCACATGACAGGTTGTCAGGGAGAGTGTATTAATCCACAGGAAAAGTATATTTCCAACAGTGATGACTCTTGCAGGATTTTTTGTTGTTTTGTTGCTGTCTGACACAGCTTCCTTTTGGTTTTTTTAATTGAGAATTTCTGTCATCCTTCAAGTGAGAGTCATACAGTCAAGAAAATCACCCGGTAGATTAATTTAGCTGGTGTAACATGGTCCTGAACTTGGAATGAAAGGAGACAGAGCGCCTGTGTATTTTGGAGGAAGAGGTTGTCTTGCTTGTGATCTGGTTGGGACTGTTGATTTAGTGTGGAACTAAAGACTACTTCATTTTAGTTTTTATAATGCTGTGATGTTCTTGTATCCTCCACATGGTGGATAGCTCACAGAAAAGAAGAGGAGAAACCTTTGCATGTGGTGATTTAAATACTGCAGTGTGAAGACAGCATCTTTGTTATACACAGTAGTTGTCCTTAAAAGTTAGATTTACATCACAAGCTGGTCAAATTTATTCACTGAAAAATGCATTTAAAAGCCAGCTCTGAGAATTGCTGTGATGTCATGTGGCATAACCCTGGGAATACTGCCAGTTCTGAAAACCTGTGTAGCAAATCAGAATTGCCGTATTTTTGGAAACTTCACTGTGTGAATTTCAAGACTGCTATGCTTTGGAATTATACGGTGTGAACTGTCTTACTCTGTTGTCGTGGAAGAATACTATCATCTTTTAGGTTGATAATGTTTAATTTAGTTGTGTAATTACAGTTCAACCATAAAACCCAGAAATCTGTCAATCTCTCCAACTGTCTGTCTATAGATATCTTTTAAATAGAAAACAAACTTTAGGGGCTTCTCCAGGTTTGCTGATTCTTGACAGATTTGTCCACAATGTTCTCATCTTTGAATCTTCGACTTACGACTTACTTAAAACTGGTGATGGTTCTTTTTGTTTTTGTTTTTTTTTTTTTTTTTTTTTTTTGGAGATGGAGTTTCGCTCTTGTTGCCCATGCTGGAGTGCAATGCCGTGATCTCGGTTCACTGCAACCTCCACCTCTCAGGTTCAAGTGATTCTCCTGCCTCAGCCTCCCGAGTAGCTGGGATTACAGGCACGCGCCACCACACCTGGCTAATTTTGCGTTTTTAGTAGAGATGGGGATTCTCCATGTTGGTCAGGCTGGTCTCGAACTCCCGACCTCAGGTGATCCACCTGCCTCGGCCTTCCAAAGTGCTGGGATCACAGGCATGGGCCACTGCGCCCTGCCGATGGATCTCTTTATCGGGAGGTATAAATGCATCAAAATTTGTGGAGCTGTAGTGAAATTTGTGCTTTGTTTTTACTTGGTGGCTTCCTTTCTTTTTTCAAAGACCTAATGAGAATGTTTAAATAACAGACATCTGGGTTCAGCCTTTGAAGCCTTAGCTTGTACTGTCTGATATTCTCAAGTTTTTGAGGAATATCGGGTCAGTGATGGACATTTAGCTGCAAAATATATTCCTTTAGTGATCCATCTATTTAATCTCACTGATAAAAAGATACTGATACTGATGAGTATCTTTCCTATTTTCATGGAGGCATTATTCAGGCATAACCCAGGATACTCCTAGCTGCTGTTGCAGAATTTTTCACTGAAATATAGAAATATGTGTGTAAACATCTGTCTCACAACTTTTGTGAAAGAGCATAATACCCATTTATGGTGAAGAGAAGGAATAAGCAGTTAAGAAAGGAAGCAGTTGAGTGAATAATTTTGTCATTTGACTTGCATAAAATCATTGGGATAATTTTTACTTATAAATATACCACACACAGGAAGGACCTTTTGTTCCATTTTAAAAATTGCAGGTGACACCTGTTTTTTTGTTTTTGTTTTTGTTTTTTTTAACCTCATGTTACTTCTCTTGCTTGATGTTCAACCCAGCTTAAAGTTAAAGCAGACTCAAGCCACCATTCATTCATTCTGTTGAGGACAGCATCCATCTGGTATCTTCTTACTTTGTTAATTCAGTTATTCTATCTACAATTGTTTCTCACATTGATGACTTAGGAATTTCAGGAATGGATGAGTTAGGAAAATGCCAATGACCATGGAAATAGAGAAAAAGGTATACCAAATTTTGGGTGCTTTTTGAGTTTTCTGTCTTATGGGTAAATGATATTTTTGTGCCTTTTTCTCCATTGCAAAAAGGAAATAGTTTTTCATAAGAATTGCTGGTTCAAACTGTATATAGATAAACACACACATAGGATAGATATTGATGGGTGGTAAAAGTTTTCTAATTGGTTCAGATGAGAAGATTTAAAAATTACTTAAAAGAGAATAAACAACATCTTGTCTATAACTATTCTAGGTGGTTTGTTTTTCTAAAAATAATGTAATATTTTAAAAATGTTTCTAGATGATTTCATTTATACATGGATTTATACATTTGTATCTTATAAATATCCCAGAAAGAGTCAATCAAAAAATTATATCTGCCAAAATAAGTGTAATCATGTTGTTCAGCCTAACAAGAAGGGGGTGCTTTGCATGCACAATTCCATGCAAATGAATTCACATTTCCATTTAGCTGTAATGGGCACATTCTCCCCACAGCTGTGCTTTTCGTTGTGACATGGAGATAGAAGCTCCACTTTCAAAATTATTGGATTTGGAAATGGAGTTAGAATATTGAATTTGGTGCCTAAAATAATAACTATCTCTTTTTAAAAACATTATTATATGCTCAAAACCCCTTCCCTGGACTAAGTCATTTAATTCTCATAACCCTATGAGATAGGTACTGTGATCATCTTCAGAACAGAGTTTTGGAGCATAGAGAGTGGGTAAGCATCTGGGGCAGGGTCATACAACTGGGAAGAAACTGACCTGGACTTGAACCCAGGCTTTCTGGCTTTGGAACTAGCTCTGTTAAGTGCTGTGTGTACAGCCTTCAGGGTATCAGGTCCTTATCTGACATTATCTCACCCTCTTCCCCCAGTGGATCTTGTAGGGTAGGTATCATTATCTTCATTTTATAGCTGAGAAAACTGAGATGCAGAATATGCTGCTCTGATCTTTGGTTTTTACTTACTTTTTTAAAAAAAATATTTATTTCTAGTTTGTATTTCAGTAGGTTTTTGGGGAACAGGGTATTTGGTTACATGAGTAAGTTCTTTAGTGGTGATTCATCAGATTTTGCTGCATCCATCACTTGAGCAGTATACACTGAACCCAATATGTAGCTTTTTATCCCTCGTCCTCTTCCCACCCTTTCCCCGCTGAGTCCCCAAAGTCCAGCGTTATCATTCCTATGTCTTTGCATTCTCGTAGCTTGGCTCCCACTTATGAGTGAAAACATATGATGTTTGGTTTTCCATTCCTGAGTTATATCACTTAGAATAATAGTATCCCATTCCATCCAGGTTGCTGTGAATGCCATTAGTTCATCCCTTTTTATGTCTGAGTAGTATTCCATTGTGTGTGTGTGTGTGTGTGTGTGTGTGTACACAGTTTCTTTATCCACGTGTTGATTTATGAGCATTACCTCGTTCTCCTTCTTTTTATTTGAAGGGTGGAGTAGAGTTAGCCTGAGGTGCAGGTAGAGTCTCCTGACTGAAAGTTATAAATTGAATTCTACATATGACCCTAAATATATACTATAGGACTTTCACTATAATGCCCCCAATTTTGCAGGGCAATTTGCTACATCTGTCAAAATCCAGTGTGCATGTGCTTGATATAGCAAATCTGCTTAAAAACGTGCAGAAGAAATCTCTAGGGCTTTTACTGGCTTAATCTAGTTTATTTCAGAATGTCAGATCTTGCGCTTGGGGTGGTGTTTGTGACAATTCCAGACCTAAGCGAGAGTCCCTGCGAGGATGTAGTGAGCGTGTGTGCCAATGCCCTGGTGAATCCTTTATCCCCAGGCACTTCACTTGCTTTCCTCATTCCGGCAAAGTGTTTTCCTTTCTTTTCTTTTTCTTTTTTTGGAGACAAGTCTCACTCTGTCGCCCAGGCTGGAGTGCAGTGGTGTGATCTCGGCTCGCTGCAACCTCCGCCACCTGGGTTCAAGCAATTCTCGTGCCTCAGCCTCCTGAGTAGCTGGAACTACAGGTACCCGCCACCACGCCTGGCTACTTTTTTTGTATTTTTAGTAGAGACGGGGTTTCAGCATGTTGGCCAGGCTGGTTTCGAACTCCTGAGCTAAGGCAGTGTGCCCGCCTCGGCCTCCCAAAGCGCTAGGATTACAGGCGTGAGCCACCGCGCCCAGCCGTGTTGAAGTGTTTTCTATGGAAGCTCATCTTTGAAAGGAGAGCTCTGTGTAAATGTTAGGTATTCTCATCCACAAAGTTATGGGTCTTCCTTATTTCTCATCTACTTTATTGGCTTCAATTAGTCACAGCACAGTAACTTAAAATGATTAATAACATGGAGGTCAGCTTAGGATTTCAGAAGATGCTTTTCTTGGGAAGTAAACATAACGGATTGCTTATATATTACTCTTTTAGGTTATTTGTCAAAGAACACATTTGCCTTGGAAGGATGTTTGTTACAGCATCTTTTCTTCTTTCTTTGACATGTTGCCTCTCCTGAGTCATTTCTTCACAAAAAGTCTCTTGTGGTTGCAACTGTTAGATGGAGCTTTGATAAAAATTGGTCTCAGAATCATCTGGAATATTTATATTGTCAAGTTTTTTCATATAAATTATTTTATGGCCTTAAGAGTGTTTTTTTCTCAAAGATACTACCCTGGCAGGGGGTCAGTTTACAGTTCAAAACTTTGTTTGCTGTTGAGCTTAATTGATTTAAAAATGTGCTTCTAGCCAGGTACAGTGGCATGTACCTGTAGTCCTAGCTGCTCAGGAGGCTGAGGTGGGAGGATCGCTTGAGCCCAGGAGTTCAAGACTAGCCTAGTGAGATCCTTTTTCTTAAAAACATAAGGCTTGCCACGGTGGCTCATGCCTGTAATCCCAACACTTTGGGAGGCCGAGGCAGGTGGATCAGGAGGTCAGGAGATCGAGACCATCCTGGCCAACATGGTGAAACACTGTCTCTACTAAAAATACAAAAATTAGCTGGGCATGGTGGCGTGTGCCTGTAGTCCCAACTACTCAGGAAGCTGAGGCAGGAGAATTGCTTTAACCCAGGAGGTGGAGTTTGCAGTGAGCTGAGATCGTGCCACTGCACTCCAGCCTGGGCTGGAGTGAGACTCCATCTCAAAAAGAAAAAAACATGAACATTTTGGTTCTGATGTGAGCTGCCAATTTTTTCTCATCCTGGAAGTTTCCTAAGGCAAACATATTGGGAATCCAGCTCTCAGAAATTAGACAATTGAATTATATTTCATCTAGATTGCCCACCCAAGCTAGTGAAAGCTTGGGTTTTGATTTTGGTTGTGTTTAATAATTACAATCCTTTTGGCTGTGTTTTCTATCTGAAATTCAGCTAGATATAGAAATAAAGTCCAAATATACCTAAGATTCAGCATCATAAATGTCAGGTTCATGGAAGGATTATTTATACTTGTATTGAGAATTATGCTGTCCAGTTTGGTAGTTTCCAGGTGTCTCATTGTGGCAGAGGCAGGCTGCCTTCCTTTGGTCGTTACTGTGCCTCAATTACCTCAATATTCTCTTGAGAGAAAAGGGCTTAGGTTATTCCATTAGCCTCTGGTCAGCCCTTCCTGACTCTACTGTTACTTTCTCCTGCTCCAGCCTCCTTTGTAAATGTGGAAGTCAATTTCCTATTCAGTGGGATCATGTCATTCCTACTCCCCCCTTCCCCAGGCTGGAGTGCAGTGGTGCGATCTCAGCTCACTGCAACCTCTGCCTCCTGGATTCAAGCGATTCTCCTGCCTCAGCCTCCTGAGTAGCTGGGATTACAGGCACACGCCACCACACCTGGCTAATTTTTGTATTCCTAGTAGAGATGGGATTTCACCATGTTGGCCAGGCTGGGCTCGAACTCTTGACCTTGTGATCCAGCCACCTCAGCCTCCCAAAGTGCTGGGATTATAGGCATGAACCACCACGCCCAGCCCGTTCCTGCTATTTAAGTCCTTAATGGCCTGGCCTTGTTGGTAGTCTGAAGTGTCACATCAGTGGTTCTTAAACCAACCTTTTTATCAGGATCACTTTGGGCATATGTTAAAATATACACACGTGGGCCGGGCACAGTGGCTCACACCTGTAATCCCAGCACTTTGGGAGGCCGAGGTGGGTGGATCACCTGAGAGGTCAGGAGTTCGAGATCAGCCTGGGCAACATGGTGAAACCCCATCTCTGTTAAAAATGCAAAATTAGCCAGGCATGGTGGCACATGCCTGTAATTCCAGCTACTTGGGAGGCTAAGGCAGGAGAATTGCTTGAAGCTGGGAGGTGGAGGATGCGGTGAGCTAAGATCGCGCCATTGCACTCCAGCCTGGGCAACAAGAGTAAATCTCCGTCTCACCCCCCGCGCCCCCCCCCACCAAAAAAAAAAATATATATATATATACACACACACACACCTGAACCCCACTGCAGATTAATGGCTCTTTGGATATTTGTAGGCCTGCTCTTTGTTCTTACAGCTATGTGTAGGAATCACTGGTAAGTCTTTACCTTCCTTGTCTCTTCTCTTTCCAAACCATTGTTCTTTGTTTAGGCCTTTGTTATAGAACATAGCCCTTTTCTGTTCATCCACTACCCTCTGACCTCTCTGATTCATGTACCCCTCACCTTCCTCATTGTTTTCTGAGTGTGTAGTACATAGTAAGTGCTTGAAAGTGGTTGAAGTAATGCAGTTTAAAGTTGTAACATTTTGAGGCCTGGTGTTGATCTACAAAGATGGTAGGCTCAGTTCCAAACAAGACACTAGCCTTTCCTGTCTCCTGGAGGCCAGCTTTACTTAGGGATAGTGATAATAAAATATAGCAGCTACTATTTACTATGCTCTTACTACCTTCCGGGTACTTTGCATAATGCCTCTCAGACATTATTGACATCAAGGCCTGAACTAGGAATATCAGATAATAATATCTATTGCCATCACTTTGTAGTTGAGGAAATAGAGGTGCAGTAAGTTTTAATAACTTGCTGAAGATGATGCAGTTTGTAAATGGGTGAAGTTCTGTTTGAAACCAGTTTTTTTGTTGTTGTTGTTGTTTTTTGTTTTTTTATTTGTTTTTTTCAGACGGAGTCTCTGTCTGTCACCCAGGCTGGAGTGCAATGGCACAATCTCGGCTCACTGCAACCTCTGCCTCCCGGGTTCAAGCAGTTCTCCTGCGTCAGCCTCCCTAGTAGCTGGGACTACAGGCACACGCCACCAGGCCTGGCTGATTTTTTTTTTTTCTTTTGAGATGGAGTCTTGCTCAGTCGCCCAGGCTGGAGTGCAATGGCACAATCTCGGCTTACTGCAGCCTTCACCTCCTGGGTTAAAGCGATTCTCCTGTCTCACCCCCCAGAGTAGCTGGGATTACAGGTAGGCACCCATCATCATGCCCGGCCAATTTTTGTATTTTTGTAAAGATGGGTTTTATCATATTGGCCACTCTGGTCTTGTACTCCTGACCTCAGGTGATCCGCCTGTCTTGGCCTCCCAAAGTGTTGGGATTATAGGTGTGAACCACTGGACCTGGTTAATTTTTGTATTTTTAGTAGAGACAGTGTTTTGCCATGTTGGCCAGGCTGGTCTCGAACTCCTGACCTCAAGTGATCTGCCTGCCACAGCCACCCAAAGTGCTGGGATTCACAGGTGTGAGCCACCGCACCCAACCTGAATCCAGCTTTTTCATCTTTAGATCTTGACCTTTTGACAGTTACCCAGTAATATCTCCTAAAATGTGGGATACAGTAAAGTAACTGGAAGTTGAGTCACAAGCAGGGCTCCTGTTTGCCCATGTCTTGCTGAATGTTCGGCATGCAGGGGGTACTAGACTATTAAAGGCTGAATACGGAGGTGCAGCCTGAATAGTACGTCATAGACAAGAGCGGATCAGCAGCATTGATTGAACAATAGCAAGGTTTTAGCCTGGATTTTTGTGTTTGAGGTGAAGGAAGGGGATGAGGAATGTCTGTACACGTACACATGTACCATATTTTTCACTTGAGGGTGCTTTCACTGATCAATTTTGAGGGATTATTGAAAATAAGTGAAGACATTGAAACCAGATGTATTAGTCCATTAGGGCAGCTATAACACCACAAACTGGGTGACTTAACAGAAATTTGCTTTCTTACAGTGCAGGAGGCTGCCAGTCAAATATCAGTGTATTGCAAGTTTGCTTTCTTCTGAGGCCTCTCCCCTTGGTTTGGAGATGGCCACCTTCTCTGTGTGTCTTCACATGGCCTTCCCTGTCTTTCTTCTTCCTCTTACAGGGACATCAGCCTTAATGGATCAGGCCCCCGACACTTTTGCCCACATTTAACCTTATTCACCCCTTTAAAAACCCTGTCTCCAAATACAGCCCTGTGAGGGCTTCAACATATGAATGTTGCAGGGGAGGCACAATTAAGTTCACAACACCGGGATGGTTAAACAACTGCCCTGAGATTTCAGATGGTGAATGGGAGGGAACTGGGCCTAAAAGCTGGTTTCTAGGACAAGTGGTGAAGGTGCTCAGAATTATTGTCCTGAACTCAGTATGTGAGAAATAGTTAAATGGGGAAGGTTGTGCTGTTGGGTTATCTACCTGAAATCAGTTGAAGAATCGTTTTTGGTTTCAAATAATTAACCCTAGAAGTTGGGCCTGACTGGAGACTTAGGCCACCAAAACTAGACAGGTTTATATAGTTTCTTTTCCCTTTGAAAGGTCCCTTTTGGATTTAGTTTCAAAATAAGATGGCCAAATTTAACCTCCCTGAAGTTTCATCATACCTTCAAGTTTTTCATGTGTGTGAATGGACAGAGTGCCCACAATGTGATATTTTGGCCCCACATGGTGATTAAAATCAGGCTTTTCCTTTAAAACTCTTCAACAGTTTATGGCTGGGCATCCCTTAAATAAAAACAGTCTGTTAAATAAGTGATGGTATAAATCTGCTTGTATTTGGACCTTTTGAACGAAATACCAGAATGACTTTTTAAAAATAGTTGACTAAGTTTTATTTCAATAACACTGTAATGTTCCATATCAAATGACTGGTCAAAAAGTGACATATTGGGTATTCTTACCACTCTCCCTGAGCTTTTTCTTCTTCATTTGCTTTCTCTTGCTAAAACTGTCATTTGGAATTAGTTCTTGTCTTATGTTTCTGTAAATAAAATTGATAGCATGTTATTAGTGTCTTTGTTTCCAGAATTCTGAGAGTTTGCATTTTAAAAGGAGCTATATAAAATCTAAGCTTTTCATGCTTAATAGGCTAGTCTTTAAGTGAACAATAGTGTGAAGTTAGCACATATTAATTAAAATGTCTGCAAAACCAAAGCTTTATGAATTCAATAAGCATTGAGAGGAGTTTTCAGGTCTCTGATTTATGTGTTCCTACCAGAAAAATTTTAATATTGTAAGCAAATCTAAAACCAACAAGGCATATATCCTTTAAGATAATAGATAAACTTTCAATTAGGGGCTTTAAAGAAAGTAACATCACTGAGAAAAGAAATTTCACAGAAAATTACTTTTATTGGAGGCAGGAAAAGCTTATTTAATGTGTTAAATATATTTAAATAGCTCTTAAGTTGATTACACCTGAAAAATATTTACTGTTCGGTAGATTAGAGTTTGGCCTCTGTAGAATGAATCTTATTTTAGATGCACAGAATGTAGTAGACACAAGAGACTATTCTATGATACTGTTCTGTTTCTTTAAAAATATGTCCAGCTGCTCCTGGAAGCCCCAGATCAACAAGGAAGATAAATGCAAAAACAAACTAAAGTAAAATAGTTAATATTCTTCAGCTGCTAGAAGGCTGGAATTTCTGGGAAGGACCAGCTCCAAGAGCCACAGCTTAAAACATTTTAAACTAACCTTGTCAGAGTTGGGACTTGAACTGAAAAGATAGGAATTTGCTTTAAAATAGACCTATATAGCAACAGTACTTTCGTATTTGAAAAAAATGCCTGTAAAATATTTTTAATGAAGTCTATTTTAAGGTTATAGAGCTAACACATGTTCCATATAGAGAATTTGGAAAATAAACATTTAGAGAAATAAAATCGCAATTAATTACATTAGGGAAAAAGAATTGCTTTGGACATTTTCTGAATTTTCTTTCTGTACCATACCTGCTTCCCTCACCTCTCAACTCTCACCCCCTTCCCCCTCGTTGCCTACACAGCATTTTTTGTCGTTATAAAGCTCACACCCTTCAATGCATTTGGTATTTATTTTGTAATCCTAATGCATCTTAGAGTTGTGTGTATTTTATGTGGTACTATTTCTTTTTCCTCCAAAAAAGCTGCTATTAAAATGACTGCGTATTTCAGAATTCATGGAGTCTTGGAATTTAGAGAATATAGCACACATATATTTATGTATACACTTATAGTTTATATGCACATATATATTTAGATGTGTGCCTGCATTTTCCCCTTGATATTATATCATAAACATTTCCTGGTAGTATTAGGGTCTAGGCACTTGTAATGTCTAAATCATATTAATTTATGTGATTGTGACTTTATTGATATGATTTTGCTTCAGTCACTTAGGTTGCTTTTAGTTTTTTGACTAAGTGTAGTTAACATTCTTAAGAATATTTTTTGCTAGTTTTCTGTCTGAATATCCAGGACCCATTTCGATCTGTATTCTTTAGTTACTAAATCTTTAAAATTTAAAATATTAGGGTTTTTAAGCCCATATAATTCAAGAAGTAAATGCTTTATATGTTGAATTATGATTTGGGCAAATGCATCTTATTGTTTTAGGGCAAAAAACTTAAGCTTTCTTCTATTAAAGTGATTTAATAAGCACTTTGTAAGTGTGTAATGAGGATGATTTGGGTTTTATTACAAATGATGTCAGTGTGAATTGTGTAATGATTTCTTGCTTTGGTCATACTAATTTAAGCTCTAGGAATAAATATTCTTTTATCAAAGAATCATTGATGACTGGGCACTCTGTGGGTGGGTACATGGGACAGAGAATATATTTTTACCTTTGGAGTTTATATTGGGGGAGGGACAGGTCATGTGGAGACAAACAATGCACAAGTAAACAAATATATAGGATACAGAAAATTTCAGATGGAGTTTTTTTTGTTTGTTTGTTTTTTTTTTTTTTTTTTTGAGATGAGGTCTTGCTCTGTCACCCAGGCTGGAGTACAGTGGCAAGATCTCTGCTCACTGCAACCTCCACCACCTGGGCAAGCAATTCTTCTGCCTCAGCCTCCCGAGTAGCTGGATCTCCAGGGGCCTGCCGCTATGCCTGGCTAATTTTTGTATTTTTAGTAGAGGTGGGGTTTCACCCTGTTGGCCAGGCTGGTCTCGAACTCCTGACCTCAAGTGATCCACTGGCCTTGGCCTCCCAAAGTGCTGGGATTACAGATGTGAGCCACCACACCCGGCCGATAGGTAGCTATCTTAATAATGCCCTTTTCCATCCACTGATTATCTTACCAACTTTAACAATGAAAAAAGCATCAACGTATATATTGGGACCGTTATAGAAGTTTACGCCAAAAATGTTAAAGAGATGTTTTATATATACTTGACACAGTCATATTATAGTGAGCAGGAAAGAACCTTTCTATTTAATATTTGTTCTCCCAGGTCATGTGTTTGCTGAAAAGCCATCAGTTAAAGCGAGGCGGCCAGGTGCACTCTCTAGGTGGAGAAATTAAGAGCCTGTTGCTCTCTTTACAGTGATTTTAGTTTTGTGAGGTTTCTTGTTTCTTTTAAAAGAAAGAGAAAAAAATATCTTTGTCCTGTAGGTATAAAGTCATTATCCAGACTAATGGGGCATTGAACTAACAGGAGGTACAAAGTGGACTCTTTTCAAACCTTTTTATTGAATCCGTTTCACTGTCAGGTCAAACAAGATGTGATTAAACTTAGCCCTCGTCCACCACCACCCCCACCTTACCCCTCTGCCCTTAAGAAATGTTTTCATGCTTAGGAAATGGCACCACAAAAGAACAGTCATGTGCTTCTGTCCACTGGCAATTTACCAAGTGAAATAAGCTGAAAGTAAGAGAAAAAGAGAGTACTACTGTGGAATAGTAAAGCTGCTTGAGAAAGATGTGTAAATACAGGACGATAAAGGAATGTGCCAGGGCGACAGAGCGAGACTCCATCTCAAAAACAAAAACAAAAACAAAACAAAACAAAACAAAACAGACTTTTTGTACCAGAGCTCTAAGAGTTAAAAATTTCAGGCAAATTACCCATAAAAATCCCGATGGTGGAAGGGTGGAACAAGAGAACTTGGGTCACCACACAACTCTATGACAGTCATTGTAGATGGTATGCACAGAGTTTGTTGTGACACAGCAACCCTGATAAGTATACAAGAAATGAAAGCCTTAGCTAAATGTTTCTTTATAGGATTGCAATTTCTAGTTTTATTTAATAAACACAGTTATAAGAACCAATGCAGCACTGAACAGGACAAGAGATAAATGAGCCTGTCTCTGAGTATGCATCACACCCTATACCATGTTTAGTTCAGAACAGCCAAGGTTAGCAACCTCCTCCTTCAAATATCACAATTCTATGTGCATCCATCACTCAGCAGCAATAACGTTTCTTATTGCTTCTAAAGGCAATGCCATACACTTGGAAAGCTGTAATTTCACTGCAACACATACATGCACACTACACACAAACACATTTATATGCTCTCTCGCCAGTCTGGTGAGCAGCAATCCTTGACTCAAGTCTTCAGTCTGCACCTTCGAAAGTACCAGAAATGTCCCTTTAGGAAGACAGTTCAGATTTACTTTCATTACATGTTCCCCTCCTTGTATTCCAGGGCAAGAGAGGAAAGATAATAGAAAAGATATTGAAGGCCCACATTAAATCAACCCAACTTACATTTAGTATGTGCAGTACACATTTAAATTATGCTGTAACAGAGATTTCTACTGCTACAACACAACTTGTTTCCTTTTTTCTGGATGACACAGATAAAGTGAATTTTTCAAACCCTCTCAGGGCAATGTATGTGTGGCAAAAAAAAAAAAAAAAAAAGAAAAAGAAAAAGCCAATGGAAAGTGGCAGAGTAATATTTACTACTTCTAGGCCTGACCCATAAAATGTTCCCAGTTAGATGGGGATGGCAGAGCTACAAGACAGAAGGAGACTTGGTCCCTGAATGACAACCTGGAGGGGAGCATACTGACTCACCATACCTGTGCTACTAACTTTGCATAAGTTAAGAACAAACTTTTATTCTGTTGAACCACTGAGATTTGAGAGCCTATTACGGCCACCATCATTATTAATACATGCCCAAGCCACTGCAAATCAAATGGAAATCCAAATTATATTTCATGAAATGTCTGGTATCTCTCTTACAGCTCTGTTGCTCTAGCCTGATTTATACTACTTCCCACTTCATAGAAGAAGTTTTTTATCTCTCAGTTTCATATTGATTCATTCTGCAAAGAAAATCCAGTTTTACCGAATGTCAATTTAAATTTTGATAAGCCACAATCCCACCAATATTTGAAAATGGCCAAGTTAATCTATAGCCCATCTGAAGCAAGAACCATCAGAAATAACTTGAAAAAACAAAACAAACAAAATCAAGGGTTTATACTGTAAGAAAAAGCATAGAATAAAGTTGGTATTTAAAACAGTGTGGTACTGCCAATATAGATTATTATATTGTATATATACACACACATGTATATCACACACATACATACACACGGATCATAGAAACAGACCCATGTACAAATAAAAAATAAGAGATATAAATGAATACAATGTAAGATAGTATCTATCTTCAGGGAGTATCCTGAGACAATTCAAGGTGGGCAAAATGAAACATTCATTGAAAAGTTTTGGTGAAGAAGAAGTTAAAATGATGACTTAGGGTTGTATGTCAGATATTTTAATAATGTTGGCAGTTCCTAGATTCTACAGTCTTTCTCAAAACTAAGAGGTTTATCCCTAAGGCAATTTTCTTCTCTTTTTTTACTACCAAAAATGTTTATTCTATCGGCAGGTTTCCAGTGACTAGAAAAATTTCCTTCTTTACAACTCTGAAATCGTAGCTCAAATCATTTTCTAACAGAGTGAAAGTAAAAACATTATTAGTTGATGTCAGCACCAGCAGAAAATCTCTTAAAACTGGACATTTCTTTAAAAAAAAAAACAAAAAACCCAGTTTTCCAAGTCACCAATTCCATGCACTTAAAATGCTGCAAATTTCAGGTGAAGTAAAATAATATTATAGTTTATGTTCATGTCATTGATAGCTTGGAAAATTCACATTTTACAACTCTTTTTTTTTTTTTTTTTGAAATGGAGTCTCATTCTGTCGCCCAGGCTGGAGTGCAGTGGCACAATCTCGTCTCACTGCAAATTCCGCCTCCCGGTTTCAAGCGATTCTCCTGCCTCAGCCTCCCGAGTAGCTGGGATTACAGGCATGTGCCCCCAGGCCCGGCTATATTTGTATTTTTTAGTAGAGATGGGGTTTCACCATATTGTCCAGGCTGGCCTCGAACTCCTGACCTGAGGTGATCTGCCTGCCTTTGCCTCCCAAAGTGCTAGGATTACAGGCGTGAGCCACCACGCCCAGCTGAAAAAAAGTCTGTTTTTATATTTGTATTGCAAGTTGACACTACTGATGAAATGGCGTATTAGCCTTGCTAGATAAAATACAGGATGCCCACTTAAATTTGAATTTTATCTGAATTTGAGATAAATGACAAATAATTTTTTAGGATAAGTAAATCCCATTCAATATTTGTGACATACTTATCCTAAAAGTTATTTGTCCTGTATCAGAAATTCAAATTTAAGTGGGCATCTGTTTTTGTTGTTGTTGTTACTGTGTTTTTAAGAGGGAGAGTCTCGCCCTGTCACTCAGGCTGGAGTACAGTCATGTGATCATAGCTTAGTGTAGCCTTGAACTCATGGGCTCAAGTAATCCTCCCAAGTTGATGGGACTATAGGTGTACGCCGCCACATCTGGCTTTTTTTTTTTTTCCCCCTGTTTGGTAGAGATGCGTATCTTGCTATATTGAACAGGGTGGTCTCGAACTCCTGGCCTCAAGCAGTCCTACCGCCTTGGTCTCCTAAAGTGCTGGGATTACAGGCATGAGCCACCACACCTGGCCAGCATCTGTATATTATTTGCTAAATCTGGCAACCCTAGTTTCTAGAACAATTTCATCAGACTTTAAAGGGACATTGAATGGTTAGATAGTAATAGGGATACCTACATCAAATAACTGGCAATAGTTGAAAGGTTTTTTAACTATATAAACTAGGGCAAGGCTATATCTGCCTTATTTGTTGTTTCTAATCTTATTACAGTGCTTGGCACATACGTGCTAAATATTCAGTTCTTACGTGGTTGTTTATCAATAAAGGGAAAATTGATTCATTCATTTTGTCATTCTCTTTCTTTTGGGTTTGTCACACTTTCCCCAGCAACCTACCTTAAGCATTTTATGAGTGGAGTTGTTTCATGTTCTTCTTTTGTGTTTTTAAAGTATTAGTGATTTAAAAGGCACCTGCCAAATACCTGGTAGGTGCTTGGTGAATGAACTGTCAAGGTTTTTAATGGGTGCAGAAAACTGAGGGAGGTGATGGGAGAGCAGCTTGTGGTTACCGTGTTGAAATTTAACAAATAATTTTAGGTTATAGATGAGGACAAATAACTTAACAGTGAGGACAATTAAACCGTGGGGTGGCCTCTTGAGGCAAACAGCAGAGACTGTTGCTTTAGGCAGCCAAAGGCAAATGTTTCCACTGGGAAGATGTCTATTGATCCTATTATCCCGGGACTTGAAATAACATTTCCATTTTCCCCTTGAAAACCCATGATGCTGTTTTTAAAATCACATACTTCATCCTTAAACTCTCATGCAAAGCTATTACTTGAGTTAAACCTCTCACCAGAAATGTCTTCAAGGAGTATTCTCTCTGTAAAGGTGTATATTGTGGAAGATGAAAAAAGGAAGCTCTCTTTGGTTCTCTGTTACACGGGGTGGCTGCTTTGCAAGGTGAATCACTTCGGAGACTGTGAAATATTTCATGTCTTATAATGTATTTTCCATTATTTTTGGTCCATAAGCATGTATATTAATAAGTTGTACGAAATCAAATGTCAGAGGTTCAGGGAGACAGTTTTGAAATCCCAGCATTTTGTGAGTGGAGGTTGTTTCCTATTCTTTTGTGTTTTTAAAGTATTAGTGATTTAAAAGGCACCTGCCAAATACCTGATAGGTGCTTGGTGAAATGAACTGTCAAGGTTTTTTAGTGGGTGCAGAAGACTGAGGGAGGGTCCCAGTTTGGGATGTGAATTTGGGTTCCAGATGTAACATTAATTTGCGCTGTCACCTTGAGCAAAGTGCTTAACCTTTGAAAGCCTCAGCTTGCTCATCCATTAAATAGGGATAATAATAGTAATTATTGTGAAGATTAAAGAAGATCTGCCTAAAGCACTCACTACGGTGTCTAATCTCTGATAAATGCTCGAAATATTTGATTTGCTGTATTTTATTATTTATACCTGTAATTTAAAAGAGACAATTATTGTTACATTGTTAAGGCTTAAAGCTACAATAGCAAGTAATTAATTCGTACAATAGCAATTAATATCCGAGTGATGAATTGTCTTCCTATAAGAAGCAGCTAGGAATGTAGTCATCCATGTGACGGTTGCAGGTCCTAGGGTGGTTTCTTATTTAAATTGTAAAGGAAACAGCCACTGGGGCAGCTCAAGAAACAGGCTTCAGAGTCAAAAAAAACACCCATCTGGATTCCCTTCCTGACTCTGAGGCTCATTGACCTTGAATAAAGTACCTTATTTACCTTCTCTGAACTTGGGCTTCCTCCTTGGGTAACTGGTGGCACCAGTGCCTTCTATGCATAGAGCTTGCCACAGTACCTAGAACACAGCAAGCTCTTGGTAAAAGCACAGTGAAAGAGAGACAATATTTTTATTGGGCGTGGTGGCTCATGCTTGTAATCCCAGCACTTGGGAGGTTGAAGTAGACAGATCACTTGAGCCCAGGAGCTCAAGACCAACCTGGGTAACATGGCAAAACCCCGTCTCTACTAAAAATAGAAAAATTAGCCAGGTGTGGTGGCACATGCCTATAGTCCCAGCTACTTAGGAAGCTGAGGTTGGAGGATTGCTTGAGTCCAGGAGGTGGAGGTTGCAGTGAGCTAAGATGGCACCACTGCACTCCAGTCTGGGTATCAGAGCTAGACCCTGTCTCAAAAAATAGAGAGAGAGGGACAATATTTTGCGACTGTGCTGTCTAGTACAGTAACCACTAGCCACATGTGGCTATTCACATTCAAATAGATGGAAAAATAAAATTAAAAATTCAATTCTTCGGTGTTTGGAGTGGAGTTGTTTCCCCTTTCCCCCAGTCATATGTTGAATTCCTAACCCCTAGTACTTCAGAAAGTGACCTTCTTTGGAAATAAGGTTGCTACAGATATAATGAGTTAAGATGATGCCATACGGGAGTAGAATGGGCACCTAATCCAGTATAACAGGTGTCCTTATGTAAATGGGAAATTTGGATGGAGATACAAGCACACGGGGAGAACACCACACAAATGTTAAGGCATGGATCAGGGCAAGGCATCTACTGGCCAAGGAACCCCCCGAAGATTGCCATCAGCCCACGGGAAACTTCAAGAGGGGCATGGAGTAGATCTTCCCCTCATGGCTCTGAGAAGGGCCCAGTGCTGCTGACACCTTGATCTTGGACTTCTGCCCTCCAGAGCTGTGAGACAACAACTGTTGTTTTAGGCACCCAGTTTGTGGTGTGTTGTTATTAGCACCCCAGGACACTCATGCACTCAGTCTCACCGGCTGTATTTTGAGGGCTCAGGAGCCAGTGTGGCTACCATCTTGGACAGCGAGGACACTGAACATGGCTATCACTGCAGAAAATTCTAATAGACCTCCCTCCTTCGGGGATTCCAGGTTGCTCATTGCTCCAAAAACTCAAGCCAAGAAGATAGAAGAGGTTCAAATGATTGTATGAAGCATGTTCTTTGTCTGGAAATCCAGAACAAAACAAATAAATGATCTTTGAAAAAAAAAATCTCTGCCTTAAAGTTGGGCTGGTCAACATGTCCAGATATTCACAGAGACTTCCTGTTCTGGAAGAGATGCAGACAGAGGCTTAAGACAGCCTTCTGTCCTGTGACGGACGAATTTCTGATTCTGCTTCCACTGTTAAACTCTTACATAATTGCATTCTATATAGAGAGCTTCCCTTTGGATCCAGCTTGCTTTTCCCCTTGTCTTCTTCCTCAGACTTTATGAAAGTATTTGCAGAGACGCCTTGTCCCCTGCCATGAGCTGTAAATACTTATGCAGATGAAGGGTTTGTTACTCTAGTTGATGAGTGTTAGGGAACCTGGAGCCTTTCCTGGTTTTGAGCTGTGGCTGAGGACGTAGGCAATTCTCATGCACACTTTGCATTGGCTGAAGTGCATGTCCTGGAGTGCCTCATGCTACAGGACTGGCAGTGAAAAGCCTCTTAGGCTTGGGGTAGAGGTGAAAACCTCCCTCCATGTTTGCACTCTCTCTCGCCATGCCCCCACCTTCACGCGTGGTTGTGACTGCTGGGTGGGGCTGAAGTCACAGCCTTGCTGCAGTCTTTGCCCTAGGCAGGCTCTGTATGATCTTTGGTCAAGGGAAAGCACTTTGTGTGCCTGACCTCTGAGCAGCCCATTTTGGCCCTGAAATCCTCTGTTGGCAAACTTCACATTCAGTGAGTCAGAATTAAAGGAAAATGCTGAAGGAACATTTGCATTTTTTATCTTTTCCAAGTTAAGGCTGTTCTTTTCCAAAGTGGAGTTATACTTTAGAGTATCTTAATATATCTTATAGCAACTCATCAGGTCTTGCAAATGTATTTTATCTTTTCATATTAGAATTATTTCAGACTATTTTTATTCATTATGCGTTTTGTTAAACCAGGTTGTTCCTATAATGAACATGGAATATAAAGACTTGCTCTTCCCTAAATTGCTCAGTATACTATATCTTGAGTCGTCTTTATGCTCAATCTAATGCTTTATTAAAGGAGAAGACACACCCACACACATGTATACATGTGTAAAATACCTGTACTGTGCTCCTACTATGTGTCAGGCACTCTGCCAAGCACAATGCACTTGTTTTATTCCTTACAATAAATCTCATAAAGAGGCAGGTAATTCAATTCATCTTCACATTATAGTTGAGGAAACTGAAGTTCAGGGAAGTCAGGCCATCTGGCTGGAGAACAGTTTGATATCACAGCAAAAGTTCCTTCCCGGAGTGTTTGTGAAATAATGATTTCATTAAACATTGTTCAAACCTAAATTGCGTTTGTTCTTGCAGTCTTTGGAGTACACTGGGCCTTTTGCAGTTGGGACAAACCCATTTCCTCTCTCAGTGGGAAACACTCCAAGTATTCCTCTTGAAACAAAACGTCAAAGATTATTTTTGCAGACTTCTGTGGAGTCATTTTTGGACAACACCCTGGAACAGGAAACCACAGTTTCTCCTAAATTTGTACAGGATGGAAATAGATAACATTCTTCATAAAACCATGGCCACAATTAATGCTTTCAAATCAACATAATGGTGGATGGTTTGTTTTTTGCATTTCTTACCTGAATAGATTATGGGAACCTGCAGCATGGGAAATTTCATGAATAATTTTACAGGGTTTTATTTTATAAACTGGAAATGCGGTGAAAAGATATGTGTAGGTGATGAAAAAGAGTGCTATAGGATTCAACGTATTTGAAAGCTCTCCCTGAAAGATGGATTTGAAATAAAACAGAGTCTCGCACCCTAAGTTATGGGAATGAGATTTACGCTCGCTGACTGAAGCCCAGGTGCTGCTAAAGGTTAATTAGTGAGAGAATGTGATGAACTTAATGAAATAGGTGATGATGCAGTGTGAGGGAAGCCCACACAGTCATCAAAAGATAAATGCACTGAGACATTGTATTTTTCTTTTCTTTGCTACAGAGGAGTAGCAACAACTACACATAGAACAAATCCAGAGGAGTAGCTACAGCTACACATAGAACAAATCCTGCGTATACCCATAGCAGGTCCGGAAGGACTGGGGTGCTTAACTACAGACTTTGCTGGGAGCCATCGTTCCATAACTGCTGAAACTCCTTTTATTTTAGGTCTGTTTCTGCGAAGTCCTGATAGCTGAGTTGACTTAAGAGGAGTTGGACTAAATTTTTAAGGCTACTTTATTTTTATGATTGATTTTTAATTATTCTAAGCAATACATAGTTATTTTCTCTGGGCGAAAAGTTGAAATGTTTCATACAAACCTCATTTCCTTGTTTCCTAACCCCAGACCCTTCTCCCCTTCTTCTCAAATAAAAGCTAGCACTAGTTTTGTGCATATACTACTAGTTTGCTTTTAACGTGTATGTATGTTTATATTTTCTTAGGAAATATTTAATATCCTGTTCTTTTATTTATTTATTTTTATTTTTTATTTTTGAAACCGAGTCTTGCTCTTTCACCCCTGCTGGAGTGCAATGGTGCAATCTTGGCTCACTGCAACCCCCGCCTCCTGGGTTCAAGCGATTCTCCCTGCCTCAGCCTCCCGAGTAGCTGGGATTACAGGCACCCACCACCACACCCAGCTGATTTTTGTATTTTTTAGTAGAGGTGGGGTTTCCGCATGTTGGCCAGGCTGGTCGTGAACTCCTGACCTCAGGTGATCCACCTTGGCCTCCCAAAGTGCTGGGATTACAGGCGTGAGCCGCTGTGCCCAATCCTTGTTCTTATATTTTTAAACATAGAAGGTATGACATATATGTTTTTGTGTGTATGTGTGTATATGAATTTCATACTTTTAAAAAATGTGTCCTATTTGTACCTTGTTTATGTTAATCTTCTTCAATTTGTATATACTTCCTGTTTTAAACTGTTGGACAGTATTTTCACATTGTGGCTATTTTATAGTTATTTATTTGCTTCTCCTTTACTAGATGTTTATATTGTTTATATTTTTATTGACATTAAGATGGTAGTTTACCAACATCTGTCTTCGTGCATCCTTGTACACATACGCTGCAGTTTGTGGTAGACCCATTTAAAATTTTAATAGACATGCAAAAATGAGAGCACCATCTTAAAGCAAATCTTAGAGATCCTTTTTGCAAAGCAAAACATGCCTTTGTATGAAACAGGATATATTTAAAGGTACATCTCAATTTTGCTTTCCTGTGATTTCTGGCAAGATGAAGCTTGCGTGGGCACCTGTGACTAGGTTTCTGAGAGGCTCCAGCACTGTCCATAGGTGTCAGGTTAGGTAAGATTCTTAGAATGTTAACGGTAACTCTCCCTCTTTTTGCCTGTTCACCAATAGCAGAATGCCCTTGGCAGATGAAGGAACACTATATGGTACTAAGACTGAGCCCACAAATGATACATAGTAACCTATGCTGTCAGTCAGTGTTGCAAACAACTGAAGGCTGCTATGGCTTAGTTTAAGCAAAGATGGACTTTGTTGGAGAAAGGGGAGTTGGGGAAATCTCTAGCTGAGCTGAAAACTCCAGCTCAGAAAGGATTAGATTCAGGGAAGAATCTAATCAGAACTTTTTCACTGTCTGTATTTCAAAGTCTCTTCATTGTAGGATGGGTCTATTTTATAGGAGGGTGAATACCCTGTTTGAATGGTTCCTCAAGAGAGGATCTAGTTGGGAAACATATTAACACAAAAGAAAACCGAGCTGCTTTTAGGAATACAGATGCTTGGTGGCCAGAAAATATACAATACTAGCTGCCATCAAATAAACTGACCAATATATCTCATGGCGTGCTTTATCTGTATAAACGTACCTAACATTTTCCAAATGTGCTTTTCACATCTAATATTCATTTATTTGCATGGTGGAAAAATGGGTTGTTTGAATCAGGTATCTATTTTTATAGAATTAGATTAGGGTGAAGTACACTTAACATTTAAAGCACATTTAAATTTTAAAATGCCTGAGAATTGTCATGAGGAGTCTTGGAATTATTAGACTTTTCTTGATGGGTTTGTTGTTACTTATTGGTAATGAGAGAGACATATTCTGATTGAGGTTCTAGTACAGCTGCTACAATCAGTTTCTTCTCTTTGCCTTCAGTAGCATAATTGTGGAGGTGAAAAATCAGAAGGGGTAGTTCAAAAAGTAGTTTTCATGTTAAACAGCCATTTTAAATTGGAGTCACGTAATTTTCCAGTGTCTTATGATTATAGCTATCTAGATTGGCTGACCCTCAGAAACTGTGATGAGGTTAATATTAGTGGTTTTAGGCCACTAGATTTTGAGGTAATCTCTTATGCAGCAATAGATAACTAATACAATGTTGATACAATTGGGGCTGTATTTTTGGTTGATGGTAAAATATTTTGAGTTCTTTTGGAACTAGATTTTAGGGAGTTTAATAAACCCATTTTTGTTAATTTCTTTTTAAGGTGTTTGGATACAGTATTAGCTGATACTACTTTTCTCTCTCTTTGCGTCTGTCCTTCACTAAACATAATCTTTGAAAAGGAGACATTTTTGTTTGTTTGCTGTGCTTTCCAAGAAGGATGGGGTCTGACTTTCTCTTTTTATGGTCAGTTATAAAGTTGTAATAAGGATTATTTTGACCTTTCTGGAGAATATGTCATGACAATTATATTTCAAGCATGTTATACAGTGATTATAAGGTGGGTCCAGTACTTGGAATAACAATTCACAAATGGAATTTTACAGTAAGACACAGATCTATGTTTAGACAAACCTACTTGCATACTTCGGATTTTCTTACCTGAAGAGTTTTTTAAAAACCATGGACATATACTGTTAGCATCCAGCTTCAGTGACGTTATAATTGGGATGAGGTCTTACTGATAAATATTGTGTTTCTTACGAACATGGAAGCTGAGTCCCAGAGAGTTAAATTGATGAGTCTTTGGTTTAGAGGCAGAATCAAGATAGAATTGGAGACTCTGTATTTCTAGGTTACTTTGTGGTCTTTGTATTATGGTGCCTATGTCTTTGTCAAGTTCACGGTGGCTATGGAGATCCTGAGCTTTGAGGGCCATGTGTGAAAGCACCATGCAACAGTTTGCCTTATGAAAATTGCCTGATTTATTCTTGTTTCCAGGGGCCTATTTTAGAAATGTTATCTCAGTAACGCGTATGGACATACATGCATGGACTTGCAAAGGTCCTAAAAGCTGGACGTCTCAAAGACCTCACCTTTATGAGTAAAGTAGACATTGATTGCCACTGCCTACCTGACATCCATGTCCCTTCCTCTTTGCATCTGTTCATCTAAATTCCATTTATTGAATGATTTCTTTGTAACAGCTGTTGTGTTACATGCAGGGGATAGGATAGTGACCAAAGCATACAAACATGCTTGTCCTTGCGGAGCTTACGTTCTACTGTGGGAAACAGACAAAGAGTAAGAAGTATGTTGTATGATGATAAGTTCTAAATAGAAAACATTAAAGCAGGGAAGGGGGGTTTGAGAAAATGGAAATTTTAGAGAAGGTGTGTGCGAGGTTCAGAATGGCCCCCATAATCCCCACTTCCAGGTATTCACACCCTTTTTTAGTCTTGTTAAACAAAGAGAGCTGGTTTGTGTGATCAGTTGACGATGGCAGAGGTGACACTGTGTGACTTCTTAAGACCAGGCCGTAAAGGAATTGCGGCTTCTGCCTTTGGGCTTACTATTGATTGTTTCCTTTGGAACAAGCTCACTCCAATATCATTAGAACGCTGGGGAAGAACTGAGGCTCCACCAACAGCTGGTACCATTTTGCTGGCCATGTGATTGAACCACTTAGGAAATGGATCCTCCAGTCCATGTTAAGCCTCAGATAACTGCTGACCCAGCTGACATCTTGACTGCAATCTCATTTAGAAAACTTGTTTCAGAACTGCACAGCTAAGCCATTGCTACATTCCTGACCTATAGAGATGGTGACAGATAATAAATGTTTATTGATGTTCTAACTTAGTGAGTTTTGGGGGATTTAGTTACACAGCATATGACAACTAAGATGCAGAGTGCTAGGAAAGTCTTTACATAAAATATTCCTTTTGGGGAATTCACTGTGACCCCTTTGTTTTCTCCTCCAAGTTGATGTGTTCTGGGGTGAGCTGTTTTCCTTCTCTGGGCTCTAGGAATGGACACATGACCCAGGTCTGGTCATTTAGGTTGTTAAGATTGCTTTGATTGGATTGGAGATGAATATGTGGCCATGGCCATCTAATGAAAGTCTCCTGTGCTTTACTTCAAATGGCCACATCAAAGTCCTTCCTGTGCTGAGGCTTCTGTGCTTTTCAGAACATAAGCTCAGAGGAACCGGTGGCCATTCAAAAGAGAAAGGCCTGTTTGAGAGTGCAGCCAGCACTGGAATGCAGAACTGAGTTGACAGCAAGAGAATGAGATCTCTTGAGAGAACAGCAGCCCTGTGCTGCTAGAAGGTAGCAGTACTACACACATGCACAACAGATGTACCCCCTGAATAGTTACGTGAGACAATAACCTCCTTGCCCTTTGGTTTTCTTTTGTTTAGGCCACTTTGAGGTGGGATGGTTTCACTTTAAACCAGTGCCCTGAGTTTTCACCATAATTATAAAAACATTGAGCCTCGGTTTCTTATCTGTAAAATAGGTCTGATTTCACCTATTCTCATCTATAGGCTGTGAGAAATTAATAAGGGAAGACAGGTAAAGTACCTGGCAAAAAATTGATTCCTCTGTCTTCTCTATTTACTCTGTTTCTCCTTCCTGCAACTATGTACCCCATTTTGTTTGTTCTCCTAAGGTCTGTGCCTGTTCAGTGTGTACACATACATATTCATGGACATATGAATACATGCTTTTTAAAACGTGCACTATTAGGGAAACTGTACTGGTGCACTGTAATATACATGCAGCATTGTCAGTCTGCTGGCTTATCAAGCACTGTGCTAGTGGACTAGATATAGATGAGATACAGGAAGGTCTTTTCCCGTAAGAAGAGCAGTCTCATGTGAGTGGGCAATACTTACCTGAGGTTTAAACTAGGTATCAGGTAAGATTATAGCTATTTGAAGATCCACATATCCTAAAAACCTG
Organism: Homo sapiens; assembly: GCF_000001405.40. Taxonomy (NCBI): domain Eukaryota; kingdom Metazoa; phylum Chordata; class Mammalia; order Primates; family Hominidae; genus Homo; species Homo sapiens. Next base: position 61,854,794 of record NC_000003.12, read on the forward strand.
TAATATGAGGGTCCTAGAGAAGGATAATGCTGACAGTGTGATAGAGAAGGTTCCGTTATATTGCTGGCTTATTAATAAAATTGCATATTACAATTTTGAATTTAAGATGCCAAATTCTATGTTTTAGCATTTTTTTCTTTGGTGCCTAAATCGCACATTTGCATTAATTTTTCTAGTAGAGGGAATGCCGCTGGTTTATAGTGGTATGAAGTATTTTTGGAGATGGCTGTGATTTAATTTCTTCTTATTTTCACTGCATCAGAAGGTGAACGCAGTTACTGAGTGGTTCTCTTGTTTGACAACAAGCCTTTCCCTTGCCTGTTTTGTTCCCAGCCTTGTACTTAGGTCCCTAAAAGTGTTACTAAGCTCTCTGGGATTGCAGCTGCTGACCTTAAGACATGAGCCACCTGTAAGGTAAAAGTAATAGTATAGAAAGCTTTCATAACTGGGCTCTTGTTCTAGATTAGCCGCCTTTCCTTTTCTTGTAGGAATTCTTCCTCAAGCAGTTCTCTCAGAACCATGGGTTTTGTAGTCATCTCATTGCAGATTGTACCTTCAGTGTTTTGTAATTAATCTCCTCTAGACTTTCATGGTGTAGAGAAAGATGTTCTCATACCCCTTCCAAAACAGCAGGATTCTTGCCCAAGTCTGGTGGTTTTCAAAGTGTGTTCTGGAATTCTGTGGTTGCTTGGAGTCTTCTAAAATTTTACTTTCTATATTTTGGTCTTCCATGTAAAACTTCAAAACTCAGTTTCAAGAAAAGCTTCTAAAATAGCTTTAAAATGTTCATGTTAAAGTAGACTTTATAGTCTTGTAATGTTTTACTAAGGGGTATAAAATAATATGAAAGGGTAGGCCTTTTTTTTTTTTTTTTTTTTAAAAGCAAAGCACTGATTTAATTATAGTAATTTCTTACTTTTATTTCTCTCTTAGTACTTCTCATACTCTTGGTTTACTGGTGCTTCAGGCCTCACATTAGGAAGCTTGCTGAGGTGTAAGCCTGAGGTAGTTGGAATGCTGTCTTGCTGGGGGGCTCTGGGACCTTGGAGGTTGGCATTAAACCAAGGAAGTGTGGAGCAACAGCCACTAGATGTCAAGGTGTTGTGGAATGGGGGAGTGGGTTTCCCTTGAATTAGGAAGAAACAGATATCTCTATATCCCTCTGGCCACATAACTTAAATTTTACTTCTTCCTATTTCCAGAAGAACTTTCCCTTCCTCCCATCATGTTTTCCTTATTGATTGGGAGGATGCTAGTGATATTGATGGGTGGGTGCTAGTGACAGTCAAGTGTGATGCCCTCAGTCTCTTGTACTTACGTAGAACATTAAGACTAAGGGTCTTTTAAATTGTAAAATACACATAACATAAAATTTACCATTTTAACCACAGTGTACCTCTCAGTGGCGCTTAGTATATTCGCAGTGTGATGCACCCATCACCATTATCTAGTTCCAGAACATTTTAATCACTCCAAGTGGAAGCCTCATACCCATTGAGCAGTCACTCCCCACTTCCCATTTCCCACCGCCCCGGCAACCACTGATCTACTTTCTAAGACCAAGAATTTTACAAGGTATTTTAGAAATTACAAAATTTATATTTTAAGCTCTAGCATAAGAACAAGCCAAAAGAAACAGTTACATGGAAACGAAGCCCACAGTTTGCACCATGATTTCATTCTTCTTTTCATCATTTCTGATTTGCCATCTCAACCTTGGTTCCAAAACATTTTGAAATATATCCTTCCATACTTTTTTTCTCATTGCATGCATACAAGTGTATTCCCGTATTTTGATTCATTTTCTGCACTGTTTATAAATATAGAACTATAGTGTACACATCCCTCTGCAACTAGCTTTTTCTGAACAGGTTTTGTTAACATGTCTCCAGGTCATTAACAAACAACTCTAACTTATTCACTCTGTAGCTGTGTAATATTTCATAAGGTGGCTGTTCCACAAATTACTCATTATGCTGCTCTTGGAGGCCCTTTGAAGAATTAGTAATTAATGCTTAGAAAGTCTTATGAGGAGGACTGGACAGGTAGAATTAGCCCATTTTGTATGTTGGGGCACTGAACCTCAGAGGGTAAACCATTTAAAGTCACATAAGCAGTACTGCTATATGATGTCTTGACTGCTGTCGCTCAAGCTGATGACTTTCAAGTCTTCTACTGCATTTTCTCTACATGAGGCTCCTTTATTTTCAAAGAAAAAAAATGCCCTTTATGTGGGCTATTTCTTTTTCTGATCATTTCCCATCCTATTTTCCTATTTCTGTGTGTGTCTAGTATCTTTTTTTTTTTACCCCCTCTCTCAACATAGCCTCATTTAGTATTTGGCAGTTTTGCAGTTGAGGTAACCAATGCCTCATCACTCCAGAAATCTCATATTGTAAAATCTTTAGAATTAAAAAATCCTTATACAACTGAAGAAAATACAAGAGAGTTTCAATGACTTGCTCAAGTTCATACAGACCTCCAGTGGCCAAGGCAAGACTTGAACCCACCTCTTGTGAATTCATATCCCATCATAGGAGACAGATACACAGCAGCTCCCACAGCAACATTCAACAACTGGTAGTGGCTCTCTACAGCACCATGTGTGAATAAATCTGAGACTTTGATTGATTAATGATGTCTGCCATGAATGGGATGGGTCAGGGAGTAGACTAGAGAGATAACTAAGTGGTGATGCATGTGCCATGGGTTGCCTTTGCCCCAGCACAGCGTATTGACAGTGATGATTCTTGAGTGTGACTCGATAATTATTTTATTTCAAGGGTTTAAAAGGTCAGCCTGGGGACCAATCACAAAGTCAGGGTTGAGATCCTATATATCACAAGGCTTTGAGACTACCTGACCAACATGGGTTTAATTACTAATCCTGCAAAGACTAATATAGTTCCTAACGTTTTATCCATGTTTTATTAGTATGCTGATGTTGAATGTTGGGTGTGTGTTGTTGGCGTCTTCATTTTTTTTCTGCAATCAAATATGGCTTTCTTTCTCCTTTGGAAGAAATGACGTAAGGTGGGTGAAATTGGGCTATCACAGTCTCAGCATTATGGACATTGGGGATAGCTAATTATTTGTTGTGGGGGCTCTCCTCTGATATTTAGCAACATCCCTGCCTCTATCCACTGGAAGTCACTGACACCTCCCTCTTAACACCAGGTCTTTAATCTTGACAACAGGAAATTTCTCCCAGACATTGCAGAATCCCGCCTGTATGAGAACCACTGGCTTAAACTGATACATGTTTTCAATGGGTTGTAATAAGTTTTTTAAAAGGTAATTTTCTCTATGGCCCATTTGTATTGTGGGCGTTGGAATAGTGACAGAAAAGCATGAAGGAAAACAAATGTTTATTATCTTTTGTAAGGCAGTGGGAAGCTTTTCTTTTCTATAGTACTGAATAGGAAAGCCACAAATACAGAAGTACATTTTACAACAATAGGTGGCACACTACTACCAGAAGCCTAGTTCAGAAAGTAGATGGAGACAGTTTTATAAGTGAATGTATTTCAATCGTTTTTTATTAACAGTATTCCCAACTTCTTCATTTTATTTCTCTTAAAAAAGCATATTCTGCTTTAACAGTCCTTCTAAAGCTAATTTTATTTTTAAAAATGAGCATAAATTTGCCATTTGCTTTGCAAAACAAACCTGCAATCAATATAGTATTTATAATAGAGATGTCATATAATTGTGGGATTAAACCAGATTAACTTTGATGTCAATTATTTTTTCAATGCATTATAGAAAAAGGCATTTTTTTAAAGCTTTTCTGGAATATTAGGTGTTCTGTATGTATTTTTTAAAACAAGTAAATGGATGTTTAGTCTCTATTAGTACTTAAGAAACACTATTATAATAAATATGACTTCTGTTGAAAACAGGTCATGAGATATCAATTGAGGGTAGCTGAAAATAGGGCAGCTCAATGCCTTCTTTTCTTTTAAAAACTCTTAAACTTTTAATTATGATGCCTCAGTGTGTATTTGGAGAAGACTGTAAGTTGAAATTTAAAGATTATAACCATGGTGCTTAGAGCTAGCATAAGAGACTAGTTTATTACAAACTCCTTTTAATAAACTCTCTGCCCATACATTGAAAAAATAAATGCTCTCCGTTTTCTTCCTGTTTGAGTAAATAGCACTTCCAATGTTTTAAGTATGCAGAGCATGATCAAAGAATGAGGAGATGGAGACAAAAAGTTGCTGAGTGAATATTTTTATTTTTGTAGTTGTGTCTCTGACTTGTTTAGGAGTTGATTTTTTTAAGACTTTAAGCAAAATAAAGCTTAATCTAGTGGAGACTCTCAAAAGGAATGATGTGTCACTCCTTTTCAAAGTATATGTGCTTTAACTATATAGTAATGTTTTAAAGCTTTTATTAATGCTGGGGTTCTTTATAATGAGAATACCATTCATTGGTCATTTATTACAAACCTATTATATGTTAGATATGAAAGACCTTAGGTTATTTTCTTTCTTTAATCCATAAAATGATGGGAATTAGGACATTATATCCCAAGGAGGATTATTAAATAGTTAATGTCACGGTGTTAGTAAGTCACAGGGCTGAGATTCAAACCCGGGTCTAATTTTGAATTACCCTTTATCTAAAATCATGGAATATCACCACAAGGGAAAATCAGAGCTGACATGAACTTTCTTCCCCCTATGCCTCTGTCCCCCTTTTGTTCCTTCCTTTGGCTTTGGAAAAATTTGTTTAAGCGAAATTCTATGAGCCCCCAGGACAATTGACACAAGGAGAGTTTCTTATTTGAGATCTTGGTTTGATAGTCCATAGTTTTTTTTTTTTTGGTCATTGTTGTTTGTTTGTTATTTATGAGCAAGGAACTTGAGTTACAGAAAGGCAAGCAAATGACCCCCATATTGAACTGCTGGAGAACTTATGACCTGAACCCAAGTCTTAGGAGAGACTCTTTCAAAATTACCTTTCTGTTGGCCTAATTTTAATTAATAAAATACTGCTGCCCACAACATTTAAACTGTGTGGTAATTATTGTTTCTTTTCTTGTTTTTCTTCCGCATTACAACATAAACTCTCCCATCTGCTGTATATTTATAGCACTTAATATAATCCATGGCACATAGATGCTCAGTAAACCAGTGTTTCATTATTCTTTCATAAGCAACTGCTCTTGTGACATCCTTTATTGTGATCAATAGAATATATCATGTATTAATTATATTTCCTTTATAATTTAGTAAACTCTAGGAAACACTGAGGGATTCCTGTTTGTACACCAATCCATAAAATCACGTGTGATTGCTTAGTCCTGTTACTAAAGATGTTGAGACACAGAAGAGGAAATATTGTATGTACATTTCAGAGTGAAAAGTAATTCCTCAGGGTTGGATATGAAATTGAAACAGTTGATAGTAAGAGTGCTGCACTAAGAAGGGAATCCTTCCCCTAAATTTTAATATGTCCCCTAGTCATGCTATTCCATCTTAATGAGAATTGATTTTGTCCTTTCACCTATCACAGACCCTTACATGCTTCCTTCCCAGCCCGTGAAAGCCATTGTTTGATGAGAAAAAAAATACATGACTTTTCTCCCCAGGCATAGAAGGATAATAGCTGTGCTTTTTTTTGTTTTTGTTCCTTTTTTTTTTTTTTTTTTTTTTTTGAGACGAAGTCTCGCTTTGTTGCCCAGGCTGGAGTGCACTGGCACAATCTTGGCTCACTGCAACCTCTGCCTCCCAGGTTCAAATGATTATACTGCCTCAGCCTCTGGAGTAGATGGGATTACAGGCACGCACCAGCACTCACCGGCTAATTTTTTTGTATTTTTAGTAGAGACAGGGTTTCTGCAGGTTGGCCAGACTGGTCTCGAACTCCTGACCTCAAGTGATCCACCCGCCTCAGCCTCCCAAAGTGCCGGGATTACAGGTGTGAGCCACTGCGCCTAGCCCATTTTTTAAAATTAAAGCTTTTCAGGTAACTGTTGTTTCACATGCAGTTGTATAAAATAATACAGAGAGGTCCCTTTTATACTTTTCCCAGGGTGTGTGTGTATTAAGTTCTACACAATTTTATCACTGGTGTAGATTCATGTATCCGTCACCACAGTCAAGATTCTGAATAAGTCCAGCACCACAGGCAGGGTTGCCACAGCCACCCCCCTTCCCTGTCCCCATCTCTGTCCCCAACCCGGGCAACCACTAATTTATCCTGCATTTCTAAAACTGTCATTTCAAGATGTTGTATAAAAGGAATCATAGAGTAAGTAGCTTTTTAGGATTGGCTTTTTTAATTGTCTGGTTTTCTGGACAATCATCCAAATTGTTGAAGATATCAATCATTGGTTTCTTTTTATTGCCAATTTTTAAAAATATAGAATGTTACTTTAAGAAGATCGTTTAGGAAGCTGAGCCTGTATTATGATAGTTTCAGTCACACAAGGTGTAAAGGGAGGTCGTTTGCTATGATTGTTGTTCTCCAGAGTCTCCAATGAGTAGCTTTTTCTTAGTGGGGAAAAAAAAAATTGGCACAGTCACTGCTTCTCAAAGCTTTTGTCAAGCTGGGGGCCAAAAACAAAATCCCACGAAGGCATTGATCAAAGATATCATTGTAGGAGGAAGTCCTAGAGGGCAGAAAATGCTGTCTTCCTTTTGCTGTCTTGCCACAGTTCCCTGTTATTAGAGTCCTGTCCTTTGTCTTCAAAGCTTTGGAGAAGTGCTTCACATAAAAGACAATGAAGCAGGGGCCACCTAAGAGGCTTGTCTTTGTTGTTGTTTATGCAGAAAGTACTGTTCTCTGCTATTGGCAAAGTAATTTTCAGCTCTAGATGAGCCCAGATCAGTCACAATAGTTTTCACAAGCCTGATAGGAAGGCCTAGAGTGGTGTTAATTAGTCAGAGATGGGAGAAGGAGGACATGTGTTAGCATATTCAATCAATGCAGAGTTTCTTCAACTGGCATGGGGGCATTCCTCAGCAGTCACTGCTACAGTAGGGCACTTAATGCATGCCGATGCCCGTGGGTTTGATTGCACTATTTAAATTTTCTGCCATGCATCCCAATGGTGGCGAAATACTGCTGTTTTAGAGATGCATTATGAGTTGTGAAATTAGATTGAAAGAACCTTATGGGGGCAGAATTAAGATATGACACAAGCAGAGGTGAAAATGGTAAACATTTGTGTGCAAGTTGTATCATCATGTAATAATACAGGGGTCTCCAACTCCACGGATTGGTACCGGTCCCTGGCCTGTTAGGAACTGGGCTGCACAGCTGGAGGTGAGCAGCTATGAGTGAGCTCCGTCTCCTGTCATATCAGTGGTGGCATTAGATTCTGACAGGAGCGCGAACCCTGTTGTGAACTGCTCATGCCAGGGGTCTAGATTCCTTGCTCCTTAAGAGATGCTAATGCCTATTGGAAAAAGTGTCTTCCACAAAACCAGGCTGTGGTGCCCAAAAGGTGGGGGACCGCTGGTATAATACATTTATTGAAACTTTTGGAAGTTGTCATGTAGTGTAGTGGCCTCCTTTGGCCAAGGAACCATAACTAGTATTAAAGATTATTTCTAATGTAGGTATTACTCAGACTTTTTTTTTTTTTTTTTTGAGATGGAATTCCGCTGTTGTTGCCCAGGCTGGAGTGCAATGGCGTGATCTTGGCTCACCACAACCTCCACCTCTGCCTCCTGGGTTCCAGCAATTGTCCTGCCTCAGCCTCCCGAGTAGCTGGGATTACAGGCATGCACCACCACGCCCAGCACGCCCACTAATTTTGTATTTTCAATAGAGACGGGGTTTCTCCATGTTGGTCAGGATGGTCTTGAGCTCCCAACCTCAGGTGATCTGCCCGCCCAGGCCTCACAAAGTGCTGGGATTACAGGTGTAAGCCACCGTGCCCGGCCTGATGTTACTCAGACTTAAAGAGTAGCTGCATACAGTTCCCTTTCACTCTTCTGGACTTTGTTTTCCAGACCTGCTTGTAAAAATCTATTTCAGGGAGTTCTCTCTTGTTTTCTTAGTGTCTGTCTGATGTCAGCCTACTTAGTATATCTGCAAAGACTCAGAGTGGTTTATCGGAAGGTTCCAAGTCCCTCCTACTATGTGACATTGGGCATGACATTTAACTTTGTGGGGTCTTAATTGCCTCAAGTATAAAAGCAAACGAGCAGATTTCAGTAGATGATGCCTAAACTCTCATCTAGGTTTAACAGTCAATAAAATCTATGAGGGCGAACTGTAAGACCTGGCACCTTTTTCTGAAGAGAGATTGATTATGCAGTGCAGTTGTCTTGAATGCACTGCACAAGGATGTGCAGACCCAGGAACTGCTTGTCTAATGAAAGGAACCAGCTGAATGTCTCTCTGGGCTGCCAGTGCTTAGGGCCTGACCCAGACGGGGCTTCCCCCTCTTTGAGCAGTGGATTGTCTTGGACTGAGACAGTGAAATCTCCTTTCTTCACTCCTCTTCTTTAAGGAGGATCAGTGTCATCTGCCTCACCTGTATGCCTTCCTTGGAGATGTTCATGAGAGCATTTAGGTGGTGGGTAGGTATATAGGCATTTGCTCTAAAATTACTTCAACTTTGTTTTATGTTTGAGCATTTTCATAGTATTAGATAGGGAAAAAAAACTAGTGGAAATTGAATTGCTTAAACTTTGGGAGCAAGGCAATTAGAATGTGTGCGTAGCTGCAGATCCCAGTAGCCTAGACTTAATTCCTGGCCTTCTCTCAGATGTCAAGTGTCCACAGGACAGGAATTTGTAATGGGTGAAGGATGCCTTCATTTCCCCTTGCCTTTTCTGCTTATTTGCTATGCAAAGCAATTATTCCAGATTTTCAGTGTGGGCCTCAGGAGCCCCTGTGTTACCTTGGGCAATATGACTCTGAGTTCCTAAGACAGGGCTCTGCTCCCTGCTGCTCCTTGCAAGCCTTGGGTGACTTCAGTGTGTTTTCCAGGTTGTCATAGCATTCTGAACATACCATTTAAGCTGGTCAAAGGTAAGGCCACCTTTGAATGTGCAGTTCAACCTTTTCCCACTTTCCATAGAAAAGAGACAGTTCAGCAGGTTGAGGGAATGACCTAGTATGAACGTCAGTGTTGTTCTATGTATTTAGCAGAACTCTTTTAACAACATCAATTCTGAACAAGTTACCCAAGGTTAAGTTCATGCTGGTTGAGGAGAATAGTGCTGGAGCCAGATAGCTTTGAGGTCCAGCCCTGGATCTTATCCTCTCCTAAGTTAGGGAATTTTACGCAAGTCACTTAACTTGTGAATCCACAGCTCTTCACATTTGTACAATGGGGAGAGTAAAAATACCTTACCTACCTCCTGGGTTATTAGGAGAACACAGTCAAACAATCCCTTCAAAATCCTCTCTTTGAACCTGTCATGGATAATTCTCAATAAATGTCACCTAGGGTAATAAGAATTCTCCCTGCTGTATAAGTAGAACCTTTTGTATCATTTTACCCTTATTTACCCAGGATTTCTATATGTACCCCAGGAGACACAAGTGTCCTAATATCTCACAGAAATGTCAAGACTTTGTCTTGTGGCATTGATCTCTAACGATGCCCATGTATGATAGGTGGATAAGGGGACAGTGCTTCTCCTTGTGTCCCGATCGCTGAGTATGGAGAATCCCGGGCTTCTAATTCTCTCCAACTGCAAGCAAAGTAACGGAACTGAGCATTCAAGGATTTTGGGAGAATTAAGGCAAATCCCAGGGGGATTAGGAAACCAGAGTCATTTGGTTGTCCCTTGATCTTTCTTTAATAAACGATCAAGTTCAGCTTTGCATGGTGAACTGAATTTGTTTCAGCTCTTAATTTTTTACCTTGTAGCTATAATTCTCTGGCTGCTGTTGCTGTCTTTAAATCCGGTTCACCAGCCACCTGGAGCATTCCAATAACACAGGCGTTTTAAGGTTTTCACTTCAACATCTGTGCTTTGGAAATTGAGAAGAGACCACAATTTAGGAATATGCTGAGAAGGAGGCATGGAAGACCAGGGGTTCCATCTCCTCGTAATGTGTGGTATCTGTTCTCTCATTCTTCCCAGATTGCTCCACAATGTTCCTCTCCCCACTTCTATTTAAATGGTCCAGGGGAAGCTCTGTCATGATATTTCAATGTCTCAGGAAGGCCCACCATGCCAGCATGCCACTGTCATGGGGTCACATTCAGTCATTCATTCCCTTGCTCACGTGCTCAGAGACCATTTTATGTTTTGCCTGTTCCTAGGCTGCATGTTCAAGCACTTGGCTGTGTTTGGGTTTCTGGAGACTGGAAGTCATTTTTGCTGATTAATGGGGATGATGGTATTTTTGTCCAGGAGCAAACTGGGGAGTTGCTTTAGGTATGTGGCCAGGAGAGAAATGCCTTGGATATTTGTGGGGTTAATACTGGGCTTATTAGAATGCTGTCAGTCACTCCTTGCTCTCAACTCTAGCCACCCATGCCAAACCCCCACAACAATAGTGACAACAACAGCAGTAATAATAGCAGCTACCAGTTAGAGAGCTACATGTGAGGCCTTGTTTGAGCGTCTCATTTAATTCTCCAAAAATCCCACAAGGAATGTGTTGTTATTTTTTACTTGTTCTAGCTGAGGAAACGGGATATTAGAGTTCTGAGTCCAAAGCATGTGTCTTGTAAATGGTGAAGCTAAGATTTGAACTCAGATAACCTTGACCTAGTACCCAAGTTTGTACCAACTGTGCATCATTCCCTATCACCCTAAGCTAGGGAGTAGGTCGAATTAAGGGTACTACCTTCATATGGATGGCCCGATACCTGGTCATAATGAAATCATTCTTTCTTGGCCTTGGTCTCTCCACCTGCCGACAGGGCAGGTGGCAGCAAGCTGCTTACACCACATGAGCATGACAGAGCCCCTTTGTCTTCTCATTGGCCAAGTTCTTCTTCCTCTCTTCATAAATAACTTCAGATTTCCTAGCCCACTGCTCTAGAAAATGTATTTCCTCTGATGGCCACACAGCCGGAGCAACCCCAGAAGGCCTGTGGTGTTGTGCTGCTCTTTATTTTCTGCCAGCTGCATCTGTACTCTTCTAGAAAATGCTGAGATTCAGCAGTTGCTCAAAAGGCACTGACATCTAATTATCATCCTATAGGCTGTTGCCACAAGTCTGCATAGTGAAGTCAATGCTGAGACAGGCTTCCTTTGCCAGTCAGAGGGGCTCTGGCTTGTTTACAGATAGAATCTTTAACTCCTTTGAAGGGCCAGCGTGAGGATACTGGGAAGGTTCCTGTGGGACAGTTTTATAATTGAACCAGGGAACTCCTCTGTGCCTGCTCATATGTGATATGGATAAGTCATGCAGCACCGGTCCTCCTGCATCCAGGAATGGGCTGACATTGATCTGTTCACTCTTCAGGGATGCTGTCTCAACTACTTGCACAGGTATAATTTTATTATATTACGCTGCATATTAAATACCTGCACTTCCCTTTTCCCATCCTGATACAGATGATTTCATTTTGCCCACAGTAACACATGCTTCTGTTTGCACGTGACCATGATCATTTTCTCTACCTCTAGGCTTACAGAAGGGCCAGAGGTGGTGCTAATCAGGAACTGGAAACTTCTGACCCCACTGTGCAGGCTGGAGTAGGGTTGAGGCTGTGGCTGAGAACCAGAAGGAGAAAGCAAGGGCAAGTCCCCATTCTAGAATACCTGGCTAGGATGTGGGGGAGAGAGGTGAGCATAGCTCCTTTCTGTAAAAATTACACTTACACAGAGCTTCCCTGGCTTTGGAACTGTTTGCTCTTTTTTTTTTTTTTTTTTTTTTTTTTTTTTTTTTTTGAGACGGAGTCTTGGTCTGTCACCAGGCTGGAGTGCAGTGGTACGGTATCAGCTCACTGCAACTTTGCCTCCCTAGTTCAAGCGATTCTCCTGCCTCCGCCTCTGGAGTAGCTGGGACTACAGGCATGTGCCACCACGCCCAGCTAATTTTTGTATTTTTAGTAGAGATGGCATTTCACCATGTTGGCCAGGATGGTCTCGATCTCTTGAACTCGTGATCCATCCGCCTTGGCCTGCCAAAGTGCTGGGATTACAGGCATGTGACACCGCACCCGGCCAAAGTGGTTGCTTTTATTCTAACAACGTCTGTGTTTGCAACGGAAGAGAGACCACAGGAGTGCTAGAGCCTGAGTTCAGGGAAGGGTTTGACAGGAGTTTCAAGGCTTCTTGTTGGCGGGGTAGAACATCATCCTTCCAGCCAGGAGTAGCTCTTCATCAGATTGCCCGGGATTGGAAAGGGATCAGTACCAGATGGCCTCCTGGCCCCAGAAGTTCCTTCTGGAGCAGAACAGAGTTTTCTTGTCGCTATGATTCAGCAACAGCAGGCATTGATGGCGGCCCCACTGGGTGCCTGGCATGGCATCATACCCCCTGCCTCCCAGAACCTGCGGCCCTCCTCCATGGCCAAGGAGCAATTGCATGTGGAGCCATACCAGCAGCCCCCATTGAGCTGACTTGGTTGCCTGAAGTGAGAATGGTTAAATGGGTAATTGATGGAAGCAAAAAGCCAAGGGAAGGAGGTACCCGCTGGGTAACTGGTTAGTGTAAGAGGCTATGTGTGTGTAGCTGAAGTTGATCACCATTCCAAGGCGAGTCTTTTCCCCTCTCTTCTTTCCCTCCTTTTTATTTAACAATAATAATAACTTTATTGATTCATTGCTTTTTTTGAGGCATGCATTAAGCCCTTCACATTTATTAACTTGAAAAAATAGGGGAGTTGAGGGCCCAGAAAGGTAAAATGAAGTACCCAAAGTCACACATTTTAGTGAGTGGCAAAAATGGGATCTCAGGGCATGGTTCCTATCTCTTGACAATCTAAGCTCTTCACCCTGTACCTCTTTTCCATCTCTGCAGCCCTCTCTCCCTCTCTTCTTTATAGATACTCTGAGCGTTTATCTTGCATCCAGTTAGCAATGCAGTTTCAGAGATAGAGGACATAGGACGTCCCTTACGGAACTCAAAATTGAGTTTGCAGAGACAACCTTAACCTTTGTAAGGTGAGGGAAGCCTAGAGTCTCATGTGGTGTGTGGGGCCCAGGGATGCGTTTGTAAAGCTTGGGTGCAGTGGTCTTTCTTCCACAGGGAGTCTGAGACCTTGGTCTGCTTACCTTTCTCTAGGGCACCCAGGGCATGAGAAGGTGGTGGTGTTCCTTATAACCTTGGCCATCCAGTAGATAAAGTTCAACAAGTAGGATTGGTTCAGTCTGATACCTGTAGTCCCCTATTTTACATAAGCCCCTCCCCACATTCTCCCTTAAACACATGAAGAAGTGCAGAGGAGAAGGGAGAGGGCATGTCTTGAGACCCAGTTATGTGAAGGCTGTGGATTGAGAGTTTACAGTGTTAGTGATCTCTTGTCATCCTCACAACAGCTCTATGCAGTGGACCCTGTTAGATCTTATATCACGGAAGAAAAGCTCCAAGATCAGAGTTTCAGGTATCTTTTCTGTTTCATCTCTGCTTACAATCTTCTCACAATTTCTTGCCTCTCTCAGATTTGATTCCGAAATCCCTGAGTGCTAGAAGAAAGGCATCATATCATCTTGTCCCTGGTTATCTCATTGAGTTCATTTTCCTGCCCTCTGCCCCCTGCCCCCAGCTCCCTGGCCTCTCTGCTGCCTGATGCACTGCGTCCAACCTGCCTTGAGCCTGGGCATTCAACACTCTGCCTTCTTTCCCTCTGCCTTTCCTTGTTCACTTTCCCCCTTCCAATCTCTTTTCTTCCTCCTTTTAAATTTTCCTTGTGTGAGTTTGATTTTAAAGGTTTTGTTGGGCAAAGTGAACACACTTGGCTTATAGAATCACCCTTAGGGTAATTTGTTACAGAAAATTCTGTGTAATGGGACAGTTTTTTTGTTTGAGTCAGCACAAATAAAGCAAACTCTCCAGGGTTGTGGTCAAATGCTGTTTCTTACAGTTCTCAAGGTTTCTAAGTCCAGGCTCTCTAGTTCTCATGTTATTTGGAACTCCTTTGGGCATTGGTCTTTGTATCTAAAATGGTCTCATGTTTAATTCAATGTGCGCATTTATAACAAGGTCTGATTTGATGACTTGTTCAGAAGGGTGTTTTTTTTTTTTGAAGATTTTGGTAGAATTGTATGATTTTCTGGTCTTTGGACTAGTCACTTCTAATAACTTTTTTTTGGTGAGTGAGTCTGGTCTTCTCCATAGTTTCCACGCTTCATAAAGCATTAGGAGGACGGCATTTCACTTGCCGTTCCCCATGGTCTAATCTCCTGCTGATTTTATTTTAACTCTGAGGGATTTGCTATTGGTCCAGCTTTACCATCAGTTGCATCTCCATCAATGAGGCTGACCTGGAGGGACTGGATTCAAATAGGGAGCAGCATCCAGTTCCCTCTACCTAGAGATTGCCAACTTCTCTGAAGCATTTCCATGAAATTTATAATTTAATTTCTATTTTGGCTCAAGAGCATCTTGGTACAAATCCTTGGGTGTGGCCCTCTTTTGTAAGAAGTACAGAATGAAAGACCATCTTGCCTGCAAACTGTGTGCAGATCTTTGTGAGAAATAAAGTCATGTTTCATTATTTTGGCTGCATGACTTAAAAAATGTCATGACCCAGAATGAATATTGCTTTTCAGTCAGGTGGTTGCACGTTTCAAGATGGCTCCAGTGGCTTCTGAAATGTGTTTACCCTGCGAACATTCCAAAGTTGTCTGTGCTTTGTCCAGAATCCCTGGATGCCATTCATTAACCCTCCCCTCCCCTCCCCTCCCCTCCCTTCACCTCTTTGTCTGACAGAGTCTTACTCTGTCACCCAGGCGGGAGTGCAGTGGTGCATTCATGGCTTACTGCAGCCTCAACCTCCTGGGCTTAACTGATCTTCCCCCCTCAGCCTCCCGAGTATCTGGGACCGTAGGTGCACGCCACCCTGCCTGGCTAATTTTTTGTTTTGTTTTGTTTTGTTTTGTTTTGTTTTGCAGAGATGAGGTTTTCCCATGTTTCCCAGGCTGGTCTCAACCTTCTGGGCTTAAGCGATCCACCCGCCTAAGTCTCCCAAACTGTTGGGATCACAAGTGTGAGCCACTGCACCTGGTCCTGGGTGCCATTCTTGACTACGTCACCTAAATGCTCCTTCTTGTGATTCGACTCTCATCCTATATACCTAGTGCCACCATGACCCCATCACCCTACGTCCCCTCCCCCTTCGACTTGTCCTCATCACTGCATATTGAGCTTTCACTTGGCAAAGTCTTCACCTCCCAGTACCATCACCTTGGGGCTTAAGTTTCAAGATATGAATTGTGGGAGGACACAAACATTTAGTCTATAGTGGTATGAAATGCCCAGCATTATTGTTTCTGTGACCTTAGGACAAAAGGGTACATAGATGCTATTGCATAAAATATTATGTTTCCTAGCTTTTCTGTTGGGGAACTATATAAAAATAAGTTTTGGTACATAACATACTTTCCTGATGCTAATATTTCCATTGTCAACTAGGAAAAATTATTCTTTTTTTTTTTTTTTGGAGACGGAGTCTCACTCTGTTGCCCAGGAGTGCAATGGTATGATCTCAGCTCCAGTGCAGCCTCCACCTCCTGGGTTCAAGCAATTCTCCTGCCTCAGCCTCCCGAGTAGCTGGGACTACAGGCATGAACTACCACACCTAGCTTTTTTTTTTTTTTTTTTTTTTTTTTGTATTTTTAGTAGAGATGGATTTTTTTTTTTTTTTTGTATTTTTAGTAGAGATGGATTTTTTTTTTTTTTTTTTAACCATGTTGGCCAGGCTGGCCTCGAACTCCTGAGCTCAGGTGATCCACCCACCTCAGCCTCCCAAAGTGCTGGGATTACAGGCATGAGCCATCGCACCCATTGTTGGGTAGGAAAAGTAATGATTACCTCCCAGTTTTGAGCATCAATTGGTAACAAAATCTGTGTAAGTGTTGTCTGTATAAATGGTAAAGTTCTATTGAAATGTTGAATAAAATAGAGGCATTCATAGTAATAATAACTGCGTCATACTAGGCTTCTTTCTATGAAATAAATTAGGTCATTTACTAAAAGCTCAATTAATGAATATTACTAAGAAATTTTCAGAAATCACTGCTTAGAAATCAGCAACGGGGTAGAGTGAGTTACTTACAGATGAATATTCGAATCAGGGGTTTCAGGAAAAACTGATGAGAATTGTTTGTTTAGACTGTCAGTCTCTCTGTGCCTCAGTTTCTTTTTTCTAGAATGAAGGGGCAATCACCAGAGTGTCTTGAAGGTCCCATTCAGTATTCCATTTTCCCTACATTCCCTGTTATGTTATGTTATGTTATGTTGTGTTGTGTTGTGTTGTGTTGTGTTGTGTTGTGTTATGTTATGTTATGTTATGTTATGTTATGTTATGTTATGTTATGTTATGTTATGTTATGTTATGTTAATGTTATATTTTAAGACAGGGTCTTGGTCTGTCACCCAGGCTGGAGTGCAGTGGCACAGTCACAACTCACTGCAGCCTCAACCTCCTGGGCTCAGGTGTTCATTCTGCCTCAGCCTCCCAAGTAGATGGGACCAAGGCACATGTCACCACATCTAGCTAATTAAAAAAAATTTTTTTTTGGAGAGATGGGGTCTTACTGGTCTCAAGCAATCCTCCCACCTTGGCTTCTCAACATGCTGGGATTATAGGCATGAGCTACCACACCCGGCCCCTTTTACTGTTTAAAAGCATAAAACTGCTGACTCTCCCTGAGTGTTTGATTCTAATAGGAAAAAGTTCATCCTCTGGGCCCTGTTGGATCATGGTTGATGTAGTATGACAAAATCTGTAGTAGCTTCCATGAAAAGAGGAAAGTTTTGTTGATGTGAAGATTTGTTTCTCTTTAGTTTTATATTTTAGAACTCATCTTGGGTTCCACTTCCCTTTGATTTGGGGGTTGTAGCTTTGGTAGTCAGGGAAGCAGGACCTGGAAATCACAAGGCCTTTTGGAATTGCAGCTCCCAGGCAACACGGCCTGCTTGCCTTCCCTTTTGAAGGAGATCAGTTGCTCCCTCTCTCTTTCTTAGTGTTTCTCAGCAAGACTATTTAACATTTAAGGCCGTAGGCATTAAGAATCCAGGGATCTGTGTTTTAGAGCTGAATGTCCTTCTCCAAGCCAAGCTCAGAGCCAAAGCTCTCAACAGCTGAAATACCTGCTTGCTCTATTCTTTTTAACCAGTGCAGCAGTGCTTCCTTCTAGGATAACAGAGCTCTTCTCATATATTCCATTGACTGTTGAAATCTCAGTAAGGGAAACACTTTTCAAAATGTCTTGTTATGGAAAGGATTGGGCCAAATAAATATATTTCCTGTTGAAAGTAACGTGTACTTTCACTGAAGGATAGCTTCTCTACTACAGCTACTGTTTGAAAGACAATAAGAATGTTGATTCTGGCCAGGTGCAGCGTTGGGCACCTGGAGTTCTGGCAACTCAGGAGGCTGAGGCAGGGGATCACTTGAGTGTGCTGTGATTACACCTGTGAATAGTCACTTCACTCCAGTCTGGGCAACATAGTGAGAACCAGCCTCTTCAAAAATGAAAAGGAGAAAGAACGTTGGTTCTGGAGTCAGAATGAATTGGTTCTAGTGTTTGGCTCTTAGGCTCAGTAACTTGTGATCTTGGACAAGTTACTTATTTTGTCTGGCCGAACTCCAAATTCCCCATCTGTAAAGTGGGAATCATAACTCTGAGAATGGCTTGCCGATGCAATAAGATGAGATAGGTAGTGCTTGTGTTGCCTGACCCTGAGTAAGTGCTCACTCAATATTAATCACAATTTTTTTTTTCATGACCATTTGTACAGTGTATTGTCATGTATATGGAAAGGGTTTCAGTTCTGTTTTAGGGATTTCTCTTAGAAATCTCCAGCAATTTCACTTAGGGAGCTTTTGAAGCCATCTGCCTTAGTGAGCTGTGCTAGTGTGCTCTTTTTGAAAGGTAAGCAATCTTTGGGCCAGTTTGGATATGACTCTTTTACATGTCCAGTCCATATATTCCCAGAAGAATCCAGAAGTCATGGCCATCAAAGTAAAATACCCAGCCTTTTAAAACCACTACATTTGGATAGGAAGATGCTCTCCTTGAAATTACCTTTTACCTTTGAGATCCATCTAGAAAAAAATCTAAAGAGTTGATTGTGGGTCAGGCCCATCAGAGTGTAAGAATGAATTCGAGCTGTAAAAAATGTGATTCTTTTTCTTTTTTTTTGAAGAGCCATTGGGCAGGAGTAAATTGGTAGAACCATTTTGGGGAGCTGTATATATTCAGTAAAGTTGAAGATTTCTATGCTGTTAGGATCAGGTAATTTCATTTGTAATTTAGAGAAATTTTGATACATGTAACCTGGGTGACATGTACAAGAATATTTGTAACAGCAGTTTGTAAGCGGAAAACTGGCTACAGCCTCAATGACATTCACCAGGCAGTAGGTGAATTTGATGTTGTTTATTCATACCTTGGGAGACCATGCAACTGCTAAAATGAATGAATAGGACCAGCAGATCAGTGTGGATACATTTTTAGCTTTACTCATAAGATGTCATATCTTAAAACATCTGATACAGAAATAGAAAAATATGAAATCATATTTTAAATATAGTAGCAAAAAAATATAGACATAGCAAAATACGGAATCTTATTTTAACTATAGTAGTGACTGTATGGCTGTTGATTCTGTTGTTTCTGGGCATTTGCAGCATTTCTTACTTTTAGATAGCTGTCGGAAAAGAAAAATACTATAGGATGGGTTATGGGTTGCCTTTGGCATTTATTTTTAATGTTATACAATATTGTATTTTTGAGGAAAATAAATTGGTAATGTGTGGAATTGGGTAACTGGGGGGAGGGGTAGTTTTTGTCCACTGTATTCTCTGCTTATTTTTTATTTACTTTTTACCATTGGCTCTCTGGTATAAGAAAAACTGAATGATGATTAAGTTCAGTTGACGCAGTATAAATGATTAGCTAAGTGATCAGGGCTCTGAGGCTGCCTTTCTGGGTTTATGTCCCAGCTCTCATTCTTACTGGCTGTGAGATAGGAGGCAAGAGACTCAACCTCCTCCTGCCCTGTTGCTTCCCCTTTAAAATTGTTCAGTAGAGCAGTGAGGATTGAATTGGATTATTCCTGTTGATTCAAGTACTGGACAGTGTTTGACACAGAATAAATGTTAGCTGTTTTTGTATTATTATAGTTTGATATGGAAGAAGGAACTGTAAAATGCAGTTAATTATGGGATCCTGGTAAAAGACACTCAAATCAGACTCTCAGGGGCACAAGAATCCAGAGTGCATCCCATTGAGCCTGCACCATTTCCTCGATCCTCACCTTATCTTTCCAGGTTGAGCCCTCCCCAGACAGTATAATCAGCATGCACTACCCCTGTTTTCTTTCTCTTTTGTACCTTGAGACTTTAGGGTGGCCTAAAAGCATTTGCTGGATCCCCTCAACCTCCTTTGGGAGGCTCATGCTCTCATGGTTGACCACGTCTTACCAAATATGTTTATCCTCACAATTTATCTAGCCAATGCAAATGTCTTTTCAGTGGAGATGATAAATTGGGTATTTAAAGGCACCAGGATAATTTCAAATTTGTGACTTCCACTGGAATGGGGTACATTTTAAAGCAGAGAGGTAAATGTCTTTCTTTTCACTTAAATACCCACCATTCCTTTTTCTTTCTTCCTTTTTTTTTTCTACACATAAACACAGATACTCAACCACTTTAAATTCGTAGAAATTGATCTAGGACAGAGGTGGTTGATTCCCAGCCAGGAATGGGTCTCCTTCTCCCTGGAAATATTTGGCAATGTTTGAAGGCAATTTTGATTGTTAGGCTTTGGGACAGGGGGAGTGTGCTGTTAACATTTAGTGGGAGGAGTCCAGGGACGCCATAAACATAAAGCACAGGACAGTCCTCCACAACAAAGAATGATCTAGCCCAAAATATTAACAGAGCTGAGGATGAGACGCCCTGCCCTAATTTAATGAGAGAGATGTAAGTCCATACCCGTAACTGAATTCCCAGACTTCTTCACCATGGCATTGCTCCAGCGTTGAGTAAATCTGGCATCACAAAATTTGTCTTATGTAGAGCTGGAGACAAAGCAGGGAAGAAGAGAAGCAAACCTGTTAAGTCCCACGTAGTCTACAACTCCATCAGGTATATGGGATGAGCAGGAACAGAAAGCTGTTTTCTTTAGAAATTCTCACTCTTCTCTTTCCTCTGCCGCGAGCTCTTATCTAAAGAAGGGAGATTCAGAGTGGATAAAGATCTCAGGAAATCTTTTGCTCTAGCTTTTGATCCCTCTTCTCAGTTTCTTCTCTTTTCAGTGTGTAGAAGTCATATGTCAAAGCACAGACCTGTTTAGAATATCAAGAGTGTTAATAGAGGCTTCAGCCTTCTTTTAGGCCACATTCTGGTTCTGCAACTGACACTTGAGGAGGTATTTCCTGTTGATACCATTCAAGGAGCTGTTTCAGGAGGGCCCTGGTGCTGCCTGGGGATGGTGTTCTAAGTACTTGATTCCATCTGCAAGGCAAAACGTTTTGAGAGAGAGAGGATTCTCTTTTAAAGGAATCATAATGTTTTTAATGTTAATTATACAGGCTACTCGATTAATCAGTTAAGTGCCATCCTTATACAGAAGGGAAACTGGGAAGTGTTTCAAAATGAAGAGTACCTAGCGGCTTGAAAGAGATGTTTGCTCTATATTTATATTTTGGGACTTGGGTAACTGACGATTCAGACATCTATCAGATGGAGGGCTGTCTGCTTGGAGTCATGCCTCAGCTATACACACACATGCACATGCGCACACACACACGGCACACACACACACAGCACACACTTTATAGGCCGTCTTCATGCCTTTGCCGAGGTCTTTCTGTTCCTTTTAAGAGTGCCATCATTTCTCGCAGAGATGTAACTGGAGAACAAAGCTTGCAGAGGCAGTTGGATATATATTCTTTTTACTCCCACCTTCTGCCTGGAATGAAGATGAGGTATAGGCTGCACTCCGTTTCATTTTTGACCCACTTTGATAAGAATCCAAGGTGAGGGACCCAACTGGGCCTCACTGGT
This sequence comes from Homo sapiens, assembly GCF_000001405.40. Lineage (NCBI taxonomy): Eukaryota > Metazoa > Chordata > Mammalia > Primates > Hominidae > Homo > Homo sapiens. The sequence continues at coordinate 61,875,914 of NC_000003.12, forward strand.
TTCCCACTGGGGAAACCTTATAACTGAAATCTAGTCTCTACTTTTGAAAATCTTAGTCATGATTGACTAAAGGCAGTCTTTCTTTAAATAAATAAATAAATAAAAGCACATTACAAATAAAGCCTTCAAGATTTGAGCATTTGGTAGCCCAATATCAGTCAGTGAAAGAAGTGTTTACAATTAAAAGTAGTAATTAGAAGGGACATGACATGATTTCTGTAGTATTCTTGACAAAAATGCATAACTGTACTCCAGTCCTGGGATGACATCATACACCTTCAGATTGAGGGATATTCTACAGTAAGTGATCTGTACTCCTTTGTCAAGATCATGAGAGACAGGAGACTGAAGAACTTTTTATAGATTGGGGAGGGCTAAGGAGAAATAACAGCTAAATGTAATGTGGGATCCTGGATAAGATGCTGGAATTGAAAAAGGACATTAAGGGAAAATCTAGTACAATTCAAATAAGATTTTTCATTCAGTTGATGAGTTAATTCTGTCACGCTCGTGTCAATTTCCTGGTTTTGATCATTGTACTGTGGCTGTGGGCCACAGTCAACATTTGGGGAAGCTGGGTCAGGGATATATTCTTTGTACTGTTTTAGCAGCAACTTCTCTATAAATCTAAACTTCTCTCAATACAAACTTATTTTTTTAAAAAGTAATAATTAGTATGCATAACAAAACTAGGTTAAACAATTTCTTTTCCGGGCTGGGCGTGGTGGCTCACATCTGTAATCCCAGCACTTTGGGAGGCCGAGGCGGGCGGATCCCCTGAAGTCGGGAGTTTGAGACCAGCCTGGCCAACATGGTGAAACCCTGTCTCTAATACAAAAAGGTATAAGCCCTTCTATTAATATAACTAGCTTCCTCCTCCTTCCCCACTACCACTTAATAGTAATTCATGTTTTTTTCCCAATATATATACTTCTGCCTAATATCATTTATCTGCCTAAAATATTACATTTTTAGAATTTGTCATAATGTATTTACTTAACTTAAGTAGTCTGTAACAGAGTGAGGTCATAAAGTGTTGAACATTCTCGTTCTTGTGGTTCTCCCTTTATTCCTTTTTTTTTTGACATTAAGAAATACCGCCTGTAATTCAGGCTTACATTTTTGTGTCAGGAGGATTTGAGGTCTTTGCCTTGTGCAATCTTTGCATTCCTTTTTAATTCTTTTGTTTCTAAAGTGTAGCACTCCAGACATTAAATATCTGGGTCTAAATATAAGAATATTTTGCATTTTAATTTGCAGGGAAGAAAAATTATATTTTAAAGTCCACAGTTTCTGGCTTTTATTTACATATTTTGGACTACTTTGGTTATGCAGGGAGCACAGAAACATGCCTTAGCATTTGGATATTTATTATTTTCTAAGTATTAAGAACGTGGATGTTCTGCAGCATTGGAGAGATGTTTGAGAATGCTGGCCTGGCCTGGCCCTCAGAAGTTAATTTAGGGTTTTTAACTCTGGTGCAAATGCTTAGGTTACCGGCAGGGGGTTAATAAGTAAACCACAGAGAAGCCACAAAGGTGCCTACATGTGGTTGTTGTGTAGTTTATCATTAGACCAGAAAGCGGGGGAAACAGCTGACCAACCAATTCACAGAAATTTATCATAATTGAGTGGTTAATGCAAGCATACTAAACAGATTAAATCTCAATAGTTTTTGTGTATACCCTGGTAGAAAAAGTAGTAACTGCTTACTTGCACATCGGAAACATGCTCATGGGATGTTAACGTGTTTGCATGCAGAAGCTTATGATGCAATGAGACTGAAATAATGAAAATGATGACAGTAAAAAGGAGAAAATGTAAAATGCATGCTAGTTGGTAAAAGAAAAAAGTCTTCTCTTTGCTTCCAAGGTATTTAAACTCTGAACAAACTGTGTGTGTTGTGGAATATATTGGGTTAGCGACCTTTCAGAATTAGGAAGAAGAAGTTGTATTTTTGAATATAGAAGGCCAGCATAATTACTCAGAGTACAGTAAATGTCCCTATCATTCTTTGAGTTTAATCTTAACATAATTAGCTCCTCGCACAATAGAGTGTTTAATTTGAAATGCTGCCAAGGCTCATTAAGTGAGAGAAGTACTTCCTGAGATCTCTGTTGTTAAATTTGGGATTTTTTGTATGAGATAATTTTCTCAAGAAGTGTTAGGGTATCAGAATTGTTGTTCATATTCTGACATTTATCACCCAAACTCACTGAAACACTTAACATTTTCTGTTTTATTGATGGAGCCTTTTATTAATATTGGGGAATTTGCTATGTCACATGGAAAGAAATTAATTTCCGAAGTCTTGACAAGCGTTCTGAGTGATAGGTCCATTTGCCCTGCTGTGCCTTCCCCACACAATAGCGATAGTAAATATGAGCTGGAAGGATTTATATGAGCTGGTAGGATTTAATTCTTCTATCTCTTCTTTTGGGTTCTGTTTGATTATTGATTTCTGAGTCAGGATAAGCAATACAAAATGTGAACACCAGTGTTTTGTTGTTGTTGTTTGTTTTTAGTTTGCATTTCTATTTTGGCTTGACTTGACATCTCCCCAGGTTGTTTTTGGTTTGTTTTTGTTTTTCATTAAGACAGGTAGGGTATCGCTCTGTCACCCAGGTTGCAGTGTAGTGGCAGGATCAGGGCTCACTGTAGCCTCAACCTCCTAGGCTCAAGCCATCCTCCTGCCTCTGTCTCCCAAGTAACTGGGACTACAGGCGTGTGCTACCATGCCTGGCTAAGCTTATTTTATTTTTTTATCTTTAGTAGAGATGAGGTCTTACTATGTTGCCCGGGTTGGTCTCGAACTCCTGGGCTCAAGCCATCCTACCTCCTCTGCCTCCCAAAGTGCTTGCATTACAGGCATAAGCCACTGTGCCTGGCCCCCAGGTGTATAAAACACAATAGAACCGTCCTATATTTTTGGAATGAGAGTACAGAATATTTTAATATGCTTTGATAGTTTATTACATGTATCAACTGACATGGTTTTACTAGTAAGGCGTCTTATTTTATAAGATCACTAACCTGTGCATACTAGAATTCCTTGGTCTTTGTAAGTACTTCTATATATTAACAGGAGGTAAATCTAATCGAGTATAAAAAACTGAAAAGTAATGATTATTAAGAACCAATATAAATTTACTAGGAACAAATCCTGTGACATTAACCCCATTTCCTTTTTTGATAAGTAATGAACCAAAGGTGTAAAAATTGCTCAGAAAAGTCATTGGACAGTGTGAGCTGCAGGACTATAATGCTGTTCACTTTACATGGTGATCAGACACCCTGAGTGTTGATTACCAAGGCAATAAAAACCTAGAGAGACAGATTTCTTGCTATGCTTCTAGGCTGTGTTTTTCTCTGCGTCCTCACGATCAGCTCATACTGCAATATTAGAGCAGTTTTAAGTCTTCTGATATAGGAACATGGGAGTCTTTTCCCATTTATCGAGGTCTTCTTTTCTTTCTTTCTACGGTTTTCTGTAGTTTTCAGTGTATAATTCTTGTATTTTGGGGGATAAACTTATTCCTAAATATTTTATTCTTTTTGATTTTTTTTAAACGAAATTGTTTTCTTAATCTCATTTTTAGGTTAAATGAGATTAATCCAAAAACTGAATTTTATTCAGTCATATGTTACTTAATGACAGGGATATGTTCTGACACTTTGCTCAATTAGTTTATTGGATCTAATAGTTGTTTAGTAGATTTTAAATAATTTCTATATACAAGAGCATGTCATCTGTGAGCAGAGGTGGTTTTAATTCTTCCTTTGCAATCTATATGCCTTTTATTTTTTCTTGCCTAATTGCTGTAACTAGAACCTCCAGTGCAGTGTTGAATAGAATAGTGAGAGTGGACATTCTTGCTTTCCTAATGGATTTTAGGGTTTATATCCTTCTACTATCTGTATGTATATTTTTATCCTAGCTCAGCTCCGTATGGTGCTTTGTATAAGCCTTTACGTTATAATGAAACAAATCAAAATTCCTTTTACAACTGAGAATGTCAAAAACTGAACCAAGGATTGTCTTCACTACAGCCTATGGTTTTTCACATGAAGTATTCACTTCAAAAATGACCTAGTGATGGTTCCTTTGACAGGTCCCTTTGTATGCAGCTTTACTGCATTCTGTCATGAGACAGCACCACTAGTTTTTGATTCCAGTAATACAATGTCACATCTGGCAGGGATTTTTAAATTCATCTGTTTATCACATATTTATTGAGTGCTTATCAAATACCAGGCATAATTGATGTTCTGGGGAAATAACAGTTAATAAGAAACTTAGAGTCTTGCTAGAGGCTGACAGATTAAGAAATTGACAAATGTAAAATTTTTAGACTATCTCCCCACTGCTACCTTTTCTAGAATTTGTATTTTAGAATACATTTAGCAACGGACCGGCCGTGCACAATGGCTCATGCCGCACACAATGGCTCATCCCAGAACTTCGGGAGACCAAGGCAAGTGGATTGCTTGAGCTCAGGAGTTTGAGATCAGCCTGGCCAACAGGGTGAAACCCCATCTCTACAAAAAATACAAAAATTAGCTGGGTGTGTTGGTGTAGGCCTGTGGTCCCAGCTACTTGTTGGGGGCGCTGAGGAAGGAGGATTGCTTGAGCTTGGAAAGTCGAAGCTGCAGTCAGCTGTGTTTGCGCCACTGCACCTCAGCTTGGGTGACAACGCGAACCCTGTCTCAAAAAAAAAAAAAAAAAAAAAAGAGAGAGACCTATGGCCAGGTGATGAGGTATGAAGCCATTTAATGCGAAGAAGAGCTAAAAGAATGAGAACGTGATTGCATGAAATGTTTAGCCAGAAATCTTGGGATATAGGAGAAGAGGGGGAGACTTGATTGATTAGGTTGTAAATATTTGTCCTATGGACCACGGTAACGTGGATTAGCATTCAGAGTAGTAACCAGTAGTGGGAGTTGGAGTCATAGAGTATTGGGTCTCTTTATCCCAGGAGATTTCCAATGGGGTCAGTTTCTACTGACCTTTTAGAGAGACCATGCTATGCTGTCTTTTTTTTTTTTTTTTAATTTTAAATTTTGTTATAGCCCCTATTAATCTTCATTCCACTCATTTGTTACCCTCTTGGCATTCTTAATATCATTTGTGGCCCTGTCCTTATCATTTTACAAGGGTTTTTTTTTTCCAGATATAAAAATGTTTAATAAAATTTAAGCACATCAAATTTAACATCATATACAAAGAACAGTACTTTATAACAAAGTGAGGTTTACAAGGGGCTTGCTCTCTAAAAACAGCCTTCTTCTTTCCCGATAGATTGTAAGTCTGTGCTTGTAAAGTCATGATTCTCTGTGAGAAGATGAATTGTATGCATGACTGTTTTACTATTGGTTACTACTGCATCTATCAACTTGGGGAGAAATGTATTAGAGACAAAATAAAATGGTTTTAATCTTAGAGAGAACAATGGTGGTGGTAACATCTGCCTTGCCAGCCTCCCAGGTAGAATCCCAGGTGGTGAGTCAGACGACTGTGAGTTTACAAATATGCAACACAGCAGCAATCGATGAACCTTCATGATGTGCTGGACGCTGTTTAGGGACCCAAATAGACCATTTCACCGTCACTGCATGCAGATCTGAAAGCTCCTGTTTTCTAAAGGAGGTTTTTCTAGCCATTTGGGTTTTCCATGAGCAAGTTAGTAATACAGTGAATGTGATAAAAGCTTCTATGAAGTTGACTAGATTTATTTTAGGTAAAGAACACTTTCCTCAAATACATTTACACAACTTCCTTCCTCTCCTCTCCCTCCTATATATAGAAATGAAGAGAGAACCTTAGCCCAGATACCTATCCTCTTGGCTTCCTTTTCATTGTCTTAGATGGTGCCTGATGAGCCTCTTCAGAACCATTGGACACAGTTGGAAAATCACAGGCTCTGATATACTTTGTAGATCTGTATTCCTCCATAATAGTGTTTCCCAACCTCAACACTATTGACATTTTGGTTCCCCTGACAGTCCTGCCCAACTCTTTCAGTTCCAGTCATCATGTATATAACTAGACCCGTGTATAGCAGAGCTACTGCTTTTCCTCATGGAGTCTCATGCTGGGGGTAAGAGCTTATGCGAAGGGAGTTCTACATTTGATTGACTCCTAGTTACATGCCATTACAACTGACAGTATACCCCCTTTTAAAGAAAATACATGTCAAGTCTTTCATCTTCTGAGAACAAAAACTGTGAACAACTTTCTGAATGGGAAAATCACTGGGCATTTTGAAATATAGTTAAAGAGTATTGGGGTAACTTATAAATGGTGGGTCAGTCAACTGCGTGTGTTGTTTACACAATTCCAGTGACTAGTTGGGAAGTTGTTTCCTCTGAAAAGGGACTTGCTCAGCTGGAATTGCTTGCTAAAAGGCTAGGTTTGTTAAATAGATTTGTACTCTGTTTTGGGAAGCCAAAATGTCCCTGAAACTATACTGTTCTGAGATGACACAGTTTGAAATTAGGTGAAAGCATTTACTATGGAGTTGCTCTTAATTAAATTTGAAAGATGAGTCATTGATCTTGGAGATGATGATTTGTCATAATTCTATCTTGGTGGCAGAGTTAGTATGAGGTACTAAGGGCTTTTATTTAAGCTGTGTGCCATCTCACTTATTTGTGTTTTTCTACAAAAGTCCTGCATACTTCCATGAATGTCAAAAGTGATGTCTTAGAATTACATATCTAAATACCTTGCACATCATGCTAGTTGGCCTCTTAATTCAGAGTATTCGTCTCTGGATTTGAATCCCTGTGCCACTGCTTGTTCACCTGTCTGTCTTTCCCATTGGATTGAGTAGTCCAGAGTACATGTTTTTGTTTGTTTCTGTATCATACGTGTTTCTAAAAAGACTAGACCCACAGGAGGTATTTGCTGATTAAATGGGTGCCCCATTCTCCTCTGTTCTTCTTCTAAAATCTCCTTCAGTATTCAGCCTTCATTTTCCATTTCCTCTGCTGCCATCTCAGGCCTCTGCCATCTTGGCTGGGGATTCTACTAGATGCTTAATGGTTACCCCAGTGCCACTCTTCTCCTTAGCAGACAGAGCTCACTTTGCAACCTTCAACCCCTGTGTTCAAAACTTCTCATTATGGCTGGTGACATGCACAGATGGTCACCAACAGCTCAATACTGTGGCATTTCGCACAGGTGAGGTGTTCAAGCTGGGCCTCCAGGGTGTCTGTCCTTGGGGACTTTTTCCTTTTATCTTTAATTATCATTGTAAAGGTTTATCTTTACAATGTAACTTGAAGAAGCTTAGAATAATGATGAAAAAATTATTTGCTGAACACCATGCACTGTCTTCTGACCAAACCACCCCTCCACTTATGGTCTTATTAATACATCAGGTCCTTTGTCACCTGTGTACTGGGGAGGCTCCTGATGTTCCTTGTTTCTGTGTGCCCTTCCCTGTGGTTCTCCACCTGGGGTCTAACGGTGCAAAAGTCCTGTCCTCCAGAAACTTTTCCTGGATTGTTCCAGGAGGAATAACTTCTCCTGCTAGGATGTCCTTTAAAAATACCTGTAAAGTAAGAGTCCTTATTTAGTAATTCAAAACTCCTCTCGTTCCAGAAAAGGAATTAAAATAGCTTACAGGAATATGTAAGAGTCAATAAGAATTCCATGGGGACAAAAAAATAGTGTCTGTGTGTTAGGATATAAAACAGGGCCAGAAATGAGATTAATATAAAAATACATATCATGAAGTTTGAGATACCTTTTATGGGTTGAAATAGTTACCTTGTCAAAGTCGCTCTTTTTTTGGAAGGCAGGGTGGAGTGGGGCCAGGTCTCACTCTGTCACCCAGGCTGGTAGTGCAGTGGCACAATCACAGCGCACTGTAGCCCCTACCTCTCAGGCTTAAGCAATCCTCCCCACCCCAGCCTCTCAAGTAGTTGAGACTATAGGCATGTACCAGCATACCTAGCTAATTTCTGTTTTTGTTTTTTGTAGAGACAGGGTCTTACCATGTTGCTCAGGCTGTTCTTGAACTCCTGGCCTCAAGCAATCCTGCCACCTTGGCCTTCCGAAGTGTTGGGATTACAGGTGTACAACATTCTTAGTTGTATGCTTGTTTTCTTTGCTTACAAGCTTTTGGTGGTTTAAAATGGCAGAAGACATTGGACAATCCATGACATACTTAGGACATTTATAGTCACCTCTTTCTTCTTGACTCTGCTAAATTGTTTTGGGAGTTTTACATTTTTTCTCCTGAGCCGTTTCTTTATCCCCCTTTCGAAACCTAGCTGTATGGTTGCTAAATTGATAATTATGTTACTCCAATCAAATGCTGTAAGTGGCAGAATAGTGATTTAGTAATTGGGTTAAAGTTAGTGTGCTTCACTTTAATATGAAGGCACATGGTATACCAGCTCGGTGAAATGAATATTAAGATTATAAGGTTATCTGAGCATATGTTGGGTCAGCCCTCAGGGAATTGAGTCTGGTGGGGAAGATAGCAAAAGTTATATAAACAAACAAATGCATTAAATGATTAGAAATTGTGTCAAGTCATGTGGAGGAAAGTTTTGATAGAGTTGACCTGCCTAGAAGAAAAGACTATGGAAGTTCTTTTCAAGATTGCATTTAAGGTGAATCAAGAAAAGTGAGAAGATACAAGGTTTTGCTTGTTTTCGTAGGATGTTGTCCTTGGTGGAGGACCAGTTTACACAGAGACTTCCGGGCTGGCAATGGTTTGATGTGTTCAGAAAGGTGAAGAATGTCCACATAATTGGAATGATACTTTAACTTTTCTTCTTTGGAAAAGTTGAAATTCTCTTTAAGGGCATGAAGTTTATTTACCTTTCAAGGGCCTCGTCTCTTCTTGATTTGAAAAAGCAGGTACAAGGCTACATTGTGGTTCAAGTTTTCCACTTGCCATTACTACTAAACTCTAAGGGGAGTGATCTTCAAATTGGATTCCTGACAGATTTAAAATTCCCCTAGCAAAAGAAAACCCCAGGGGAAAAACATGGTTAAAGCTAAGGAAAGTGGGATGCCTCAGGTTTAATCAGAGTACCTGTTCTCCTGCCCAGAGTCGCTTACAGATCTGTCCTGCGTGTGCATTTGGTAAATAATCTTGATGTGTGGTGTTTGCTTTCATTGTCGGCTGTAGTAAAATGTCATTTATTGCACCCTGCCAATTTGAAAATCGTGCTCTTTTATGAAAATACAAGTAGATGAGGTGTAGAGGTGAGGTTTTTGCTGTCTTTTCACTCAATTTGTAAATTTCATAGATCATATAACGGTAAACTATGACAGTTTGCTTAGAAGCAGACACTGGGCAAAATGTATTCTGAATTTTGACTGCAGATCTCTATTCTGCTGTTTGTTTCAAAAAACCACCTGTGTGGATTTCTTTTTTACTACTGTAGAATATTTGGAAAATATGCTGAAGATTACAGAGGCAAAAATGATTATCCATACTTCTGCCCCCAAGAGCTAGCCACTGTCGGTGTTTTTTTTTTAATTTCTTTTCCTATTTGTACATATGCACATTAATTCACGTGAGGACTCGTGTATGTGCAGTCTTGCTATCCTACTTCGTTGTTATCCTCTCACATTTAACCCCAATATGTTTACACCAATTGCAATAAAGGCCAGATGTTAAAGGTCAAACAATCCATTTTATCAATGGTAATGCTATATTGGACAACACAGTTTGGATCTACCAATACAGTGGAGCATTTATAGACTCACTCTTTTCCTTCTCTCCTCTCCTCTCCTCTCCTCTCCTCTCCTCTCCTCTCCTCTCTCGACAGGGTCTTGCTCTGTCACCCAGACTACAGTGCAGTGGCACTATCGTAGCTCTCTAGGGACTTGAACTCCTGGACTCAAGTGCAGTTCCCGCCTCAGCTTGAGTAACTGGGACTATAGGCATGTGTCACCTCACCTTTCACCACCTTTTTGTTGGGTCTAAATCTTGGGACCTGTTTAATACAGAGCTGGGGTAGGTAGGGTAGATTCTTATTCAGCCAGCTACACTGATAGTCATTTTCTTACACTTCTGGTGCCTTCAGAATGGACCACAGGTAGATGGAAGACACCACATGCACACACAGGGAGAGAGGGAAACCCTGGACACTGACCCAGGACAACTCGAGCACCACCCCCTGACATGTCATGTACTACTTGGAGAAAGAGAGAGGAGAACCTATCATGGAAAAGTTATCCCACAGTTTAGATAACTTGGAAGATAACTTCGCTATTCCTGCTCGATCCTTCCTTCCAATTTCAAATCAGAAGAACTGTCTTCCTTCTGAGGAAGAAAAGTGGGTAAGTGGATTCAGGTGGAGAAATTATAACCATAACCCTCCTCTTATAGGAGATGGAGGTTAAAACTGTTACTTTTTATGGCTACTTGAGGAGACACACAAAAGTAAACCTTTCTGCATTGAGTTTTCAAGTCTCAATGACTACCTAGTAGTTCATTTACTTACCTATATTTGTATATTCCTCTTTTTGTAGAGAGTATTTTTGAATATTTTGGTTTGAGATCATGGGGAAATCGTTGCACTGATCAGTGACTAGGAGTCAGTAAGATAGTGTTGAAGGATATTGATGTCTGATGTTGGATGGTCTACAACTTGTCCTGTATGCCTTCCCCGCCCTGCCCCTTGCCACCTCCACTGCTGTTAGGATCTGCAGAAGTCAAAGGTGGAAAGACAGAAAGCTTCAATCAGGAAGATGGGGAGTTAACAGGTAGGGCTGTTTGATGCAAGACATATTGCTGGGTATGTACCTCCTAGCTACCCATGGCCCCAAACTATTTTGAACTACATTAACTAGCTTTTCCATTTTCTGTTTCTTTCCAAATTTGTGTTTTATAGATAATCTTCTTCCAAATAGAAGGTTTTTATTTTCTGCTTAATTGGGTGTAAACAGTTGATTACATGTTTGCTTCATAGACTCTCTGTATCCTGGAATTTTTCTGCTGTTAGAGAATTGATCAGAAGAGGACTGGACTTTTTTTTTTTTTAAGTGAAGCTTTGATTAGGGACGAGGTCAAACAGCGCACAGTGTTCATGGACGATCAAGCAAACCAGTGAAGCATCTTGTGTGCGCTACTAATATCTTGTGTGCGCCACTAGTAAGAGGAAACATCTCTTATTTTCTGATTGTTTTCCACTTAAGCATTATCTCGGAAAACTATTTTTAAAGTATAACCATAGCATGCATATATATATATATATATATATATATATATATATATATATATATATATTTTTAATGCCATCATCAAACACTCATTTCAGCCTGGTAAGACAATTTCAGCCCTTGGTGAGGAGAGAAGGAAAGTTGAAAAAGAAAATTCACAGGACGATACTCTGCTGTGATTTCTAAGCCCCTGGCAATCATTTCTTTGCTCTAACTAAGAGCCATTAAACCAGTTCTAACAAGAGCTCTAGACATAGTGAAAAACACATGCTAAGAATAAAGAGTCCAGCAAAACTTTGAAGATTTTCTCACTTAGAGATTTCCCAGTGTACTGTTTACAAACATGTCCCCAGTCTTGAAGTGTATTCAGATTTCTTTAGGCTAGGAAAACAAAACAAAAAACCAAACCAAATGCAGACACACACCAGAAAGGAAGTTCCTTTACCAATTCATGAAATTCTGGGAACTTTTTATGTGAGCTGCTATTTAACCTTTTGATTGCTGTGTGGTAGTTTTGGACAGTAATCACATTACGTGGTTTGACTACTGTTGTTTTGCAAATTCTATGCCATATATTACCAGACCTTGATTATGGATGATGGCTTTCAGTAAGTTAAAAAAAAAAAAAGGCTGATGGTTAAATCATCCATATTTATTTAGGGCAAAAATGAAGACCTCAGAGTATCTTTGCATATATTCTTTATTCTTAAAGAAAAATTAATACACCACTCATCTATATTGCTGAGGTCACATTCCTGGAAATGCAAAGATATTAGAGGAACATTACTTAAAATCTAATTTTTCACAGGGACAACGTTATAGATTCAGTCAGAGAGCTCTGGAGAATACCAAAATGGATTAAAGTAAGTCCAAGTAAAAAAACCAAAAAACAACAAACATAGAGCCAAAGTCAAAGACACAGAAGGCGCTAAAATAGGTATTATGTGATGGTGAATCACGTCTTCCTCTATACTGTGAAGAGGTTTTGGAGTACCTTTGTATTATTTTATAATTTCAAACTTAGAGAAAAGTTGAAAGAAAAGTACAAAAACCGTCTGTATACTTTTGATCTAGTTTCACTAATTTTTAAATCTTTGTGTGTGTGTGTGTGTGTGTGTCTGTCTGTCCGTCTGTGTGTATTTATTAGTGAAGTTTTAGACGTATTATGCCCCTTTACTTTTAAATAATTTTCTATTTCTGTTCTAGGAAAATGGGTTGTTTTTTTTGTTTGTTTGTTTGTTGTTTTTGAGAGGGGCTCTTCCTCTGTCGCCCAGGCTGGAGTGCAGTGGTGCAATCTAGGCTCACTGCAAGCTCCACCTCCCGGGTTCACGCCATTTTCCTGCCTCAGCCTCCCGAGTAGCTGGGACTGGCCCCTGCCACTATGCGCGGCTAATTTTTTTGTATTTTTAGTAGAGACGGGGTTTCACCGTGTTAGCCAGGATGGTCTCGATCTCCTGACCTTGCGATCCGCCCGCCTTGGCCTCTCAAAGTGCTGGGATTACACGCTTGAGCCACAGTACCCAGCCAAAAAAAGGTATTTTCTTACATAACAAAAGTATAGTTATCTGAATTGAGGAGTTCAGTGTTGGTATGATTTTATTCTCTCAATCCTTATTCTAAGTTTCAATCTCAGCCTTTGTCTCTTTGTTCCTATTATAGGAGATTTCTTCCCAAGCCAGATCATACATTGCATTTTGTTGTCATGTCTTTTTAGTCTCTCTTAATCTGGAACTGTTCCTGAGTCTGTCTTTGAATCTTATGAAATTGACATTTTGAAGAGTATATGGCAGTTATTTTGCAGAATGTCTCTCAAATTAGGTTTCCCTGATACTTCTTTGTGATTTGATTTGGGTCATGCAGGAATAATTATTAGTGATATTGTGTTTTTCTCAGTGCATATCAGGAGGCAGTGGATGCCAGTTTATAAAATTTCTCAACTGTAAAGCTAATAATGTTTTCTCAAGTTAAAGTGACTTGTAAGATGATACTTTGAATCTGTGTAAATACCATATTTTTCATCGAACCTTTACCCATTAACTTGAATATACTTTGATAATTGTTGCTATTACTATTATGGTTGCCAAGTGGTGGTTTTCTAACTCTGTGATTTCTATATATGTATTTCTGTACCTTTGTTGTCATTCTACTGGAAAGAAGCACTTTATTTCCTCCTCTAGTTATTTATTCGTTTGACTTTATCATTGGGGCTCATGTATTCTTGCCTTATTCGGTGGGTTATAATATATTACTATTGTTATTTTGCTGTTCAAATTGATTGTCCCAGATTTGGCGAGTGTGCTCTCTTCAAGCTGATCATTGTGTTATATATCCATGACCCTAACTTGTACATGTCTAACTTGATTAGCAAAGTTAAATTTTAACATGATAGTGACATGTTTACATACTCAGTAATGTGAAAACTTAGCCATTAAAGTGTTGCCGTGTTATCTCCGTTAGTATTTTTATGTTGCCCATATGAAAAGCTGTTGTTATTATTTCTGGTTTGTATGCTTGAGTCGTTAGCTCATTTGAACATTACAGTCTACTTAAAGCTAATTTACATTGTTTTAAAATGGAATCTTCCTGTAGGTGGATGGTTTTTAAGGAGGGATGGCATCACACTCTTCCCCAGAAATCAATCATGCCTTCTTAAACTATTTCCATCCTAAACTGCAGATGTGATTTAGTGTGTATTTTCTTCTTGTTATTTTAATGTTTAGCTTATTTCCCTTGTCAGTTCTGGAGAAGGCCAATATTCGTAATCTGGATTTAATTAAAAACACCAACTTATAATACAGAGACATACCTGCAAACAAGAATGTCAGAGAAACGGATGATGGGGGGCATTCTCTCTGAAACACATGGAATTATTTTAGCAAGTATTCTGTTAAGGGGCCTCCAAATCAAGAGATTTTGCACATAACTATTCTCATACTTTTTGTACGAAGATATTTTAAGTTTTTCCCACTTAAGCTTTTCTGCAGAGTATATGAGGACAGCTGTTGCATTCTTTTTAGTAACAAAGTGTGATTCATTTTGCAGTCTGAAGGTCAGACTTGAAACTCAATTATTATCCTTAAAGTATTTATTAGATGGAAAATTATCCATAGCTTAGTATTTAAGGTTAACTGAATGGCCAGATTTAACTAAAGTAACAATTTAGTGAAGGATGTTGTCATTCATTCTTTGGTTCTCCTTTTCTGTGAATGTATCTTAGTCTGTTTGATTAACCAAGCGCAGCACTTTGCTGTGCAAGGCGATGGTCAGTGGAAGTATTTATGGGTTTTGGGCGGGTTTCTTGTTCTTTGTTTTTTTTTTGTTTTTTTTTTTTTTTAGGGTCAGGTTTTTTCAATTTTCCTTTCAGGTCCTAACTCAGTAACTCCATAGTCTTTGAGCAAAGATGCCTGGAAGCTTTGGCAACAACAAAAGAACAAACATTCCTTGAAGCAGCTATTTTTATAATAATGTTAATATTTTAACAGGTATTTTACTACCTTCTATCCATTTTTGTTCTAAACATGCAGTGACTTGAAATAATTTCCACCTCCAACTGCTGAATTTGAGAAAGAGTTTTCAGTGTAAAAATTGACTTTTAAAAAAAGTCTAAACCCAACTTGAGCCCTACTCCAGCCTTCAGGTTTGAAATCCATGTCAGTGCTTGTCATTTGAGAGCATGAGTCCTTTCTACCTGCCATTCAGCTTTTGAAAGGAGACATTGCTTATGTAAGTGTGAGAGAATGCGAAGCATTCTACAAATAATGTTTTGTTACTTTACATCCATATGAAAAGATAGCTCTTTGTTTTATAATTAGTAAGTACTTTTGCCAACTTTGATGAGTTTAATATTACATTTTATTCTTGAAAATTTGATGTTTTTACGGATAGCAACTTTTTTTTCCAGATATATATGTTGCATGTTTAAAAATTTTTTAAGGCTGGTTGCGGTGGCTCATGCCTGTAATCCCAGCACCTTGGGAGGCTGAGGTGGGTGGATCACGAGGTCAAGAGTTTGAGACCAGCCTGGCTAACATAGCAAAACCCCATCTCTACTAAAAATACAAAATTTAGCCAGGCGTTGTGGCATGCGCCTGTAATCCCAGCTACTCAGGAGGCTGAGGCAAGAGAATCACTTGAATCAGGGAGGCGTACCATTGCACTCCAGCCTGGGTGACAGAGCGAGACTCCATCTCCAAAAAAAATAAAAATACAAATAAAAATAAACTTAATCTCAGTGACCTTTGTCATCCTCCATCCTACCCTGCGTTTGATCCCAGCTGGCTTGACTCTATCCCTTGAAAGACCAATTTTCTGAATCCCCTGAAAGACAATGTGGAGATTTTCTATGTGTAAACCATTTAATTTTAGTCTGTTCATGGAAACACATCTCTACAGATTTAAAAGAATTGTTTCATTCATAGCCATTTTTTGGTGAATCAACCTGAGAATCACCTAATGATGGTGAACGGAGACAGAATTGAAAGAATGAACTTTAAGGTCAAGAATGTTGTTACAGATGCTTACCCTCTGGAAAGCACATGAGGTAGCTGAGAGCAGTGGAGATCATCAGAGGCTAGTTTTAAACTAGAAAACGCATTTTAATCTAAAGAGAGGCAAAGTGTTTTGTAAGCCATTATACACAAAGTACTTCCTGAAATATTTTTGATCCTCTATCATGGGAAGGCTCAGTTTCTTACTGTAATGAAGATAGTCTGTGTAAGATGTTCACCTACTTTTGTGTTGTTCCTTGTGGAAATTAGCATTATGAGAAAAATGTTTGTGTGATTTCACTAAGTTTTCTTTTCTTTTTTTTTTTCAGTAAATTAATACAAACTGATATGCATTTTCAGTAAATAAATTTAATCTTTAAAATAATTTTATAGCTGCCTTTATGAAAATAATAGTGCAAATTTACTAACTGCTGGTAATGTGCTAGGCACTGGACCATTTTGAAGAAAGATTTTTCATTCAGTCTTCATAATGGCTCTGTGAAGTAGTTAATACTGTTATCTCCATTTTACAGATGGGAAAGTATATCTCAGAGAGAGAGAGCTTATGGAACATTCTCCAATCCATTCAACTAGTTCAAGTAGTAGAAACTAGGTTTCCAGCCCATACCACGTGATTTTTTGTTTCTTCTTTTGAGACAGAGTCTTGCTTTGTTGCCCAGGCTGGAGTGCAGTGGCACGATCCTGGCCTACTGTAGCCTCAGCATCCTGGGCTCAAGTGATCTTCCTGCCTCAGTGTCCTGTGTAGCTGCACACCACGATGCCCAGCTAACCTTTTGATTTTTTGTAGGGATAGGGTCTTGCTTTGTTGCCTAGGCACATCTCAAACTCCTTGGCTCAAGTGATCCTCTCACTTCAGCCTCCCAAAGCGCTGGGATTACAGGCATGAGCCACCATGTGATTTCAATGCTGAAATAGGTACCTGGGTCAGGCGCGGTGGCTCATGCCTGTAATTCCAGCACTTTGGGAGGGAGAGGCGGGTGGATCACCTGAGGTCAGGAGTTTGAGACCAGCCTGACCAACATGGAGAAACCCCTTCTTTACTAAAAATACAAAATTAGCCGGGTGTGGTGGAACGTTCCTGTAATCCCAGCTACTCAGGAGGCTGAGGCAGGAGAATCGCCTGAACCCGGGAGGGGGAGGTTGCAGTGAGCCGAGATCGTGTCATTGCGCTCCAGCCTGAGCAACAAGAGCAAAACTCTGTCTCAAAAAAAAAAAAAAGTACCTGGGTCCCTTTAATTGATTATTGATATGTATGTGTATTAATGAATGAAATAAAAATTGGGGCTCACTTTGTTCAGTTTTTAATAAGACCATCTTAAGGGGTTAGGCTGGTTAATAACTAAAGAGTAGATACAATACAGCATAAGAATCAAACTCGATTCAAAACCTTCATTCCCAGTTTCTAATGCAGGGATGTAACAGATGTTCTTACATTTAGACTGTTATCTTGATGGGTGGCACGTCATTATCGTCGACTGCTGATGAGGTGCAGATGAATGCTGCTGGGAGCCATGTGTGATAGTGGAGGAAGTTCTAATTGGAGTGCTCTCAGTACAGAAAATTTAAGAATTTATCAATGTTTTAGGAGATAGCATATTTTGGGAAAGTCAGTGTGTCTGCAAGCTGCTGAAAGATGTTCTTGTAGACTTGTTGAAGAATTATGAACTGCAGGATGCCAGTTTTTGAAATCCCAATTCCTTTGGTAATAAGTATAAAAATAGCCACTATAAATTGAGCCCCAGGTACTGTTAAACTAACTTAATTCTCATAAGAACCCCATAAGGTAGTCAATGTCAATATCTCTTTTTAGCATTTTGGGCAAAGTAGATCCAGAGTGATTACCCAGAGTGATTGATTATTGACTGTAGGTGGAAGAGCCCATTATCTACCGTTAGCTTTGGTAGTCTTAACCGCTATGGCGCAGCTGCCTCTGCAGTTTGGATGGCTCATACAAAAATCCACTTGAGGACTGGGTGATACTTTTTTTGGTAAGACAGGTTTTCTTTCATCTAATGAGGTATGTTTTGGAGTCTTTATGTGAAACATTTTCTTCTAAACCATGATTATTAAGGGCAGGAGCTACGTCTGTGTGTTCACCATTTTATCATCAGGCTTTCAGTGGTGTATAATAAATATTTGTTGATTGGACTTGGATTCTTGAGCGGGGGCATCCAGTTGGTATGGTTAGGGAACTTTTAAGAGAAACATTTCGTTTATGCAAACAACTCTTAAAGGATGTATCTTTCAAACATTTCTTTGGTGCTGGTCAGGTCACTTACTACTGGGCTAATAGGAGTGGTGGTTTCCTCCTTGTTAAAGTTGTCTGTTACCTGAGAGTATTTGGGACTGATAGAGAAGCTGGTGGTGGGGGTGTTATTTGCAGAGAAAGCAGCTGGCACTAAGTTTACAGGCTAATTAGAAATGGTCACGCCTCTAATCCCAGCACTGTGAGAGGCTGAGGTGGGCAGATCACTTGAGGTCAGGAGTTCAAGACCAGTCTGGTCAACATGGCAAAACCCCGTCTCTACTAAAAATGCAAAAATCAGCTGGGTGTAGTGGTGCGTGCCTGTAATCCCAGCTACTGGGAGCTGAGGCGAAAGAATTGCTTGAACCTGGAAGGTGGAGGCTGCAGTGAGCCAAGATTGTGCCACTTCACTCCAGCCCGGGCAACAGAGCAAGACTCTGTGTCAAAAAAAAAAAAAAAAAAAAAAAAAAAAAAAAAGGTCAGCTTTTATCTTATCTGGTGCTGGAGGAGTTGGAAACTATTTAAAAGAGTAACCAAATTTAATCTGAAAAAGATGGTTTACTCTGTTGGCAGCTGAGAAATAAAAAGACTGGAGTAAAAATTGGAAAGAGTTCATTAGTAATAACAAAACATTTATTTTTGGGATCCATGCTATGGTTTTTGACAGTCATCTCTTATTTATTTTCATTTTTCTAACAGCTCTTAGGGTGAAGAACAGTCATTAATTCCCCTTTACAGATAATAGAGACTTACTAAAGGTAATCGCCTAACTTAATGTCACCCAGATATTAGATATTAAGTGTCAAAACTGTGATTTCAACTTGGGCTTTATGGCTCCAGCAATGAGGCTCTTAAAACATGGTCACAAAGAAAACCTTCTTCCTTGGGATGAATCAGATTTGAGAAGATCAAGGGAGTAACAGCTACCTTTGCCCTTGGAGATCAGATCCACTTAGTAGCTCTAAGTTATTAATCTTGCTTTTATTTTTTTTTTTAATTGTATGTTAGCGATCCTTTTGTTAAATGCAATGCTAGCATCCCTCTCTGTCAGGAGTTTGAATCTCAGCACCATTGATATTTGGGGCCCCATAAGTCTTTGTTGTAGGAGGGTATCTTGTACATTGTGGAATGGTTAGCAGTATCTCTGGGCCCTCTGCCCCCATAGCTGTGACAACCAGTGTCTCCAGATGGACGTCGTTAAACATCCCCTAGGGGCAGAATGGATCCCTGATGAGAATCACTCCTCAGCAGGAAGAAGACAGCAGTAAATTATAAACAGGTAAGTGTTCTAACAGGGCTTCTGAAACTCATGCGTATGAGTCACTTCATAGCTTGTCACAGTGGTTTTTTCAAGCATTACTCTGACTTAGTTGGTCTGGCTGGGAGCCAAGGGATCTGGAAAGTGATTGATGCAGGGTGTTTCTTGGACCGTACTTTTAGGGGAAGTAGCCACAAAGAGCTGAACCTCACACCCTTTCATGTAAACTTCCTGCTTAGCAACAGAATAGAGTACCTTCATGGTTATTAAAATGCTTTTCTCCTTGTCTTTTTATTTTTTCTTAGATCTGCTGGCCTATCTTGCTAGTGATTAAGTTTACAGTTCAGCTAATCATTTGCTCCAGGTTTCCGAGCTTGTAAAATCGCATGCTGTGCATATAAATGTATAGGATTTTGACCTTAGAAACTGAGGAGCAATTATCCACATGTCTTAAGACAGAGTAGGCCACCTTTTGACTTTGAAAGTATCACCAGGAGGGCATTTTATTTTTGAAAGTCAAGTTTTGTGTTTCGAAATATGTTTGTTGGGCTTCTTGGTAGCAGTTTAAGTTTTATTGTGATTAGGGGCTGAAACAAGTGATAAAAAATGAAGTTTCCTATTTAGTGATGTGATGTCACCTGTTGCTGCAGATGAGAGTTGGTTCTCTTTAAAAATTTGAAAGTGATACCATTTATATTTCAGGATTCTCACCATGTAATTTCTCTCTTCTGGCTATCAACCTGCACTTTTTAAATTTAAATTTTTATTCAGATTGTAGGTTCACATACAGTTGTAAAAAATAATACAGAGATATCACTTATATACTTTGCCTAGTTTCCCCAAAGGTAGCATTCTGGTAAAACTATGGTATATCACAGGATATTGATATGGATATAGTCCACTGATCTTCTTCAGATTTCCTGATTTTAATTTATACTTATTATGTGCATTATGTAGGTGTGTGCATGTGTGTATAAATTCTATATAATTTTGTCATTTGCGTAGGTTCATGTATCCACTATCCCAGTCAAGATACTGAACAGTTCCAATACCATAAGGATCCCTCATGTTTCCCTTTTATAACCACGCCTACCTCCTCCCTCCTCCCATCTCTAACTCCTAGAAACCTCTAATCTGTCTTCATTTCTAAAGCTTTTGTCACTTCAAAAATGTTACATAAGTGGAATCATACAATATTTAATCTTTGCAGATTGCTTTTCTTTCACTTGGAATAATTCTCGGGAACTCATCCATTTTGTGTATATCAGTGTTTGTTCTGTTTTATTGTTGAGTAATATGCCAAGGTGTAGATGTGCCACAGTTTAACCTTTCACTTATTGAAGGATATCTGGACTGATTCCAGTTTTTGGCTATTACAGATAAAGCTGCTGGGAACATGTGTGTACAGGTTTTTCTATGAACCTACATTTTCTATTTCTCTGGAATTAATAACCAAGAGTCCAATTGCTGGGTTGTGTGGTAGTTACGTATGCAGTTTTATGAGAAATTGGCAAATGGTTTTCCAGAGTGGCTGTACCATTTTGCATTCCTGTAGCAACATATCTCTGCAGCCTTGGCAATTTTTGACATTACAATTTGATATTGATATTGATACTGATTTTTAATTTTTTACTTTAGCCTTTTGGATCACCAATGTAGTGATATCTCATTGTAGTTTGAATCTGCATTTACCTAATGGGTAATGATGTTGAACAACTTTTCCCATGCTTATTTGCTATCTGTATGTCGTCTTTGGTGAACTATTCGTGTCTTCTGCCGATTCTCTTTTCTAATTGTATTTTTTTCCTTCTTACTATTAAATTTTGAGAGGTTTTTTTTTTAATATATTCTGAATACTAGTCCTTTGTTGAATTTGTGGTGTGCAAGTATTTTTCCCAGTCTGTAACTTGTGTGTTTATCCTGTGTTATTTTGTCTTTATGAGCTTTCTTGGCAGAAAAGTTTTTAGTTTTTATTAGGCTCAGTTTATCAAATTTTCCTTTTATAGATCATGCTCTTAGTGTTCAGGTCTAAGAACACTAAGAATGTAGGGCTTAGCCCTACGTTACCAAGATTCTCTCCTATGTTTTTCTGAAAATTTTATAGTTTTACAATTGAAATTTAAATAGATGATCCATTTTGAGTTAATGTTTGTATGAGGTGTGAGGTTTAGGCTGATCTTCTCTTTTTTTTTGCCTAAGGTTTTCCAGTTACTTTGGCACCATCTGTTGAAAAGGGTATTCTTCCATTAATTTTATA
The DNA here is from genome assembly GCF_000001405.40 of Homo sapiens. NCBI lineage: Eukaryota > Metazoa > Chordata > Mammalia > Primates > Hominidae > Homo > Homo sapiens. The sequence goes on from NC_000003.12 coordinate 61,897,373, forward strand.
TCTTCATCAAAAATGAGTTGAGCATATTTGTTTGAGTCTATTTCTGGGTTCTCTCTTCTGTTCCATTGATTGATGTCCCTATCTCTCCACCAATATCACACTGTCGTGATTACTATAGCTGTACAGTAAGTCAATATCAGGTAGAAAGATTCTTCTCTCTCGATTGTTCTGTCAAGATTTTTGTAGCCATTCTAGGGCCTGTGCTATTCTATAGAAGTTTTATAGTCTTGTGGATGTCTGCAAAAACTTTCCTGGGATTTTAATAGGAATTGTATTAATAGTATAGATCAGTTTGGGGAGAACTGGCATTTTTACTACTTTGAGTCTAGGAACACACTGTATCTCTCCATTTATTTAGGTTTTTGATTTGTTTTCAATATCACATTGTAATTTTTAGCATACAGATACTGTACATGTTTTGTGTATACCTACATATTTTCTCTAGAGTACAGTTATAAATGGTATTTTTGTTCCATTTATTCCTTTTTTAGTATATAGAAATGTGATGGACTTTTCAGGTTGATCTTTTATTCTGTAACCTTACTGAACTCACTAGTTTTAGGAGGTTTTTTTTCATGGATTCCTTGGAATTTTCCATATAGACAAGCCTGTCATCTGCAAACAGAGATAGTTTTATTTCTTCTTTTTTTCTTTCTGTATGACTTTACTTCTCTTTTATGCCTTATTTTAGTGGCTAGAACTTTCAGTGCTGTGTTGAATACGAGTAGTGAGAGCACACATCCTTGCCTTGTTCCCAATCTTAGAAAGAACACATTTGGTCTTTCATCATTAAGTATGCTAGCTATACTTACGTTACAAATCTCTCTGTAGGTGTTCCTTCTGATTCTTTGGTAATTCCTCTTAGTGAGACAAGGTCTCACTATATTGCCCAGGCTGGTCTTGAACTCTGGGGCTCAAGAAATCCTCCCACCTCAGCCTTCCAAAGTGCTGGGATTACAGGTGTGAGCCACCATGCCTGGCTGTATACATCTTTTTAAACATTGCACAGAGGTGCTCCGGCCTCATTGTTTGCCCTTATGCTGCTGCTTTTTTCTGTCTTCCTCTTCTTCTGACTTTATCCTTGTTTCTCTTATTGTATCTCTAGAGGTTATGCTTTAGATAATTTGGGCAAGAAAAGTTGAAGCAGGTTCTATTAGATGATACATCAGAATCATCTGAGTTCATATTTAAACCTAGCTTTTCTGGTTTGGCAGTTGAAATAGGCATGATAGGTTACATTGCGTTGTTTTGCCCAGGCATTACCTCTCCTCATTGTATGATTTTTGCAATGGAGTCTCTTTTCTTATTGAATAAAGCATGTGGCAAAGGTCTTTAAATGGAAAGAACCTTCTTTTGATGGTCTACTTGCTGTTGAAGTGAATAAATAAAGAAGAATGAAGAGCCAAAAGAGGAATTCAAAAAGAAAGAAAATGATTCTGTTGATTCTGGGGTAAGATTAATCTGACTTGAGCCTTGGTTCTGGAAATAAGTAACATTGTGTCCCTGGACAACTTGCTCAATCCCTTGTTATTTATTTGTCTGTCTGTCTGTTTAGAGACAGGGCTTCACTCTGTCACCCAGGCTGGAGTGCGGCGGCGCCATCATGGCTCACTGTAGCCTTGAGTTCTTGGGCTCAAGCGATCCTCCCACCTCAGCCTCCCAAGTCACTGGGACTATAGGCACATTCCACCATGCCTGGCTGATTTTCACTTTATTTTATTTTTTGTAGAGATGGAGTCCCATTCTGTTAGCCAGGCTGTAAGTTTTTTAAATTTGTGAAATGGAGACATCTCTCTGGGTGGGTTAAATGAAATAATACAACTTACCTACTCTGCCTAGTGCCTAGGTTCCTTGTGTGCCCTCCATAAATGATGGTTAGTTCTGATAATGGTGTGTTAGTTACACATGGAATGGGTGAATAATTCTGACAGGGAAGAAGAATGAAAAATAGGAGGTGGTTTTGGAATGATTGCTGAGACAGAATTGCTAATATTTTTAGGTAAAAGGAACGTAAGGGAAATATTTTCAGGAAAAAATCCAAAATGACTGAAACAGTTGTGTTTGAGAGTGAACATGGTGAAAACTTGTGCCTTGAAAGTGATTTCATATGGCCTTTTAAAAGGCCCCTTCAGGAGAGAGAGCTGTCGGTTTCTGCTTTGGTGTCATTTCAGTCTTGCTTGGAACATTGCTCTCTGTTGTTGTGCTGTCTATGGAAAAAAGGGTGAACCTCCAGAAGACTCACCAGGAATGGGTCCCAAACCACACTTCCCTGGAGACTCATCGGGGAACACCTGCTACTGGATTTTCAGAACCTGTTTGTGGATTCCAATTCAGTAGATTTGGGGGCAGGGGGACAGGCATCTGTATATAGTTTGAAACAGAGATCCTAGGAAATTCTGAAATGGGGCCAATGTGTCAGTGGGATTCATCGGGATGTCGTGGGATTTAGCAGCTGTAGTAGCATCTTCAGTTCTGCTACCAACTTTGTGTGTAACCCCAGGAAAATCACTTAACCTTTTTGTACCTTCTTTAACTCAGCCTTCTGAAAGAGGAGGCATAAGGGATAATAACTCTGACCTACTTTACATCGTTGTGAAGAATTACTTTAAAAAATGACTGCAAAGCACTTTGCAAATAGAAATTGCTCTATAAATGTCTGTTTTTTAAAAAATGTAATTTTCTAACACAGTTTTAAACACAAATAGTCTTGTTGAGTGCATCAGCTCAAATTACAAGTATCAAATGACATGGTATGATGGCTAGAAATAGTGTTTTTTTTTTTAAATACCCAAAGTTAGAGGCAATAAGGAAACAACACAAGGTTGTAATGTCGTCGTTTATCTGTATCATCGTTAAAAAATAATGCTGACGCTAACCTCTACATCCACATTTTCCGGTTTGTTTTGTTTTGTATTTTTAATAGGCTACTCCCATGAATTTGAGAATTTAATTAGAAAAATAAATGACTTCTACCATTGCTGCTGTGCTGTTAATTCTCCCCCTCCTTCCCAATCTCTCAATGAAAGGCCTGCTCCTCCTGTCATTAGACACATCTGTGGATCTGTTAGAAGTCTGTAAATGGACGCACACCTGCAGAGTTGGCAAAGACTCTGTAAGTCCCCATCCTCTGATGTAAGGTGTGTTTTCCTGTCATTCATCCATCCCTGCAGGAGCACCCCAAACACCTCCTCTTCAAATCTGCTGCAGTGCAGCTCCCAAACCACCCTGTCTCTAAGGCTAAGTAAGACAACTGGAGGCCCATTAATGCCCAGGTCCACGGATTGTAAGCTTATTTTCCACCTCCAAATTTGGTGGCAGGATGGTTGAGGTGGTAACAAATATCAGACAAGTTAGAGGACAGAGTCCATGTGAATTCAGAACACATAATTTTAGGCACTTGTCACTATATGTGTGTACTGTAGTTAAAAAAAAAAATCGTAGGTGGCAGTACAGAATAGTTGCTCTGGAGTGTCACCAGCCAGGTAAAAATCCTGGTCCCGCTGTGGTTTTAGGCAAGGGATCTAACCTCACGAAGCCTCCATTACCTCATCTTTAACCTGTGGATGCTAACAGCAATAATCTCATAACAATGCTGTGAAGGTCAGTGGAAATAAGCATAGAAACTTGTTAGTTCAGCGCCTGGAACATACTAAGTGTTCAACATAGCTGAGCGCTCTTAATCTGCTGACAAAGGCAGTGGTGCCCTTGTAGGAATAGATGGCAAACCATATGGACTAACGTGGATTTCAGATGTTCTAGTAGTCTACATTTAAATATTTTTAAGCTCGGCTACCAATAAACTTAATGGCTTATGTTTTGTTGGGTTTTCTCTTAAGTTATATTTTGCTACCATGTCTGTATATATCTGTAGTTTTTCATACAGATAACACAGTATGATGCTTTGTGCATCCTTCAGCAGTGTGTTATTGCAAACAAGGAGTGTGAAGGTTGGGTTGGTAAGCAAAGAACTGCCTCCATATTTGAGTTCTGTGATGCAAAAAAGTTACTGGATGGCTTTCAACTCTTAATTAATGTTTCTATTGACTGCTGATGCTAAGAAAGTATTATCACTTGTTCCCTCTGGGTGGTATACACTGAGATGAGGTAGATAAGAACAACCTTGGATGTACTGTTTCAGTTCCCTTGGAAACTATAAATCCAAAGGTGAATTTGCACGCTATGTGCAAGATGTATATGCTTCCCAATTTCAACTGCAGTTCCCTCAGTCCACAGAGAAGTGTTCTTGTTTTGTACTGTCTATTGACTGGGCTAAGCGTTAATAGCATCCCAGATTCTTCAATCCAGCAAGCTTTAGAGCCTTTTCACACTGATTCTGAGATAAGCCAATTTGCCAACTGCTTTCCTAGGGTGACCACCTGCTCCTGGGGTCTGAACCATCTGATTTTAGATAAATTCAGGCTCCACAATTTGTAGAATGCCATTTCTTTTTCCTTTACTTTGTAACATTGATATCACTGCTAGATATCTGGACCTTAAAAAAGTAAAAGAAACCTCTTTAATAAAAAGGATGTTTTAAAATGATATTACCTGATAATTATGCTTGCCTATTTTTATACCTCTTCCCCCATTTTTCCTTGATGAAGGTTTTTGTCTTGTAATGAAACGTGGTAATAAAGAGCATATTGGATGGGAAGGTACTCTATTGTCCTACCAGCTTGGTGTGGAGAAAATAAAACGTTAGGTATACACTGAATTGTTGGTTATCACCCAGTATGAATTGTCCTTCTCACCATGGGGTGTACCATATGCAGACTGTTAGCCTGCTCTGGGGACCTGGAGAGATGCCACATTCTTCTGTTTCCAGGCTGATTGGAACTGAAAGGGTTGGGCATGAATGTTAGGGTGGCCTAAGGTAGTCTTTCTGCCTGCTTGTTTGGAAAGAATTAGGTGGGAGAACATGCTGAGAGCTACTTTCCATTGTATGGTTCTTAATACCTCAGGGCTGATTATAGCATTGGAGGGAGAAGCAGGTGCTTGCTAGACAGGTGCATGTAGGCCCAAGGGAACAAATGTAATTCATTGAGCCTTAGTTTCCATCACCTGTGTATTAAGATTCATCAAATGGAAGACGCCCTTGAATGTAAGACCTGCTATCTTTTATGTACCCCTAAGGAAGAAAACTCACTACCAATTAAACTGTGCTATATTGCTAAGTTACCATCAATAATAGTATCTGTCCTGATTTCAGAGATAAAAGATGTAAGTTGTAAAATATAAAAGCACTTATATCATAAATTTCTAAGGACCACATTAGATAGTATACCTGTAAAGTATCAGCAGTGTCTTAACATATAGTGAGCACTCAGTAATCATTAACTGTCTTCTCTCAGCCCTCTCTCCTGGTAGTATTTGGTAAATACTTCCTACCTGGTAAATCTTTATTGAGCATGTAATATGTATCTATCATTGTTTTGTGTATCTGGCATATATCAGTGAACAAAATAGTACATAGATCCTAGCTCTGTTGCTTATTTTTGATATCAGGGATATAATGTGGACTTAGGGACCTGCCATCTTGGTAACTAGGAGAGTCGCCCCTCAACTCAGCTCTCCTTTCCCACCAGGGGCTGCTTTACTTGGCCTTGTCTTTGGGGTTGAATGTGTGTGCCAGTAGCATAGGCACATGTAAGACCTGCCAAACTCCTTCCAGTCTCATTGCCTTCCAGTGTTTTCTGTGTACCTTACACTCTGTCTAAGCTGATGGCATACCTTGCCTCAAACAAACCATGCTCTCTCCCCTCTCCCTTTATCTGTCCCGTGCTGTTCTCTCCATCTGGTATTTTGTGTCCCCCACCATGAACATGCAGATTCCCCAGCGAATCCCATGAGCTGCTGCTCTCCTGATGCCTTACCTCGTCCTTTCATCTGAGTGTAATTTACCACCTCAGGCTTTCTGCATGACACTGCTTTACATCTGCTCCTCTGAGGGTACTCACAGAATGCGATACTGATACTGCAGTCACGTGGCTATTGGCTTCTTTTTTTATTTTTAGTTTTTGAGACGGAGTCTTGTTCTGTCTCCCAGGCTGGAGTGCAGTGGCACAATCTCGGCTCACTGCAACCTCCGCCTCTCGGGTTCAGGTGATTCTCGTGTCTCAGCCTCCCAAGTAGTTGGGATTACAGGTGCCTACCACTAAGCCTGGCTAATTTTTGTATGTTTAGTAGAGACAGGGTTTCCCCATGTTGGCCAGGCTGGTCTGGAACTCCTGACCTCAGGTGATCCACCCACTTTGGCCTCCCAAAGTGCTGGGGTTAATTGCGTGAGCCACCGTGCCCGGGCCTGGCTGTTATTGGCTTCTTAAGGAAGCCCACTTAACAGTAATTACTGGCCAAAGATACATGTTTTTATTAATGCAAATCAGCATGTCACACTGAATTATATAAACATATAGTGTGTATATTAAACAAATTAAGTCATGACCTTACAATCAGGTCATATGGTGGTCTGTACTTAATTATTTTTATATTTTATTAACAGGAAGTGTGTAATTAAGCACGGATGGCTCTTCCCACCCCTTTCCTTTTTACATATGTCTGTTCTGTCTTCTCACATTTCTGGACTGACTTAAACTTGTCAGCCAGAAAGATGGATGTCATTCAGGTATTGGCAGGAAGAGATGCTTCTGTAAATAGTCTCTTTCACATCTGGGTGTTCAGTTTTCCTGCTGGGGCTGAGAGAATCTGATGAGCTTTGGGTATTTCTTTCCACAGCCGGGACTGATCCAGCCTGTGCCTCCTCTCTGGCGTAACCTCATCCTGTCCTTCCTCATTTTTAACACCCAAGTGCAGCTGCAGGGGCTTTCATCCGCCTCAGACTTGCCAGTACCCACCACTTGAAACTGGGCCCTGCTGTGATTGTAAGTCTCCATCCAGAAGGAGCTGGGTTTTTTTCTCAGGACTCAAGAGACTGTGAAAGTCTGAAAAAATTTTGTGCCAAGAGAAAGAAGTGCAAACATCCTCTGTTTTCTGTCTCTAAAGCAGGGTCAGTGGTTTCCAGTGCTGTGTTTTTATGTCATTTGACTAACCATCTCCCTACAGGCCCAAGCAAATGTGGGCAGTGCAGATCAAGCCTGCTTCCCAGGACTTTTTGAGAGTGACGGTGGTACAGTATTTCACTGTTTGTAGCATGCCTATAGACTGCCAATTTACAGGATTTAAAACCTTCCTGGCAGATGTCCAGAGGCCTCTGGCTCATATCTACCTAGTTTCATGGTTGGCTTTCTAACTCTTACATAACAGCTGGGGTTTTTCACTACATTTAAATTGTTACTCAGAATTTAATGTAGTCTTTCTAAAATGCTGTCCCCTAGGTGGCTTAACAAAGGTGTAAATCCAGTCTGTAGAAGCCAAGAAAGGCATTGCATATGAGTATAGCTGGTATTTACATTTCACATATGTATTTTTTTCCAGTTGACAAAAATCAGCCCAGTAATTTTACCCTGGGTTTTCATCCTAGTAAAGAAAATTGTTAAATATTACCAAAGTATAAAGTGATCTTTGATTCTAATTGGAAAGCCTTTTTTTTTTTGATGCTCAAAAGTAATGTTGTAAATGGGTAGAAAATTGTCCATTTGGTTCCTGCTGTCTGTCTTTTCCTGCACTTTGATGAAGGAAAGGCTTTTTTTCCCCCAGTCCCTAGAAGACCTCAAAGGAGCTGCTTTTTGAAGGAAAAGGCTTCATTCTCCCTGCTCGAAAGATTGCCACACTATAGATATTTGAAAATCAGATGCGGTAATCAGAAAGCTATTCTGATAGTCTGACTGCTCTGCCGATACAGGTTATATTACTCTCACACAATATGTTATCACGTAAGGGCTGGGGAGGACATACATACTTCAGTGGGTAAACTGAGGTTAGGGACATAGGGAGCTTGACTGTGATTCCAAGTATGTGGTGAGCTCACAACCCCCAAGATTATCTTATCCTCTAAACGGTCTTGTCATGCGCTTTTCAGGAGTCACATTAGAATCTGCTTTCTAAGACCATATCTAGTGGCTGGGCTGTTTTTTAATGGATCACTTCCCCTTCCATCTTTTGACACTATCTATCCAATTCTCAGGATTCTTTGTCTTTCAAAACTTCATGTGCTGTATTGAACTTTTCATTTTCTCAGATTAAAGGTGGTCTTTTAACAGTTAGCATACTTGCTTGTTCATCCATTTCTTTGTTAGACACGTAACACAAATTCAATCCCCAGGAGTATTTAAGCATCTCCGGAGCATTCTGTGTTTTGGTCTGTATTTCAGTTAAAGATCTACAAAATCAAGAGAGAACTTCTGAAGTCAAACCAAGCAGGTTCAGATATCTGCCCAACTTTGTTGATTTTCACTCTTTCTATGGTGGGATAAACAGGGACAGCTGAGAGGTGTTATTAGAAAACTTTCAACTGAGTCAAAAATAAAAGCAAGGGCCAAAGCTTCTTCACCCTTTGTCTGTGTCCATTTAACTTCCCAAAATACTTCTTCTCTAGATGAAATAGACCATTCAGTATTTCATCACTAATTTTACATGTATTATGTCTCCAGGATTAAGATTCCTTGTACTTAGGAGAAAATATTCTCTTATGAAAGAATCATGTAAGTATTAATTTTTTCATTAGTGTGTTTTATTTCAGAGAGACATGAATACATGGAGTTTTATATTTTAGGTTTTTTTAGCTCTAAAAGTACATGTGACATTATTAAAGTTGGAATGCTTCCTTTTTTTGCTGTGGAGAAAGTGAAGTCATATTTGAAGAAAACATTTTAAGACCTTGGATTTAAAAATTATAGGGACTTGGGGCTGGGCTCGGTGGCTCATACCTGTAATCCCAGCACTTTGAGAGGCTGAGGCAGGTGGATCATGAGGTCAGGAGTTCAAGACCAGTCTGGCCAACATAATGAAACCCTGTCTCTACTAAAAATAAAAAAAAAATTAGCCGGGTGTGATGGTGTGCACCTTTAATCCCAGCTCCTCGGGAGGCTGAGGCAGGAGAATCATGTGAACTGCGGAGGTGGAGGTTTCAGTGAGCCGAGATCATGCCATTGCATTCCAGCCCGGGTGACAATGCTCAACTCCACCTGAAAAAAAAAGGAAAAAAAAACATATATATATGGACTTGGTGTGGTGGCTCACACCTGTAATCTCAGCACTTTGTGAGGTCGAGGTAGGAGGATCACTTTAGCCCAGGAATTCGAGACCAGCCTGGGCAACATAGGTAGACCCCATTTCTCCAAATAAAAAGTAAAAAATAAAAACCTAACCAAGGGTGGTGGCACAGGCCTGTAGTCCCAGCTCCTCTAGATGTTGAGGTAGGAGGATCACATGGGTCTGGGAGATCAAGTCTGCAATGTGTTGTAATTACACCACTGTATTCTAGCTGGGCTGGGAGACAGAGTGAGACCCTGTAGGTAGGTAGGTAGGTAGGTAGGTAGGTAGGTAGGTAGGTAGGTAGGTAGAATTGTGTTCATATTGTAGAAATCCATATATCTGAGTTAGATTTTTAAAACGCTGTCTGACTACTGTTGCTCCTGGCTACAACATTAAAAAAAGGTGTCCTGGTTTTCTTTTCAGGAAAGAGCGATATTTTTATTTTTTTCATAGAAAACAGAATTAAACCAATAAATGAAGTTATTACACTTTTGAGTTGGACAACTTAAAACACACAATGTTTGAAATTATAAAGCATTTTTGCAAGAAGTTGTTATTTGGGGTAACATATTCTGTCACAGTATGCTACTTATTCCTTCTCTTCCCCAACTTCCCCCACCCCTTTTTTTTTTATATAAATGGTGTCATAGTAAATATTTATTATAGAATATGATAACTACTGGCCTGGTTCTTAATGCCTGGTTTATACTCTTGCTAAGAAAAGCTCGAGGGTGACTCTCAAATCTCAGGCTAATTCTAAAACCAACAATTGAGAAGCCTCCTTTCTGGATCCAAAGGCACATGGTCTCTCTCCCCTGCCTCCATGATCAAGGAAGACATCACTAGTTGATCAGGCCGTCTTCCCAGCAGAGCCCAGATGTGCCCTCCTGATTCTTCTCAGCATTGCTCTGAAAGCTGCCTCCATCAGTCATGTCGAATTGGTACTCACGATGAAATCTCTTTGACATCCTTGAATAAAAGTGTGTTTTTATGGAAGGTCCTTTTATGAGCAAAACCCTGTGCTGAAGGGGATTGCAGAAAATCCTTTCTTCTGGGAATTTATAAGTCTAGTAAGGAAGATTATTGCAGCACTGGGTAGAACCATAAGCAAAATGCAGACAAAAGTTCCTGTAATTAAGGGAACACAGATGATAACGATTGGCCTGGAAGAATTCTTGGTTGCTTTGATCTTATCTGAAATCGGACTGTCAGTGGGACTTCTTTCTCAATTGTGGTAAAGCTAAGGAGCCGATTTCCTTTGTAACTGCTGAGCAGAGACCAAGGTACAGGTCTGAAGGAACTTATAAAGTCAGTATTTTGGAACTGGATGCAGCGGCTCATACCTGTAATCCCAGCACTTTGGAGGCCATGGTGGGAAAAATCACTTGAGGCCAGGAGTTTGATGCCAGCAACATAGCGAGACCCCCGTCTCTGTGGAAAGTAAAACAATTAGCTGGGTGTAGTGGTGTGTGCCTGTAGTCTCAGCTATTCTGGAGGCTGAGGCAAGAGGATGGCTTGAGCCCAAGAGTTCGAGGCTATAGTGAGTTATGATTGTGCCACTGCTCCAGCCTGGGCGACAGAACAAGACCACCTCTCTTTAAAAAAAAAAAAAAAAAAAAAAAAAAAATCGGCCGGGCTCACGCCTGTAATCCTAGCACTTTGGGAGGCCAAGGCAGGTGGATCACTTGAGGTCAGGAGTTCGAGACCAGCCTGGCCAACACGGTGAAACCCTGTCTCTATTAAAAATGCAAAACTTAGCCAGGCATGGTGGCGCATGCCTGTAGTCCCAGCTACTCGGGAGGCTGAGGTGGGGAATCGCTTGAACCTGGGAGGCGGAGTTTGCAGTGAGCCGGGATCGTACTACTGTACTCCAGCCTGGGCAACAGAGCAAAAAAAAAAAAAAAAAAAAAAATCAGTTTTTCAGAAGTGGAAATCTAGTTGTGAAATATATATTGGGAGGTCATTGGCTGCATTTGGCCACAGTTCCACATGTAAGATTTGGAGGACGTGGTTAGAGTTTGAGTAATTTAGGATCAACAGTTCAATCCTGTATAATTTAGTGACTCAGTGCAGCAATAAACCCTGGAACCTTCTGCTTCTGTGTTTCTCCTCTGCAGGAATTAAGGGCAGATAGAAAGAAAGCAAACATGAATTAATTTGATTTTATGTGCTTAAGGAGACATAATGAGAATCTGTTGGTGAGGTAGAAGTTACCACCAATCTACATAAAAATGAATAATACTGACATTAAAAGAAAGAACATCAATTATGTTGCAGTGATTGCAGGTTTAAATCATGTTAGGGCTTAGGCTTAACACGTAAGAGTCTCCAGTTCCCGAATTTGTTGGGCCTTACATGGAAGCTGAGATATGACAGAGGGGTCTGAAATACTGCCCCCCATTCCAAGTGAGATTTCCTACTGTTCCTTTCACTGACTTGCCCTTTCACTAGATATGCTATCTTTTCTCAGAAACACTAAAAAGGATTTTTGTGTTTGCAAAGAGTAGGAATGAAATGGGGTTTTTCTACCCCTTCTGATAACTGGGTACTTTTAATGGCAAGGCTATTCTTGGTTTCATTCCTTGGCCAATTTTGAGATAATTTTTTAAGCACATTGGAGCCCACGTGCTCAGTGGTGGTTCTTCAGCAGAAAATTCAAAGATCAGCTACTGAGAATTTTAGATTTCCTGTTGTAAGAGGTCAAACAAATGGTACAAGTTACATAAGCGTTTCTTCGATGATAAAGGAGCTGTTTTCTCTAGATAGGTGTACCCTTTTCAGCTAGCTAATATGAATCTGTGTCAACACAGGTTTTAATTTTTTAATTTTTATGTATTCATTTTTTGAGATAGGGTCTCACTCTGTTTCCCAGGTTAGAGTGCAATGCTGTGATCATGGCTCACTGCAGCCTTAACTTCTTGGGGCCAAGCAATCCTCCCACGTCAGTCCCCCAGTTAGCCAGGACCACAGGTGCACCACCACACCTGACTAATTTTTAAAAATTTTTTTGTAGCAATACAGTCTCACTGTGTTTCCTAGGCTCGTCTTGAGCTCCTGGGCTCAAGCAGTTCTCTTGCCTCAGCCTCCCAAAATGCTCAAGCAGTTATCTTGCCTCAGCCTCCCAAAATGCTGGGTTTACAGTTATGAGCCATGGCATCTGACCTCAACTGAAGTTTTAAAATCTGTAGGACTATACAGTTTAAACCTCAAGGGTAGCAAAGTAATAATATAAAAACTACAATACATGAGGTTTGTTAGAGAAATCGAATTGCTAATATTGCTGCCATGGTATTTGTATACAATAATATACCAAGTGAGATTTTTATCGCTGATAAATATTAAAGTCTGTTCCAAAATCATTTAAACACTTTTTTAAAATTTGGACATCAGGTTCAGAGAGTTTAGTGATCATACTCTTCATGGCATACTGTCCTCCTTGGTTTGTGAAGGGGCTCCTTGTGGTTTGTTTTGCTTTACTTCATTTTTCTCTTTCACTCATATTCCATTCTTTTTTCCCCAAAGATGCTGATTAGTAGTATTTTTAATTCACTTATTTTTGTGTGATATATCTCATTATGCTGTTATGCATTTTAAATCAATGCCAATTTTCAAAGTCTGTTCACATGCCTTACGTACCTCTTCATTGCTTTTGAATGCTGTGTCCTATTTCGTGTATTGATCCATCCCATTCTTACCCATTCCCCACAGGGAGACACTTTGTTTGTCCTGATGAATTTTGCAAATTTAGTGAATTTGTTTGTTGCCGAATGTCACCAAAATGTGCTCCATCACTTCCTAGGATGACTCTACTGTTGCTCTGCACCATCTCTGTTTGAACATCAAGAGTCATATGAGCTTACCAAAGATTCTCATTGCCTCGTATCCTAATGTTGTCCAACCCAGTGGGTATGAAATGGTAACTCACTGTTTTACCTTGCCTTTCTCTTGTTGCTGGTGATGTTGAGCATCATTTTACACCTTTAACCACTGGATTTTCCTCTCCTGGATATTGCCTGTTCCAATTTGTTCCTGTTCCTTTCCTTTCTATGCTGGTAGTGACTGTGTTTTCTTAATTATGTTTAAGAAATTGAGAGTGAAGCCAGCCTTGTAGTACCTGGTGCAGGCTTTGTGTCTGTGAGATAACTCCCGAGGCTCCTCCTAGAATTTCTTTTTGTCTTTTAACAATCCAAGGCTGTCATTTTCCCTATGCTGTTGATTCCCACCTGCTTTCCCCACAGAACCCCCTGCCTCTGTTCGGTGCAGCCAGGAGGAAATCTGAGCAAGCCCCAGACGGTCCCTGCTTTGATTAAAACTGTCAGGGGCTTCCCTTGGCACTTAGGTGGAAGGCCTGAATCTTTGCCAGGTCTCAGCCCCACCTCCCATGATTCAATTCTTGACTCTGGTTGTCCCCCATTCTTTATGTTCTGGCCACAGAAGACCTCTGCCTTATTCTTCCAGCACCTTCTCTGGGCTCAGCACCTCTTATTCCCTCTGCTGCTCCTGTTGTCCTCTCTGCATCCTCTTTCACCTGGATAACGTCTACTCTTCCAGTTTCTCATAGTGTCTTTAGGAAAGCCCCTCTTGACCTTCATACTCCTCTCTCCTATGACAACCTCTATTTCCTTCTTTCAAACCCTTTCAATACTTATGAACTGATACTTAATACATTTTTGGTTTCAAGACAAAGAGGGGAAGGGGGCAGAGACATTTCCCTTGTGAACTTCGTAATCATGAGGTCAGTACCTGTGCCTTTGTTTCTCCTTACTGTATTTTAAGTGTCTGGCCAGGCACCAGAGACATAGAAGTCCAATTAATATTTGTTGAGAGTGGGATAAAAGAGTAGGCAAATTAAATGCTAATTCCATCACTTTGGCTTCCTATGTTATTTTTACTAAATATTTGAACCTATTTTTCCATTTGGGACTACTTTTGATTCTGCTTTTCACATTCACTATGAAAATACATTTAATTGCATTTTTCTTGTTGATTGAATAAATATACTTAAATACATATCTTTCTGTTAATATTGTCTACAAGTGTATTTTTAATAGGGGATGTATTTTACATGTCATTACCTTAAATGTCATTATATACCATGCTGCTGCGTCATGGTTTGTATGATTGTTTCCCCATTTTGAAGCATTGTTTTCAATTTCATTATTTTATAATGAAATGTAATATTTCTTGGTATAAATTAATTTCTTTTTTCCCCAAGTTACTTCTTTGAAATTACTGCGTTTGAACAGCTCTTATTAAAGGCTGCTAGATCATTTAAAGAAAGATTGAAGTTGGTTTCATTGCCAGCAGTGTGTACCTGTTTATCTAGAGCTCTACCAAAAATTGAATTTTATAATTTCATTGTATTTTAATAGCTGTGAAGTGTAACTTTAAAGTTGTTTCAATTTGCATTTCTTTCACTCCTGGTAAATCTGTGTATTTTTCACCAGGATGATTTACGCCCCCAATTTCTTCTATTTTAATTGTCAGTGTGCATCATTTGATGTCCTTCTAATGTAATTAAATCTTTTCTTTTTGTGAGTGGTGTAAGGAGCGAGTCCTCAGGATCTTATCTAGCTGCCTTCTATTTTTATGAAGTATTTTTGTAGCCTCATAGGATTTCCTTCTAAGAGTATTCCTTGGTACTCTTAGAAAATGCGCAACAGTATAGTCAGCTTTAGAAATACCCCTTCTTTATATATAATTTCCATGGGAATGTAGTTATGGCCCCTTACCACTATTAAGACCAAAACAGTCAGCAAACAAAACAATAACTCTTCTATTTACTTGGGTGAGAACTAGCCCACTGAGAAGGTAGGAGGAATTTGCATAATGAAGAGGGTGTTTTCTTGGTTCCCTTTTAAATTTAAAAATTACTCATGGATTTGCATTCTGTAGTGTCTCAGCATCATTTAGAATTAGGCTTTGCTTACTGAAGTCAAACTGCAAAGCTTCACTTATGTATGACTTAATTACCCTTTAATGTTAAAAAGAGGAAAAAGTAAAGAAAAAAAATCCTTTGGAATTGGTCATCATGATTGATTTTTGTGCTCAGAAGACCGACAGTCTTTTCTAAAAGTTGTATAGCTGTTTTTTGATCTTTTGCCTTTTTGTTTGATATTCTTGAATAATCTGCATAGTTTTGATATTTAATTCCCCTTATTCTTGTCAATCGGGACCAAGATTTGGGAGGTTGGCATTTCTTTATTCTCCATGCAGTTAGGAGTTTCTTGTAAAACATTTGAATTATGCAGAGCCTGGAATCATTTTAAGAGTGGTTTGATGTGGGTATTTTAGTTTACTGGCAGGAAACAGACTCTGGAAACAAGTCATTGATGTTTAGGTTTTATTTTTTTTTCACCATTTTTTAGTATTTTTCTTCCAATTTCTTTTTGCTTTACTGGTTTTTCTCATGCTGAAAATAACATGAACAGGTGTATGTGAAGGACTGCAGTGGACAGCTGGGCAGGCTGCTCACTGTGTGAGAGCACCAGCCAAGGAGACCAATGGCGGCTGCATATCAGAGCAAGGGACACCTTTTCTTTTCATTTAAACTTTAGATTCAGGGGATACATGTGCAGTTATGTTATATGGATGTATTGCATAATGTTGGAGTTTGGGCTTCTGTTGAACCCATCACCCAAATAGTGAGCGTAGTCCCCAGCAGGTACTTTTTCAACCTTTGAGGGGACAACGTTTTCTTTTTTATTTTTTTTCTGAGACGGAGTCTCGCTCTATCACCCAGGCTGGAGTGCAGTGGCGCGATCTTGGCTCACTGCAAGCTCCGCCTCCTGGGTTCATGCCATTCTCCTGCCTCAGCCTCCCGAGTAGCTGGGACTACAGGTGCCCGCCACCACGCCCGCCTAATTTTTTGTATTTTTAGTAGAGACGGGATTTCGCTGTGCTAGCCAGGATGGTTTCAATCTCCTGACCTCGTGATCCGCCTGCCTCAGCATTCCAAAGTGCTGGGATTACAGGCGTGAGCCACCGCACCCGGCCGAGGGACACCTTTTTCTGATTCATACAGATGCACTCTACGAGTGCATATGTATGTGTATGCACTCATATGGATGTGTGGCTTCAGTGGTTGCTCAGAGTTTTCTAGATCTTATATTTCTGTATGAGTTTCTTTACGTCTTTTTGTAACCTTGCTTTTGTGGTCTTCACAAAGGGATATCCAGTGGTCTGTGCCTTTTATTCCATTGAAAGCATATTCCTTACTAAGTCTGCACCCATGGCTGGATGAGCATTACCTCGTTCATTACACCTGAAGTGAACATACTTGGTTATGTGACTAATCTCTAAGGGAAATCTCCCCAGCTTTTAGTTTTGTCTGATGCTTTCTTCTCACCAGTGTGAATGTCTGGGTTTCTAAAGCTGTGTAAACTGAGAGGCGTGGTCTTAGAGAAGAGCTCAGCTCTCAGAGATCGGTCCAAATTTACTAAAGAATCCTATTTTGTTTCAGTGTTATAACAAAAGGAAAACCTCCCCCCTTTTCCAGCCTAATTGAGTATACTTCACAGTGGGATCACAAAGGCTCTGGTTTATGTCCCATCTGAGTGGAAACCTTGGTTCATGGAGTTACTTTTCCTCTCATCTACAGTTCAGTGGTCCTAGAACTGATGTCATGATTAGGTCAACATTAAAGATTCCACTGATCTCTGGCTTTTTGACTTCTTTGACCTACGTTTCCTGTTTGGAAAGGGTTAATTACACTTGACTTAAGCGTTTCTTTTTGTGATTCCATGTGGGGTGCTGGAATAAGGTATAAAGTTGATTAATAGTCTTGGAGCTGGGTCTTCTACTTTAAGACCCAGTTCAAATCTGTGTTCCCCATGGGGACTTTGAATTTCTGCTCCCTGCTCATTTCTAGAGAAATGTTCCAGAGAAATGTGACTCCCGGCAATATTTGGTAGCTCCTTGCCATCTGGTAGTCATCATTGACTGCGTCTCTTTCCTGCTATGAATACAGCAGTGTAGGAGGCAGATACTTGCCTATGTCCTTGTTTTCACGTTCCGAGTTTAAGCATCTGAAAGTATTCTTCGTAAATTAGTTAGAACGGTCTTGGCCTTTATGAATAAACATGCTGTTCTGAAATGATACTAGTTTTCCCCCTTTAGAGTCAAGTACCTTCCTGGTTTCATTAATTCAATCTTCTTCCTAGCTTATTTCCAAGAAATTACAATATTGACCCATATCGAGGTATAATTACCTCAATATGTAAGTAATTTTAACATGTAGAAACAGGTTAGGAAAGATACACACAAAACAAATAAATTGTCATGAACTCTCCTTTGATGAGGAGGATGGGCATAGGCAGAGAGGAATACGTGGGCTTTATATGGGATGCATTTTATTTTTCTCCAAATGTTACCATATTGTTTGAGTCTTTTTAAAGCATATCTATTACATACATAATAATTAAGTGGGCTGGGTGCGGTGACTCACGCCTATAATCCCAGCACTTTGGGAGGCCAAGGCGGGCGGATCACCAGGTCAGGAGTTCCAGGCCAGCCTGAACAACATGGTGAAACCCCGTCTCTACTGAAAATGTAAAAATTAGCCGGGCGTGGTGGTGCGTGCCTGTAGTCCCAGCTACTCAGGAGGCTGAGGCAGGAGAATCGCTTGAACCCAGGTGGCGGAGGTTGCAGTAGGCTGAGATCAAGCCACTGCACTCCAGCCTGGGCAACAGAGTGAGACTCTGTCTCAAAAATAAATAAATGAATAAATAAAAATTAAGTGGGCAAGATTTTGAAACTTATCTTAAGATAAATAGCTCTGTCGGTTCTCCATTTCCTTTTCTTTGCATGTTTGGAAGCAGGGCAGTGTTTCTCCCCCTATTTTCCTGTTCTGTGTTTTCTGAATATTTCAGAACATCTCTCTCACTTCTTTTCTGTTGACTTCAATATGGCAGTGGAGGGGTAGTTGAGCTGAAATCTGATTAATGTAGCAAGAGACGGTGTCAAGTTAGAGGAAGGCATTGTTGTTCTGTAATTAGAGCCGTGAAATATATCTTATTTGTCATCATCTTATTATTCTTTGGCCTGTTTCTAGAGATCAGCACAATAAAGTTTGTAAATCCTTGTTCAGAAGCTATAGTTTAAGCCTTGCTGAATGAGGCCTTTTAGGAACATATTTTTTCTTTCTTTCTTCTTTCTATTTTATTTTTTTGAGAAGTCCAGGAAGTATCTGATTATGTTTCAGATGCTCTATGTAAATGGAAATTAATTCTTCAGCAAGAAGACGCAATCACAGAGGGTAAGATTGGTGTTTGCAAAGCATCATAATATCACTTGATTTAAAGTCAAATATCTGAACCTGAATACTATAGGAAATCCCAAATAGTGACACTGAGTTTAAGACAGCTTGAGTTGCATTTTATAACTCCTGGCTGAACAGCACAAATAATTGCAGCCCATTCCTGAATTAATGTGTCTGGGTGTGGGTCACTTTGCACAGATGAGGGAAAAGTAGTCAAGTAAACTATTCAACTGCTTTTAATTCTTATGCATAAAAATATACAGAGTGCTATTAAATTAGATATGAATCTTACAGCACTTAAATCCCTTAGCCCAAATGCAGTCAGTTACATTTGCCATGTAAGACATTTTGATTTAAACTTTAGTCAGGAAGCTGAGGAAACAGTCTCCTCTTGAGCCTAAACATTAAAAGTTGGCTGCATGTTTTTCTTTGTTGGCATTTGTAAATTGAGTTTTTCACAGGATTCTAGACTTATTTTTGGGTGTGTGTGTGTATAGAGCTACACTATTTAATGAAAATATAGTTTGATTCAGACATAGGGTGGTGTTGAAAATTATTTTAGTAATGAGATTATCATAGTTATAAATTGATTTTGAAAATTCTAATTTTCGTGTTAGATGGCACCAAAGAGACTATTTTAACCTCCTACTCCCCACCTTGTATGTTTTAAAATAAATGATTTCTAGAGGTTAAGCTGTGACAAAACTGTGCTGAGAAAAAAAATCTCACTGTCAAATTAGGCACCTTTCTGTGTGTGCTGTAACATGAGATCATGATAATTTAGATTAAAAATGGAGTTTCATAGATGCCTATTCGATTGTTTCTCTTTAAATCTGTTATTGTTATTATTATATTTATCTTTTAATCATTATATGTTTTTAATTGCTTGCATGTGTTAGGTTTCATACATGTTCAAAATCTATTTTATCCTCATAACAGTCATGTAGCATATAGGAGCTATTATGATGTCCATTTTTCAAATGAAGACACTGAGGTATAGGAATATTAAATAATTTGTCTTGGGTTAAGCAAACTGGTATATGGTGGCTCCATTTCCATTACAGATCTCAAGCTTTTAATCACTCTTGATAAAAATCCTACCCAGTGCCTTTTTAAGTTTAAACATTATAACATTCTGAAAATGTCAAAATAATAAGTCGAAATTGATGGTGAATGATGCCCATTCTTGTGGATAATTTTTCCTTGCATTCTGAGCTGTTTTCTTCTGAAGCCTTCGACCTCTCTTCATCCTAGCGATGTGGGGACTGGAATGCTACGGAATCAGCTCTACTGGCTGATGGCAGATGCGTTTTGGGTCAAGGTGGCCGCCAATGCTTTTTGCGTCCCCTGCAGCTGCTGAGACAATATGAATCTGTACGGTGGAGGCCTGCCAAGTTAGACGCTCGGCTCCTCATTATGCTTTGGGAACTCACACGTTCCACAAACCTCCTGCCCTGCAGTGGCTCACATCAGTGCATTGCTATGTCAGGCTGAATAATTCGCAGCATTTAGCACTTAAATTGGCTCATTGCAGACAATCCAATTAGAATAAAGTCTATTATCGTTTTGGTACCTTGGAATGAAATGGAGTGTTTAAGCGGTGAACATGCCACGTTGCCTGGCAGTTGCTCCATGTCTAACTCATATTCGTCTTGCAGGTTCTTTGCGTGTTGCTAAAATCACACCCTACCTTAGTGTGAGCCATGTATGAAGCTCAGTAACATACCTCTCACACAGGCGTTATCTTAATGTGTCAGCATTCAGAGGGTCCTGAGAGCTAGACAAACATGTCTTAAAATCTTGGTTACGTGTCCTGCTAACAATGGACATTTAATTAAGGTTGCTTTTCAGAAGAATCCAAGCAAAGGCGGGGCGTGGTGGCTCACGCCTGTAATCCCAGCACTTTGCGAGGCTGAGGCAGGCGGATCACCTGAGGTCAGGAGTTTGAGACCAGCCTGGCCGACATGGTGAAACCCCGTGTCTTTACTAAAAATACAAAACATTATCCGGGTGTGGTGGCGGACGCTTGTAATCCTAGCTACCAGGAGGCTGCGGCAGAAGAATCACTTGAAGCCAAGAGGTGGAGGTTGCAGTGAGCCGAGATCACGCCGCTGCGATCTAGCCTGGGCAACAAGAGCGAAACTCTGTCTCAAAAAAATAAACAAATAAATAAATAAAAGAAGAAGAAGAGGAAGAATCCAAGCAGGCATTGATAAAGGACGAGGCAAACTAATGAATCATGTAGCTTAGAGATCAGTAAAACAGAAGTTAGAAGAAGCAGTTTATAGAACTCTTGAATTTTTTCCCCTATAACTTGGTCAGTGATAAATGAGATGAGGAGGAAAATATGAGGCAAAGGCAGGATGGTGGAGAGAAGTTCCAAGGAAGACACTAATCAAAAAAATACTTGGATTGAGACCAGGATAGAATGATGGAAATTTTGATGTCAATGTGAAAGTGAGGCATTCTCAGGGGACTAAATCAGAGAGAAACGAGAATTAAGTACAAGTTGTTCCTAACACATTTATACTCATCAGGCTTATAAATGAGAAAGGAAATCAGTTATTGAATGGGAAATATGTATATATATATATACACACACACAGAGTATATGTACATAAGGTGAGTATATGTGTGTGTATGTATTTAATTCTCCTATGATGCATTGTGGTACTCTGAAGATACTGTTGGGTGTTTGAGATACTAATTATTCTTTTGGAGCCACATGTAAAAATAAGAATAAGATCGCCCTGTACAAATAGTACTGAGGATAGGAAATAGTATGGAAAAGCTCCTTATATTTAGTAAAAGCCATACATGTTGTCTAATTATTGTAACTTTAAGCTCAAAAATCACATGGCCAAGAAAGGTGGCAAGGATAGCTTCCTTTACTCCTTTAAGGTTTTGAAAGGGCTGTATTTGAATTAGATACCACAGGTGGACTGGGGAGCGGTGATGGGAAATGCCCTTACTGTCACTGAATATGGCAGGGATTTAAACCATTTCTCGCTACCTCTCTCCTTTGTTTTTGTCTGACACAGGTTTTATATTGCCAGCCAACTTATCCTTATTGATTTGTTTTACACTGTGAGTCAAAAGGCTACCTCATTTCCTGGTGGGAGATCGTGGTTCTGTAAATACTCCTTTATCCCTTTGTAAATGCTGTTAAAGGCTTCTTGAGGAGAATTCGGTGGTTGTGAGGGTGGGACTAGGCAATCTCTGTAGTCCCTTCCCACAGTGTAGTAGGAGAGTTGGTTTTGCACTTGGTTCCCTGTGCCTAAAATGTTCCCAAAAGTCGGGGCATTGATGCTTGTAATTCCTGTGATTCCTGCATTCCCAGTCAGAGATCTGAACTAGCATGCTTGGTAAGCATTGCTTTTGAACTGCCAAGGAGTACTGGTTTTTACATGGAGTCTAGCCATCAGATACCGGCTCATCTCCTGCTTCATTTTCGGTGCTGCGTTGAGGTTGGAGATACAGATGTGGTTGATCATGCACAGTTAAGTAGGGGAGTGTTTTGGGTCTCTGCAAAGTAAGGATGTGGTAGAAATAGCAATACATCTAGAGAATGATCACATGGTGAGTCTGTTTATTAGCCAACAAATAGAAAGCAAATCAAAATGCAGACAGTATCCATGTGGTCATCTGCGATGTGTGCATCTCTATGCCTTAGGTGAAATTCCAGGGTCTAAACAGCTTTGTGCCTCCCTCCACGATGGAGTTTCCTACTTAATGATGAGCATGAATTGGAGGAGGGTTTTGCCCACAGCTGTCACAATCCAGTAGGGGTCACTGGTCCATTTGGGGAGTGAAGATGGACAAATGGGAATGGTCCTGAGCGGTCCCATTCATCTCCCTAGGGAATCATGGTTGCATCTCGTCATGGGGAGGGTTTTCTGTTTCATGTACCTCCTCTAAAGGAAGATTTTTTTTTCTCTGATTGATTTATCTGTGGACCTGCTTATCTACTGTTCTACCTAGCCATAGAGTTTTTAAATAAAAAAGTTTCTGGAATTGCTTAAAAACTTGTTACATGTGCCTTCCCTCACCCTTACCTCTGCAGCTAAGAAGCCTGTCCTTACAAAAGGCGAACAGTCCAGTCGTGGGCAAGGTTTAAGTAAAAGCAGTCACTAGTAGCTGCTGTCTTCTAATCCTATTGGTTACCCAAGAGAAGAAGAAAAATCATTATATGATGGTATCCAGGATTCCAGGCACTAGTTAGGAAATTTTCTTGATTTCTTACCCATAACCAGCTACAGAAGTGCTTGTGACATACTATTGTGGAGGAGGAAGATGATCCCTGGTTGAGGTGTTTTTCTCCATAGGGAGATCCCACATGCCTGCACTCGTCCCCACATCTCAGTTCTAGAACAAACTCTCCCTCACTTGTGAAAGACTCAAAACACTCCCCTACTTAATACCAACCATATCTGTATCTCCAACCTCAAGACAGTCCAGAGTCTTTCCAGCTCTGTGCCTTCTGGAGACCATGTCTAGAAATGCTCATCACTCTCAGGCTCCTCCCAAAATGTCATAGTTTGTACATGAATGAGCATCTACTGAGTGTTCGGATAGTTGTAGTTCTCCATTTTGAAGTAGATTTTTTTTAAGACTTTTTTTATTTTTTATTTTTGAGACGGAGTCTTGCTCTGTTGCCAGGCTGGAGTGCAGTGGCACAATCTCGGCTCACTGCAAACTCCACCTCCCGGGTTCAAGTAATTCTCCTGCCTCAGCCTCCTGAAGAGCTGGGACCATAGGCTTGCACCACCACCCCCAGCTAATTTTTGTATTTTTAGTTTAGACGGGGTTTCACCATGTTGGCCAGGATGGTCTCTGTCTTCTGACCTCTTGATCCGCCTGCCTTGGCCTCCCAAAGTGCTGGGATTACAGGCGTGAGCCACTGCGCCTGGCCAATACTTTATTTTTTTAGAGCAATTTTAGGTCCACAGCAAAATTGAGAGGAAGGTACAGAGATATTCCTTATGCCCCCTGAGATACACATATTTTCATATTTTAGCATTTTTTAAATGTATGTGATTTTTAAACATTGATGTACTGTTCATTAAAGAATTGGAAATACTTAAAAAATTTAATGGGACATTTAATAAAAATGAATTTTGAGTTGATGGTATCTTAGATTTGGTGAAATATGATGTTTTCCTTTGGTGTCTCCTATTCAATGGTAAGCTTTCTTTCATTGGATACCAGAAATCTTGGCTTATAATAGTTACTTTGTGTCTCAGCAAACCGTGAGGGTCTTGTTATAATAAAATTAACAATTAATTACTTTCTTTTCTCCTTCCTTCTTGTCTTCCATCCATCTCCTTCCATCCATCTCCTTCCTTCCTTCCTTCCTTCCTTCCTTCCTTCCTTCCTTCCTTCTTACCTATCTACAGCTTAGGGAAAAAGATGGGACAGATTACTATTTAGCTTTAGGAAAGTCTTATTTTCTTTTATTTTAATTTAATATTTAAGATATTGGTAAAGATAAATCTTGTTGAAGAGCTGTTGAAAACAAAATGATGAGAGAATGAGAACATATCGAAGTAAGATGATGACAGAAAGCTGAGATGGAAAATAGCATGCTAAAATCTAGTAGGATAACGGGATGGATCTTTAGCCCTTGGTGAGTGACATTACAGGTTAAGCGTCCCTAATCTGAAAATTGGAGCTCCAAAAAACACTTCAAAATGTACGGCTTTTTGGCTGCCAGCATGGTATCAAAGTGGAAAATCCACACATGACTTCATGTGACGAGTTGCATTCAAAATACAGTCACAACTTTGTTTCAGGCACAAACTTATTAATTAAAAATATTGTTTAAAATTACCTTCAGACTATATGCATATATAAGGTATATGTGAAAGTTAAATGAATTTCATGTTTAGACTTGGCTCTCACATTTAGACTCAAGATTTCTAAGATATCTCATTATTTATTTGAAAATATTCCAAAATTTGAAAAAATCCAAAATCTGAAATTTTGGATTTTTTGGAAAAGGTTCCTCAACCTCTACTGGATTCTGTACTTACAGGTTAGGAAATTGTTTTTTTTCTGTAACATCTTTATGTGAAGCAAAAAGCAGAGTTTATGCATATTGAGCTTTATTAAACCATGCCTTAACATTTGTACATGTCACCTTACTTGAGTTTCCACAACCTCTGTTTAACATAATAAATTAAGCATCCAGATCTGTCTTTAATGTATCAAGCATGACCCTAGATTTAGTATAAAGGAAGCTCTTCCAGAAATGTAAATTTTACTCAGTTAGTCAACATTTTGCAGCTTGTTGAGTTTCCTTCTGCAGGCATATCCTGCTTGTGAGCCCTGTACTTTTAAGTGAATGTGATCTGCCCTGAGGATTCCTTTTCCCCAGCAGTATGCTATTTCTCAGCCAAAAGTACTAAAATCACTTCAAGGGACTTGATTCATAGGTAAAATACAATTCACAAGTAATTCTGGAAAGCATTCTTCTCCTGGATATCTGCCCTGCATGTTCACTTAGAAAGGTCGTTTAGTCATTCAACACACATTTCATGAATGTTTGTGCTAAATGCTTGGCATGCAGGCTTCCTGCCTTCAAAAGATGTGCGCTCTGGTTGGGGAGATGGACAAGAAAGCTGGCAATAGTAGCAGAGATGCACAGGGAGTGACAGGAGCATGTAGGTGCATACACTTGTGTAGGAATGTGTCTGTGTGAGTGTGTGTGTGTGTACGCTTGTGCGCGTTTGTTATTGCTGCAGGACCTAAGGGGAATCCTTCTTTGGTACAGACTCAGGAGCCTGCACTTAACTATTTCTTGTCTGGAGCATGCTCTCCCTCACCCTCAGCTGTCATATAACTTGCTCCTTAGCTCAGTTCAGGTCTTTTATCTTTTGAGGCAGGCTCTTACTCTGTGGCCCAGGCCGGAGTACATTGGTGTGATCATGGCTCACTGCAGCCTCGGCTTCCTGGGCTCAGGTGATCGTCCTGCTTCAGCCTCCTGAATAGCTGGGATTACAGGTGCGTGCCACCATACCTG
This sequence comes from Homo sapiens, assembly GCF_000001405.40. NCBI lineage: Eukaryota > Metazoa > Chordata > Mammalia > Primates > Hominidae > Homo > Homo sapiens. The sequence continues at coordinate 61,922,803 of NC_000003.12, forward strand.
GCTAATTTTTGTATTTTTGGTAAAGACAGAGTTTAGCCATGTTGCCGAGGCTGGTCTTGAGTTCCAGAACTCAGGTACTCTGCCTGGCTTGGCCTCGCAAAGTGTTGGGGTTACAAGCGTAAGCCACCATACCCCACCCAAATTAACCTCTTTAAAACATTATTTCTATCCTGCTCTATTCCCTTATGCCCCACTACGCCTTGAATTTTCTTCATAAAGATTATCCCCACTAGGTATTGTATCATTGTTGTCTCACACTCTCCAATAGAATTTAACTCTTTTTACCCTGTTCTTTTCCCACTGCCTAGAGCTTAGTAGGTACTGATTAAAATGTATTAAGTTAATGCTGTGACATACCAGCTCTGACTTTTCCATAATTTGAGCCCATTAACTATTGTGTCTTCCCCAAACTTCACAAAATTAATCATTATTTTGCACGTGTGTCAGTGGAGACCCTGAGCTGTGTGAAAATAAGCGATGGCTTTAGAAAAGTGCTAAGAATTGATTTAACCGTACATCATATTTGCTGTTCCTATGCATATCTTTACTTGCTCCGTGAAATCGCCAGCGTTTTCCCAAAAGCAGACACTCTTTTTTTATTTTTTATTTTTATTATTATTATACTTCAAGTTTTAGGGTACATGTGCACAACGAGCAGGTTTGTTACATACGTATACATGTGCCATGCTGGTGTGCTGCACCCATTAACTCGTCATTTAGCATTAGGTATATCTCCTAATGCCAACCCTTCCCCTCCCCCCACCCCACAACAGCCCCCGGTGTGTGATGTTCCCCTTCCTGTCTCCATGTGTTCTCATTGTTCAGTTCCCACCTATGAGCGAGAACAGTTCCCACCTATGAGCACCACCATGTCCAGTTTATTTTTTGTATTTTTTTTTTTTTTTTTTTGTAGAGACAGGGTCTCACCATGTTGCACAGGCTGGTCTTGAACTGTTGGGCTCAAGCATTTTGGGAGGCCCACCTCAGCCTCCCAAAACACTGGGACTATAAGCATGAGCCACTGTGCCCGGCTTTGTTGGTTTTTCTATCACTATGCTATTATGCTATAAAATATAGTAAAGGGGATGTATTAACTGTTAATTTTATCAAGTAAACGATTCATCTTCGAGAATAACTAGGAGAAACATTCATTTCCATTATACTATTTGCTATAAGACAATTTCATAGACATTTTTAGAGGTTTCTTTAAGATATCCTGTATTAGTTCTTATGCTATAGAAAGCTAGGGCTTTTCCCATCGTTGGATCTCCTACTGGATTTTCCTTTTTTTCTGCTATTCAAAATTTATGTTTCCTCTTGGGCTCACTTTCCTTTCCTCAAAGGTGTACTGCTGTAGTGTGTTCTCTCTGTGCCATGGCTCCAGTTGGCCGGCAGTCAGGTGGCCTGTCCTTCTGTCTGCCAGAATGGTCCTGTGACCATGCAGATCCTGACCTGCACTTGCAGGTCACAGGGTCAGCTGCTTCTGGATATGGCAAGTCCTAATTTGGAAACTGGATTCCATCCTGCCTACCACCAGCCCAGAAGGAAGGAAATGGAGTTTGTGGTGGAAGAAAACCGGCTATTGTTATTAACAGGAGGTTATATTAAGCACTGTCATTTTTAGCACATTCTAAATAAATGCCTTATATTGAAGAGCCAGAGAAGGAAACGGAAACTTTGAAGCACCTTGATTAAAAAGTATGAGCTTAATTACAATTGGCACAAATTGTTCAGCATCTCCCACGTGCTGTCACTGTGCTGAGTACTTACATGTAGTAGTGAACAAGACAGCTATGGAAGAAATAATTGCTCCTGCTGAAAATACTATGGCAGTGAAACAGAAGATGGGATGAAGTATTTGAGTAGGTGATTTAATCCTCTGGTCCAGGGGTCAGTAAAGTTTTTCTGAAAAGGGCCAGATAGCAAATGTTTTAGGCTTGTGAGGGTCATATGGTCTCTGCTGCAACTATTTGTCTTTGTCATTGTAGTAAAAAAGCAACTGTTGTGGACTGAATGTTTCTGTTGCTCTGAAATTCATATACTGAAGCCTTGCTCCCCAGTGTGATGGTATTTGGAGGTGGGGCATTTGGGAAGTAATTAGGTCATAAGCGTGGAGCTCTCATAAATGGGATTATTGCCTTTGTCTAAAGAGTCAGAAGAGAGATGATATCTGCAAGCCAGGAAGGTTATATTGAAATCTTTGTAAGAACCCCACAGAACACACTGGTCCCCTGATTTTGGACTTCCTAGCCTCCAGAACTGTGAGAAATAAATTTCTATTAGTTAAGCCACCTAGTTTGTGGTATTTTGTCATAGCGGCTCAAGGTGACTTAAGACAGAATCATAAATAGTACACAAATGGACATGGCTTCTTTCAGTAAAACTTTATTTATAAAAACAGATGGCAGTCTGCATTTGGCCCATTGGCCGCATTCTGCTGACCCATCACCTTGGTGCTTTTTCTGCTTTTTCTCTGTTGTCCTCTGTGTGTGTTCCTTTGTCCTGATCCTTGTCACCTTGTGGGTCCAAAATGGTTCCACTAGCCTCATGGAGCCTGGCCTTACATTGCAGAGTCCAAAGCAGGAGCTGAGGGAAAATGAAAAACAACTTCTTCATCACCGGAAGCCCAGCAAACTTCTCCTTAAAAATCACTGGTCAGGGCTGGGTGCAGTGGCTCACACTTGTAATGCCAGCACTTTGGGAGGCTGAGATGGGCAGATCACCTGAGGTGAGGAGTTCGAGACCAGCCTGGCCAACATGGTGAAACCTCATCTCTACAAAAATGCAAAAATTAGCCGGGCCTGGTGGCGTGTGCCTGTAATCCCAGCTACTCAGGAGGCTGAGGCAGGAGAATTTCATGAACCTGGGAGGCGGAGGTTGCAGTGAGCCAAGACTGTGCCACTGCCTTCCAGCCTGGGTGACAGAATGAGACTCTATCTTTAAAAAAAAAAAAAATCATCATTGGTCAAAGTTGCAGCACCTGCCAACCTATACGCCAGTGTTCACCAGAGGGGATTAGGATTCTTATAACTGGCTTGTCCCGAGCATGACTTATTCCTTGGGATGAATACATTACTGTTCCAACAAAATCCCTGTTGATGAGGTAACCAGCAGTGTTTCCATAGGAACTCGAGCTCCTGGCTATTCCTAGCCTGGTTCTCTGACCAGCAGCACCAGCGTCACCTGCCAGCTTGTTAGAATGGCAGAACCTCAGACCCTTCCTGTAACTACTATATCAGAATAGAAACCGCATTTTAGCAAGATCTGCAGGTCATTCACAGACACAGTAAAGTTTTAGACATGCTGATCTGGAGAGGTAATGGAGGGCTATTTTAAGGAAATCCATGGAAATAAACTTGGAGAAAGAGTAGCTTGAGTGGTTGGTAGCTGATATGGTTCGGATCTGTGTCTCCCCCCAGATCTCATGTTCAGTTGTAGTACCCAGTGTTGGAGTTGGGTCCTGGTGAGAGGTGATTGGTTCATGGGGGTGGCTTTTCATGAATGGTTTAGCACCATCCCCTTGGTGCTGTTCTTGTGACAGTGAGATCCAGTTGTCTAAAAGTGTGTAGCACCTCCCCCTCCTCTCTCTTGCTCCTACTCCAGCCATGTGATACGTGTGCCTCTCCTTCACCTTCCTCCATGATTGTAAGTTTACTGAGGCCTTCCCAGAAGCCAAGTAGGTTGCAATACCATGCATCCTGTACAGGCTGCAGAACTGTGAGCCAATTAAACCTCTTTTCTTCATAAATTACTCAGTCTCAGTCCTCCTTTCTTCCCCTTCCCTCCCTCCCTCCCTCCCTCCCTCCCTCCTTCCTTCCTTCCTTCCTTCCTTCCACTAACATCATAAGGTATTTTTTTATATCAGTGCAAGAACAGATTAATATGGTAGCCCAGCCTTGACTCCCATTCATATAAATGCCATTATAATTCCAGTTTGTAGTGATATCTCAGATTTAATCCACATCTTAGTACATTTTATGGTGTTTAGTGTTCATAGTGGACCATAATTATTTAGAGGATCCTCTTTACTCCTTTTTGCCTCCAGCAAGTTCTGACAGTGTTCATAGTGTTAGGAGGTTGAAATTAAAACAAAAACGAAAAAAACAGTTCGGGGGGAAGAAAAAAAAAATCTGTACATGTTGTCCTTTTCTACCTGTAATGTAGTGCATGCAGATGACAGGACATTTCTTGTCTTTATTTTGAAAATCATTTGCCATCGTTCATGATGTGCAACTGCATGAGTACATATGACTGTCAAGTGTCTGGATTCTATTTCTGAATTCAGGAAACTCCAGAGTTAAGCAACCAAATTCCATTTCAGAATCCGCTTCTATTTTTGTTCTGTTCATTTGATCTTTTCCATCGGTAGGCACATTAGCTTACTAAGCATAAAGAACTTTTTTTTCCTCCCAGCTATATATTCTCCACAAAACACTGAGGGCTTCCCTGGGAAATAAATCCCTGGCTAAATGGAAATGTGGTTGGTTTCATGGTATATCTTCAGGTCTTGGACAACAGCTCTGTGCTTGCAGTCTTCTTTGTGTGACATTTGGAGGCCGAGCTCTCAAATGTCCCTTGAATTTCATTAACTGGTGTGCTGTTTTGAGTTAACTGTGGAGAGAGGCCTATTGGAGATGGTCCCTGCCAGTTGGGCAGCTCTCCCACTTGGCTGTTTTGAGAATTGTTATATCCTGTACTATGGAAACAGGATGAACTTGGCCATGAGTGTGGGCCAGAAGCCTCTATCCCATTTATGCGGACTTGCTGGCTGAGTTTTGAGAAGTGCATGATTTCATTTGGGCTGTGGTTTGCTGCTAACCGTGTGAGTCTGCAAAATGATCCCTTTTAAGTAGAACCAGGACAGAATAACCCTGGAGCTATGTTTGGTGTGGTTTGTCTGCAAGGGTTAAAAGCTCACTACAGGATGTTGCTGCTTTATAAAATTGAGGCCTCCTTGAAAGTTGTGTCATTTCTATGCTTTATGAATAGGATTATCTTCTTTATGCAGCAGTCATTTGATGTTGAATAGAAGCTGAAGATACAGTTCCTCTGTAAAGATTTCATCATTGTTTGATTGGTAAAGGTGGACATTTTCCCCCCTTTCCAGGTGAGGTATACGTGCGTTCAAAGAGGGATGGGGCAGGAAGGTGGTTGGCGGTGGTCAGAAAGCCATCTGTAACTCAGGTGATTTTCCTGTACCGGTCACCTAGCTGAATCTGAATGAGAGTTTTTTGTAAAGTTGTGGTAGAAGATAAATTAGCCTGATGATGGATTATGCACTATTTCTCTTCTGCTATAAGGGGTATGAGGCCGGAGGTTAGGAGACTCACACACAGTCATGTTGTCTGTCAGAGGGAGGATGAAGCCGAGAGTTGAGTGGCCTTCAAGCTCCCTCTGGTTGCTCATACCTTGTTTCTTTCTCCTTCTTATGAGTTGGGAACATGCCCAAGAAACCTTGTAAGTGTGAAATACAGCATGCCTAGTCTCTCCTGCAGAATAATGCGACCCCATATTTGTTAACCACACAGACCTTAGAATGTGACAGTTTTCTAGCTTAAGTGAATTGGAATGAAACCCTATCACATTTTCCAAACCAGACTTATTTTGCCTGAGTCCATTTTTTTAATCCCCTACTTTCTACTTGAAAAATGAAATTGCTTGAATTTACTGAAAGAAAAAGTCATAGCAATTGTCAGACTGCATGAGGAGGGTATTTATTCAGATTTCATGGATGGGGCCAGTATTTTCTGGAACATGTTGCTGAAGTTTATGAGCATTTAAATTATAGGATGCTATTTGGGATTCTCCCTAAAACAAAAGCTTTTATAGTGTGATACTATGCTTTTAAGAAGACAAAAACACTGGTTTGATTTTTTTTTCATTTCAGTTTTTACTTCTGTTTTAAAAGTTTAAATATATTTTCTAGAGATACTGGAGATAAGGGGGATGAAAATGTCTTATCTCTTTTCAGGGTTGATATATATTTATAGAAAGGTATCAGATGTATTGTGACAGTCTATAGATGTAATAAAATATTTCACTATAAAACAGTTGATTGGAGTCATACAGTGGTTCTCAACTAAAGGTGATTTTTCTCTTCCCCTACTCCTGGGGACATTTGGCAGTGGATGGAGACATGTGTGGTTGTCACAACGGGAAGGATGTTGCTATTGGCAGTCTAGCGAGTAGAGGCCGGGGATGCCACTGAACATCCTACAATGCACAAGGACAACCCCCACAGCAAAGGAGTCTTTGGCCCCAAATGAGAAACCCTAGAGTGGCATAACCAAAACCAAATGCTTTAATAAATACCCAGCCCTGAGGTTTTGGTATTTAAAGTGACATTTAACATCACCAAAAACATGTCAAAAATGTGTCAGCCATTTAACACATGCATAAAGCCTTCTTTTTTAAAATAACAGATGTGAGACTTCTGAGCCACATTTTTCCTAGAGGTTGTTCTCTCTCTGGGAATGAATACCGAGGTGCTATTTCACATTATAAAATTTTTAGCTACTGAAGAATTATGTTTAAATTTGAAAAAAAAAATACTTTTGCTTTTTACCAGATCGAGCGTTTCTTTAGTGGCATTCTCTTTTAATCCAGTGATTTTCAAGTGACCCCGTATTTAGTCCTAAAGTTCCATTTCTCAACTGAAACTCAACATTTAGTTGAGTAGCCCATTCTAGTTCTATATGCTTTTCATAATGGGCTTCCTTTGAGCAAAGTTCATGCATTGCACCTAACCGTCCTTTGGATGTGAGTTTTTCATTGTGGATTACTGCCCAAAGAAGTGATGAATTAAATTGTTAAACTCATTTAGCTGTGACCTGAGATGAATAGAGTGCATTTGAAAAATGAGCACAGGTTGTTTATGAGCCGTCGTGTCGGCATCACACTTCAGAGTCGGTGTAGATGTCTACCGCTCTAGCCCTATGGGCTGCAGTGATTCAGGAGCAAGAGCGAGCAGTGGGTTCTTTCTAACGTGTCAGCCTTTTGACCTTGAGCTGCATTAAGGCTTTCACATGTGCAGTTGATTAAGATTTTTATTTTCTTCCTTTATTTCATTTGTACCATATGCACAGAGAGTCGTGGATAACAGTTTAGACTAAATAAAGGACATTGAATTGTCAGTAATGAAATATCTTGTTTTAATTAAAACTATTAGTAATGCTCTTTCTTGCCCTGGATACTAGGATATTGACATACTTAATGGTAGAATAACAGATAATGCGGTATTTTTTTTTTTTTTTGCTTTTTACTCCTACAAATTGCTTTTAAATTCTCTAAGATCTGGTTGACAATTGCCAGTATAAGTATTTATAGAGAAAGATAAAGATGGAGCTACCTACACTGTATCTATAAATACAGCTGTACATATAAAATTTGATGGTGACAGCCATCTTGCCTGTTTCAGCTGTGTGTGTTTTTAGGAAGATTTGAATATAAAAGATTTGTATTTATATAAATTATTTTTTGTATTTTGTGTGGCTTCATACCCTCAAGGGTGACTTTGAAAGGTATCTTGACCCAGGGACACCAACGAGTTTATTCCAACAATTCCACGTGGAAGAATGTCAGTGATTCCCTGGAGGTCAGAGTTCCGTCTCCCCCTGTCTTCTCAGCAGTGTGATGAGGGGCTCCCAGCACACAGATTATCACTTCCATTCCTTTTGGGATGTAGACCTGCATCTTATGTGTTGCGTCTTACTTTTGAGTTACTGTGAACAACTGTTTTCTTCATCTGCCAGTTAAAGACAAATTACAAGGAGGAAAGGATGGAAAATACAGGAAAAGAGTGTGAAAGCCCAAGAACTTAAAGCTCTGGATGTACAGTTGTTCTTTTTTGTGGAGTCAAGCGTCATTGTGGCATCCTCTATGGGTGTTCCAAAATTACAATTATAGTTAGAGAAATAATATAGGTAATTATGCTGTCGAACCACTGTAAAGGAGAGCACGTAAAAGAAGGCAGTGCGGCCAGGCGCAGTGGCTCATGCTTGTAATCCTAGCACTTTGGGAGGCCGAGGCCGGTGGATCATCACGAGGTCAGGAGTTCGAGACCAGCCTGGCCAATATGGTGAAACCCCATCTCTACTAAAAAATACAAAATACAGAAATTAGCCGGGCATGGTGGCGCACCTGTAGTCCCAGCTACTCGGGAAGCAGAAGAATCACTTGAACCTGGGAGGCAGAGGTTGCAGTGAGCTGAGATCACGCCACTGCAGTCCAGCCTGGGTGACAGAGTGCAGCGCCTAATTCATTGCTTAGAAGGGCCCAAAGCTCCTTCCTGCCCGTGGGCCATGTGCTGTGGTTCCTGCAGCCTCCCCAACCTGATCTTCTCTGTTTGCTTTTGCTCATTTTGCTTCTGCAGCACTCACTGCTGGGCCACTTTGCTCTGTTCTGATTTGCATTCTTGTTCTGTGCTACCTGTGCCTGGAAGGCTCTGGAAGGTTTTGCGATGTTGAGCGCATTTTCACCCTCAACAGTTCTGCTTAAAGGTTTATTACTTGTTGTGGCTAACTCCAAGTTACTTTGCTGCCGTTTTTCTGGAATCCTGCTTGATGATATTTGGTAAATAGAATAATGTTGGCACAGACACACTGCTCTTCTGTTTCATGTGTGGTAGTGGTATGTCCACAGTCTTTTTTGATTCTTCCCTTACTAAGTCATGGCCACGTTACCCGTGCTGCCTCCGGAGCTAAGCTAACCTCACTGGATCTGCTGGCGAGGGACTGTGTGTCCCGGGCCCAAATGGGTTACTGCTCTTACACAAGTCAAGACCCCGTGTCCTCTTAGAGCTGCCTTCCCACCCTCTTCTAACCTTGACTTTACTAATTTAAGTTTATGATCTAACATGATCAAACGCACAACTGAGTCTATGTTGTTTACTTTCTGGTGGCTTCAAAGAATATCCAACCACCTCCATTCCCCTCAAAACAAAAACAAAAACAAAAACACCAGGAGATTCATTCAAGGATGATGACCATATTATCATTTTTCATTGTCTGATCCATGTTATTTGTTGAGTGGATGTTATGACAAACTCTCATGTTTAATAACAAAATCGTGTTTCTGTTCTTAGCTCCAAAGCCAGACCTTTGGTCCTAAAGTTTTTGAAGCTTCTGGTTGAAACATTGCTCTTCTATGTTGTCTTCCTTTCTTAGGAATGGTCAACCTTTATTGTACTCATGACATTCATCATTTGTATTTTCATTTTTTATTTTTTTACTATTTAAAACATGTTTTTTGCTAACAATATTTTCCCCTGCCAAAATCTGTTTGCTTTTAAAAAATGAATTAGCTTAGATTTACTCTCCAGGTCAATTATATATCTACCACTAAGTGTGTGTCAGATGGGGTCTGCAGGTGTGGGACCAACTAGCTCCTTTCTGAAGCCAATGGTTTGGTAAAGCTTTGTGACCTGAGAGCTGCATCTTTGGATTGGATATTACATAGATTCTTGTAATGCAGCACTGCATGGAATTATCCCAATGTGGGCATCGGTGTTGAACACAACAGACCATAAAATTCCATTTCATTTCTGTTGCATAAACATAGGATCACAAATAGTGTGATTATTTCTAGCAGCCTCAGGCGTCTTAGCCAGGGGGAACATGTAGGAGACTATGAATACTTAAATATATTATAAGCTTCCCCACATGAGCTGACCAAGTACCTTTGACACTAGCCTTTAAAAGGGTCGAATATAAAAACCTCTAATACGGTCACTTGCTGAGTTCTTACTGTGTGCAAGGCGCTGTTTTCATGCTTTCATTTGCATTATCACAGCAAGTCTTCAAGCTAGCATTGTAGTGCATTATATTCTCACTTCACAGCTGAGGGCATGGAAGCCCAGAGAGGTCATGACACTTGGCAGAATTGCACAGTAAGGGCAAAAGGTGGGTTTTGAACCCATGTCTTTTGACTCAAAACTTGTAACCACCACCACCAAAATCTTGGTCAGAAACAATTCAGTTTCTCTCACAGTTGCTTTGATCTTGATTGGCTTTCCCTTATGGGTTTTTCAGGCGCAGCATTCTCGTGTTCTCCTTGTCTCAGTATTTCATGGGAGGCAGGCAGTGCCGCAGAGCCTTGAGGAAGACTAATCTGGACCAAGACTGGGGCTAGAATAAATGAATGAAACCCCCCACTTGCTACTTCACTTTTAGCTAAAAAGTCCAAAATGGTTAAATTGGCTGTCTGAAACCCATATGGCTGAGAATTTGTGGTCAGACAAGCAAAACTGAGCACAGCCTCTGCTGCGATCCTGTGATTGGGGTCCCCAAAGCAAATGTCTGTTGGAGTTCCTCAGAAAGCATAAATATGCAAAACAAAAAGGTAAAAGACAGTAGGAAATAGTGGAGCTGGGGTCTATGTGGAAAGGTACATTTCTCTTTTCAACTTCAGGTTAAAAAGTAGTAACAAAATCCTAAAAACCTGGTGGTGAATCAAAATGATGCTGAGATACGATTTTGTCCCCTCTGCAGTAAGAGTGCTGATCTGTGATGGCAGAGATCTTTTTTATTCTTTTTTGCTCTCAACTATTAATTGTACTGGGTACCTGATGGGCACTCATTAAATATGTTGTGAACAAATAACAAACCACTGTAAGACTCAGTTTTCTCATCTATAAAATAGTCATGATGAGAGTTCACAGCTCAGGGGGTAAAATGAGATTCCCCACCAAGCATACGTTGCTTCTGGTGTCTGGTGAGTGTAAGTGATAATGGAAGTGCTGACTGTTAATAACAATTTCCACTAATTGATTAATTGATTATTACCATGTCACTCCTCCATGCTTTACTTGGTAGCAATGACCTTTTGTAAAGGGTCACCTAAGACCATCAGAGTGTGACTCAACATTGACGGTGGCCACTGACGCCCCTTCCACTGCTCTCTAGTCCCATGGTTTCCTCTCCATTTTCTAGAGTGTTTTTTAGATACTGTATCTCACCAGTAGCCATAGGAAATGATGAGATAATCAAACAGATTTCTGCCTTGTCTCCTCAATGATACCAGTTTTTTCTTTCTTTGGCATTTATATCAAACATGTAATCAGTAGATCAGCTAGTTTGAAAATAGTCTCCACTGCAGAAATTCACCCCATTAGATATCTGTGCCATCAAGCCCAGGGAAAGCAAATTTCCTCTCTGCAAGTGAGCCACATGTGGGTCAGGCAGGCTCATGCTTTCGCTCCTGCACCTGTGTTTTCGTGTCTGAATATTTTATGGGCTTAAAGATGCAGCTACAATTTCCTCACTTTGTGGGGACATTTAGCTTGTTCTACAGGGTGTTTAGACTTTCAGTGGTGTGGGGATGTGTATTCTAACAAGAACAAAAGAAAGGTGCCAGTCTTAAGCGTAGCTCTCATCACATTAAGTTTTATATATGCATATATAGAGATGTGTATATATTTTTAAATGTATTAATTAGAATCACTGACACTGCATATTCTGGTGTATGTCAGAATGCCCTAGGAGATGGATGCTTAAGTAATCTGCAGAGTGGATTATATCCTTGCATTTGCTCTAAAACTTGGATTTGCTAATACTGACTGTGCTATTCACAAAATTTAAATATCTTTTCTCGGTGTGTGCATTTGCAATCCTGTTTTTCTGCTGTAACAATAGTCCAAGTAACAGTGACTTTTAACGATATGCTGAATTTTGTTCTCATCTAGTAGTCTGTCCTCCAGCAATTTAGGGCTGATCTGGTGACTATGTTGAGTTGATCCTGACTACGCCTATCTTGCTCCTGTGTTGTCCACCACCTGTCTCATGATCACAGGTGGGGACCCCAGTTCCTGCCATCATATCTGCATTGTGGCCAGCTGGAAGGTACAAAGTATAGAGTATGTCTCATTCCCTTTTAAGAGTGTGTGCTGCTCCCACTCTTGTCCTATTGGTCAGAATTTATTCACATGTACATCCCTAGCTGCAAGGGAAGCTGGGACATGTAGTCTTAAACTTGGGTGGCCAGCAGCCACTGACCTGGGGGTTCTATTGCTTATTTTGTTGAAATAAATTGACATAGTCTTCTGACCATGGGGAGCTTATTTGTCCTGTTGTGTATCATGCCCCTGGTGCTCAAATCAGTGGCTGGCACATCATGATGCATGGGATGCGTTGCTTAAATGAATGAATGAAATGGAGTTCATCTCCTCTTTGGAACTTCTTGAGTGCGGAGTTCCCAACACGTCCCTTCCACCTTCCTTTCACAGCTCTTCTTTCCATTCCAGGGGTTTACAGACATCCTCCTCTCCTTCCCACACATGTGCCTTTACTGGCTCTGAAGAGAGCTGCCACGTGCAGCCCCCATCTCCGCCTCTCCCTACACCAGGCCCAGCACCCACATTCCCTTTAACTGTTGTGCATTTTCATAAGCTGAGGTCCTTCCCCCATCCTTGTCTCTCACCTCCAAACACATTCCAGTTTGCTCATTTATTCTTTAAAAGTGTGATCTACATAATGGAGCACAGCTTCTCAGTTTTGCAAGTAACAGATGGACAGAATACGTCCTGCTTCGTGTGCTTTTGATGGACATCCTGTCTTCTCCACACTCTTGACTACAATTTCTTTCTGTGTGGCACAGAACATGGCAAAATTACGCACGTGCACACATACAGACTCACACACCCAACCCCACCAAAAATACATATTAAACAAACTTCATGGCAGGCAGAAGAAAGGAACTTTCTTGATCTTTCTCCAGATGCAAAAAGAAACACTACCTAAAGCAGTGTAGACAGTTTAGGCATAAGGGCAGCTGGACAGTGGTACATTTTATACCACTGTTAGTATACTTGTGCCATGTAGGGCTTTATATTGACCACTGACTTTACTGCTGATATCTTTTTTTAATCGTATTCTTATTCTCGGAGTCCCTTACCTTTTTTTTTTTTTAATGTTGTAATTTCTGTATATTTGCAAGATGTCCCAAATCCAAGAAGTCATCATATATATAAAGTATGTATATCTTAGAATTATATTAATATTAGCCAACCTCACCTAATCCTGTCTGTCCTGGGCATTGTTCTGAGCACTTCATATAGAATATTTAATTTAATAACTGCTTGGTTTAAATGATGGTGTTCCCTTCAAAATGCGTGTTGAAACTTAATCCCCAGTGTAAAAGTATTAAGGTGTGGCCTTGGATGGTGATGAGGTCATGAGGACTTTGCCCTCATGAATGGTATTACTACCCTTATAAAAGAGATTAAAGTTGAATGAAGTGCTGTCTTGCCCTTCTATTCCCTCTGCCACATGAGGAAACAGCGTTCCTCTTCTCTGGAGATTGCAATACAAGGCACCATCTTGGAAGCAGAGAACAGCTCTCATCAGACATCAGTCCTGTTGGTGCCTTGACTTTGGACGTCCCATCTTCTAGGACCATGAGAAATAGATTTCTGTTCTTTATCAATTACTCAGTTGCAGGAATTTTGTTACAGCAGCACAGACAGACTAAGACAATTACCCTGTGGGACAGGTACTAGTTCTATCCTCTTTAAGTGAGGTGAGTAACTTGCCCATGAATTCTTTTCAGAGATGAGATTCAGTACCAGGTGACTTGAATCCAGAACTCATGCTCTTGAGTAATCATTAAGCTCTACTGTATTTATTTGTGACTTTTTTAGCTTGGCTTTGACCAGGTGGGACCATGGGCATCATCATAGTTTACTGTGCATCAAATAAATAAAAGCCAGAAAGTAGTCACATTCAACCCCCTACCCGCCCCCTACTGGTCAAAACAGAGCTGTGCTCGGTCTGCTGGAGGTACAGATGAGGGCCAGAGCAAGAGCTGTGTGTTGAGATGGGCTAATTTTCATTGTAGCTGTGTAGCTCCAATTTTTTCCTTAACATGTCTACTATGAAAGGGGATCATCGCTTTTTAGTTCTTCCTAACACTGTGAGGGCTTTAGGTTATGGCGTCTGAAATCCTTACGTTTTGGATGTGGAAATTGTGTGTTATTTATAGCTGACACATGAAGAGAATTACCAGAAGTGATAATGGAGGAGGAATACCTTCTGTGATTTTACTTTATCAAAAGCAACCACTGCGAAAACATCCCCTTATAAAAGCCATATGAGGGAATAGGATGTTTGGCTTAGAAGCAGAACTTGATCCTTGAAGAAGTTCACACAAGTGATGTACACAGCAGAAATGCTTTTAATCCCCACAGGTATCTTGCGAATCAGATGACCAGGCAGAGGAGGCTTTTTTTTGAGACATCCCTCGGGGATGCTATGAACTAAAATGGGAATCGTCTTCTCTAAATGTAGTGCACCGTTGCCCTGTCATTTAGATGAGATGTAGCATCAAAGGAAATCACTGGGGATATTCAGTTGCTAAAGTCTTTCCTTGAAAGATGCAAACCTTCAAGGAGACCTAACCTGTGTGAGAGATTGCTTTCTGGAGAGTCAACCTAGGCAAGCAAAGTGCTTGAATATGCCCACCAGATTTGGCGTCCCTGGCCTTCCTTTTAATGTGAGAACTGCTGGCCATTTCATTTTGACCCTGGTTTCACTGCTGTCGCAAAGTGTCCTTTTGAATCCCGTGGTAGCTTGTGCAAGGTTCCTCGTGCTCTTTCACATCCCAGACATGGAGTTACCATTCTCTTGTAAACCAAACCCAGTTTCTGGGTGAGGCTGTCTCTAGATATTATCAGATCCCAAGTCTTAGAAGCCATTTGAAATACCCTTCATTGAGGATTTAAGGCTGATCGTATTTTCATTATTTAGAACAAATGCTTAAAAATAATGTAAAACCAACTTTACTCTGATGAAGGCAGCTGAAGCCATCATACTTCATAAGTTCTCTCTTCTTTTCTTTGAGGCCTGGAAACTTGGAAACATTTTCACAGCTTCTTGCTTATTTTAGAGGCAAGAAACATGCAGTCAGAGTGATCACAGTTTCAGATTTATAACAGGTGACGGCAAAAGGAGAACATTGTGCTCATCAAACTGCTGTGCCACTTCCACCTCCCAGCTCCAGTATATTTATTAACGTCTTTTGAGTAAAGTCTTAAAATTATCTATTAAGCACAATTTTTCACCCTTTCTGATAGATCACTGGTGCTGCCAAGAAGCTTTTAAGCTGTAAATGAAAAGGAAAAACAATCCTGCATTTGATCTTGGGGTTTTTTTTTTTCCCCCTTCAGTGAATTATCTTAGAACAGAATTTTGCCATGAGTGCTTTTATTGGAATTTAAAACTATAATACCGACTTTTCCTTCAGTCTGGGCTTAAGGTTTCCCACTGTTCTAAGACTGCATTTGAAGTTATCTATCTTATCTTAGTGAAAGTTTAAAAAATACTCTTCCTTTGCATTTAAATTTCTTTCTCTGTGGTTAACTAAATCCGAATGAGTCATTTTATCAAAGCTTTAACATGTATGTTTGTTTTCTGGGTAGCTTATCACCCCTTTTTCTTTTTCCTTTTTTTTTTTTTTTACTTTAAAAGTTTTTTTATATTTGGTTGGATAACCACATGATACGGGTGTATAAAGTTGTTTGTATGACCATAAACTTTGAAAATGGGTTTTAAGAAGGCATTTGCACCATCTTATCCTGCAAATTAGTAACTTTCTGATCTGGAAAAGGACTTTTGCTATGCCTCATACATTTCCCTGGAGTTTGATGTAAATTGAAATTTATTATGAATCAAATTCAATTTTAGGTGTTCTTGAGGAATCTGTAAATGCCAGTTGAGAGGGGAAATTGATTTTGCGTTCAGCCCTCTATGATGAATATCCCCGTGTTTGACACGTGTAAGTGTTCCGCTTATGTTAGTTATTTTTCCTAATAACCTTTCAGAAGTGTCTGCTAATGAAAGTTGTACCTGTTTTTTTCACTTAAGGTGCGGTCAGTTGAAATATTTGCTGTTGCTCTATATTTTATGCAGAGTCTAATGCTTACGCTACGTTATAAACTGAGTCTAAATGGAAAATGAAAATTTTCATTATAGTTGTCTTTTTTTCTAGGAGAAATTAACAGGTACATCTTCTGGAATGAGAAAAAAGTAATAGCATTGCTTAACATTTTCACTATTCAATATCCAGGTATAATTGGTTTCGAGATTTTTGCTTTGGGGGTGAAATATTTCATGAGCGGCCATTAATTCCCATAATAACTGATGTAAAAACTGAGCTTTATGAATGGAAAAGTAGATTCAGACATCAATCATATTTGCTTGGGATCACCCCCTGCAGTTCAGCATAAATCTGTGATTTCCATTATAATACGTTTAAATTACTGCAGCACCTGGGAAAACCGGAACTGGGTACAGGCGCGATGTCCACACTCACCATTTTGACAGTTGTTTGGATCCCGTTCAAACTGGCAGTCACACTTGTAGTGTGTTTAGGAGCAGTTTTTGCACAACTTAAGGAAGCATTTAAAAATAAAACACTGTTTTCTGATAGAAAGCAGCCCTATATTTACTCACACGAGGTTTGCAAAGCTCAGTGGAATAATTTGACATGAAGTGCCTCTAAGCAGACCTCAAACAAGCTCCTTGCCTCCCATAAGCTTAGAAAGAGGATGCTTACATAGCAAAACTGAGTAAATATGCACAGGGCTCATAAAAAGTCGTAAGTGATGGAACCTAAAGAAAAAGCCAGTGCTTAATAAAATCGCAGTGTGAAGATAGATTGCTAAATCTGTCATCCTAGGAAAATGCCAGGCAAATACACAGAAACTGCTGAAGATTTTATAAGATTGTTTAAGGTTTAGCCATGTAAAAGAAGTAAGGTGCTGCATTTTGGGAGAAGATAATCCATACTCTATTTCTGAAATGTTGGGTTTCTAGTTTTCAATAATAGTACATGAAATGGTTTGAGAGTTATATTTAACTTTATTCTCCTGCATTGATCCAAAAGGTCCAATAAAATGTTAGATTTTATTATTTGAGAAGTAATCATTTATTTTGCAAAGCTAAATAGGGAACTCTGTTTTGCCCTTTCATGAAGAGATGGAGTTTCTGCAGCTGGAGCACCATGTGCAGCTCCATGGGCTTTGCAATGTCCACCCATGTTTGATGGAGAAAGAGAGTAACATTTTGGATAACTTTTGAATTGAATGGAAAGAAGTATTGGTGGGGTCCATGTCTTGGCTTCCTTACTGACTTGTCTTTTTTTTTTTTTTTTTTTTTTTTTTTTTTTTTTTTGAGACAGTCTTGCTCTGTTGCCCAGGCTGGAGTACAGTGGCGACCTATCTCAGCTCACTGCAACCTCTGCCTCCCAGGTTCAAGCAATTCTCCTGCCTCAGCCTCCTGAGTAGCAGGGATTACAGGCACCTACCACCATGCCTGGCTGATTTTTGTATTTTTAGTAGAGACAGGGTTTTACCAGGTTGGCCAGGCTGGTCTCGAATTCCTGACGTCAGGTGATCCACCTGCCTCGCTGGGTGGATGAAGTGCTGGGATTACAGGCGTGAGCCACCGTGCCCAGGCACTGACTTGTTTTTAATGTGGTTGCATTACTTACTTTTCTGCACCTTCTTTAACTTTAAATGAAAAATAACCTTTCCTAGCAAAATACTGAGTGCGTAATTAGTAGATAGGTGAGATAGCACTGCTGGCAGAGGTCATGCATGAATGAATGAAACTTGAGAAATGCTGGACTTCAGAACAATTAATCTCATAGCAGTGAGGATACTCTGAAGGAAGTGCCAAGATTTTTTTTCTCCTTCACTGATTCCTCCTTTCTGCCCTGGTTGTTTTTGCATCTGATTTGGCATGTGCTCTGTGTGTCTTGTGATGATTTCTTGTTTTGTTCTCTTGGTAGAATTACACATTTCTCAAGGGGATTTTATTCTGGTTTTTATTGATTTCTATGGATTCAGTAGATGCTTTTATTTATTTATTTATTTATTTTTTATTTTTTTGACAGAGTCTCGCTCTGTTGGCCAGGCTGGAGTGCAGTGGCGCGATCTTGGCTCACTGCAAGCTCCGCCTCCTGGGTTCATGCCATTCTCCTGCCTCAGCCTCCCAAGTAGCTGGGACTACAGGCGCCTGCCACCATGCCCGGCTAATTTTTTTGTATTTTTAGTAGAGATGGGGTTTCACCGTGTTAGCCAGGATGATCTCGATCTCCTGACCTCATGATCCGCCCGCCTCGGCCTCCCAAAGTGCTGCGTTAGATGCTTCTTATATGATGGTCAAACCAATGTGGTCTGGTGGAAGGAGTTCTGTAGTTGAGATCAGACACATTGACATTCTGATCCCAACAGCAGCCATTACTTATTGACTCTTCTTAGGCAAGTTAATTTACAGCTCTGTGCACTCTTCTTCCTGTATTAAATGGAAAGAATACTGCCATCTCACAAACTTGTTGTGTGGATCCAAGGTGATAATCATTCATGAGTGCAATAATTGCCATACTTGTCATAATAATCCAGCAACCATTGTCCTGCAGTCGTCCAACATGCTTCATCCATGTAAAGGGCTTCGCCCAGTGCCTGAAATCTATGACTCTCATTATTATGATTCTCTATCAGGGATAATCTCAGAGAGTCAGATGATCAGTTAAGAGGTCAGTGATTTAGGCCAGGCATGGTGGCTCACGCCGGTAATCCCAGCGCTTTGGGAGGCTGAGGCGGGCAGATCATGAGGTTAGGAGATCGAGACCGTCCTGGCCAACATGATGAAACCCCGTCTCTACTAAAATACAAAAAATTAGCCGGGCATGGCGGTGCATGCCTGTAGCCCCAGCTGCTTGGGAGGCTGAGGCAGGGGAATCTCTTGAACCCAGGAGGCGGAGGTTGCAGTGAGCCGAGAGCGCCACTGCACTCCAGCCTGGGCGACAAGCAAAACTCCATCTCAACAAAACAAAACAAAAAAACAGGTCGTGATTTATAGATGCCATAAAATATGACATTTTGCTGAACTAACCATTGAAATTTGATCAATAGTCTCCCTCCAACTTCCCCTTTTTTTGGTCTTTAAAAACAGTTTTTTTCATTCTTAAGAAGTTTGACTCACACTCTATTGGCTTATGCTTTGTTTATAAAGAAATATTTGATTTGCTAACCAGCATGTAAGAATAGATTTTTTTTTTTCTTTAGAAAGCCAGAATGCTGGCCAGGTGCGGTGGCTCATGCCTGTAATCCCAATACTTTGGAAGGTCGCGGCGGGTGGATTACCTGAGGTCAGGAGCTGGAGACCAGTCTGGCCATCATGGTGAAACCCTGTCTCTACTAAAAATACAAAAAATTAGCCAGGCGCGGTGGCAGGCATCATAATCCCAGGTACTTGGGAGGCTGAGATAGGAGAGTCACTTGAACCCTTGTGGTGGAGGTTGCGTGAGCGGAGATCGCGCTACTACACTCCAGCCTGGGCAATAGGGCGAGACTCTGTCTAAAAAAAAAAAAAAAAAGGAAGGAAGTTAGTTTTGCATCATAAACAGAAATTGGCCATGGCCATGTTGGAGCTATTCCCTTTACCTGGGTGCTCTCCCAGGAGCCATGGTCCTCAGCCATCTGTACTGCCTTCTAACTCAGAGGCAGTTTCTATTTGTCACCACATTTGCTGTCATTTTCCAAACAGCAGAGTTAAGAGGAAGTGAAATGCCTATTTTCTTCATATACCTATTAAATAAGAGAAAACAAAAATTAGACCAAGCCCCATTCACTCATGTGAGTGTACCCCATGGCCCTTTTTTCATTTTGTCTATATTATTGAGTCAATTTTAGGTTCAACAAATATTTATTGTTCACTTCATAATGAGACCTGTGTTAGGCACATTTGCATATCTTATTTAATTCTCCTAACCGTTATTTGAGATAGTTAATGATGATGACCATGAATTCACTTTTTTTAAGAGATGAAGAAACTGAGACTCAGAGAGGTTTGTGAACACAGCTATTACACAGCTATTAGCCAGAAGAGCTAAGTCTTAAACTCTGACCTGGACAATTCTGTTACATTTATGTTTACTGTAACATAGAAACTTTGCCCCAAATCTCAAAAGTATTGCTTCTCTATTAAATGTCTTTTTTAAAATTGTCCCAGAGAATAGAAAATATAATTTTTATATGACTTAGCAAACTTCCTTCCCAAACATGATATGAAGAAATGAGTGAAATCTCCTTTAAATAGACATCTCAGTCTTTCTAAGTATTGTATGCCAGTAGGAAGAAGGCTAGTATTCTCCCTAGGATATGCAGGCCAGTGTATACAGATTTGTCTCACATCTGGGTGCAGATCTCCTTGCCAGGTGCAGAATGGGGACTTTACGCCAGGTATGCTTGTTGGTCATTATAAAGTTCAAGTGAATTGTGTATAAGTCTTTGTGTTTTCATGACAACTTTTTTTTCCTGATGTTCAGGTACCAAACACAGAAAAATCCTTACGTGAAAAACAGATACAGATTCTTGTAGTAGGAAGGGAATTGCATTAGGGGTTGGAGTTCTGGAGTTTTTGGTCTAACCACATCCTGTCTTAGGAATTTTGCCATATCAGTTGTTGTGAACCTGTTTTCTAAAAATGCTGACAAAAATACATGTAATAGGCTGGACGTGGTGGCTCACGCCTATAATCCTAGCACTTTGGGAGGCTGAGGCAGGTGGATCACCTGAGGTCAGGGGTGTTCGAGACCAGCCTGGCCAACATGGCGCAACTCCGTCTCTACTAAAAAATATCAAAAGTAGCCAGGCCTTTAATCCCAGCTACCTGGGAGGCTGAGGCAGGAGAATCGCTTGAACCCAGGAGGCAGAGGTTTCAGTGAGCCAAGATCGCGCCACTGCACTCCAGCCTGGGCAACAGAGTGAGACTCTGTCTCAAAATAATAATAATAATTTTTACCTTGTAAGTTTACATTGCCTGGGCAATACTGAAGAACACATGGCAGTGAAAAAGTTCTTAATACAGGGGAGCTTTTATCATGTTAATGATTTACTGTCACCATCATGCCCTAAAATATTACTCTCTTCATGGGGTACGTCAAAATTTCTTATACGAGTCACTTAGTGTGGGTCCCTTTGAAAAAGCATGAATGAAATGGCAGGGCCTATGCTCCCAGAGGATTGGATAACTGCTGCTTAACTAATGGGATAGAGGTCATCACCCTCCCTAGTCTGAAGAATAGAGAAAACAGAGAAGCCAGAGTGTAGGTAGCAGTTTCAGATCTGGGTTATCTCCTTATACTTCCTTTAGTTCTCTTACATTAAAAGTAATTTAACTTTTTTTTCGTTGAATATATATTGAGCAGGTGCTATATGCCTTGGTTCCAGCAGCAAACAAAGTACCACATTTTGTCAGTTACATCAGGGTTTCTCAACCTCAACACTATTGACATTTTGAGCTCATTTTTTGTTGTTGTTGTAGGGGCTTTCCTGTGCCTTTTAAGGGAGTTCTGCAGCATCCTGGGTCTCTACCCACTAGATAACTGCTGTGACACCTCCCATTTGTGACAACGAAGCCTCCCTAAACATTGCCCAGATGTTCATTGGTGTGCAGAACCACCCTGGCTGAGAGCCACTGAGTTGTTGGATGTACAGTTTTCACATATTGATGTCCCTGTGATCGGAGCGCATCTTACAACTGATGCCCTCCTGTTCTTAAGATTGGCAGTGGGATTCTTCTTGGCTTGTGGCATTGTACAGCAGGTGGACACCGTGCTTCCATCGTCTTCCTCATTTCCCCTAGCCCCTTCTCAGAGCTCACAGTCAGCTGGCTGCAGTGGAAGTCTGGGGATTAGATGAAGGTGAATTTAAGTCCCTCTCAGTTTGAAGAGCTCTATGACTTTATCACAGTCTGAAATTCCCCTTTTCACAGGGCCAGACAGCCTCGCGCTACATGATAATCTGTTTGTGAGTTCGAGATCGTTGGATTCATTAGGGAATGACTAGGATAGTTGTCAGCCTCTGCTTTGTCAAAGTATAATCTTGAAAAAAAAATTTTCTTTTTCAATTTTAATATAGTCTATCCCACTGGAATGTACTATCACTGGCAATAAACTGGCTCTGGTTCTTTTTAAAGAAATTACTGTTACGCTGTAGCATTTGTCTGTATAATTTTAGTTATTGAATTAAAATCTTTTGGGACCCCAACAGGATGAGATCATTGGCCAGCTGGCTTCCTCCCACCTGCACCTGGACTGAAATTCCCCGTGGCATTAGAGGTGTTTCGTAAGGTGCTCCCTGCTGTCTGTCCTACAGATTGCAGTGGCTCTGCTGGAAAAGAACGGAATTCTATGCAAGTTGCGTGTGTCATGAAGGTCTCTGCACAGTGGGTGTGTTTCTTTGTCGTCTTTTCTCCACTCTGCTCTTCTGTGAAATGTGCCAGCAGTGGACAGAACAGGGGCAGAGGTGATCAGTGACCATTGCACAGAATATCAGTAAGTGTTGTAAGGTATATAGTCTTGGCCAACAAATTGTAAGCAAAATACCAGGAACTTCCTAATCTAGTAGGAAATTTTGTATGCTTTTGACAAACATCTGATCCTACTGACACTGAAAGTCCTTAGAAGGAAAAACTTGAGGCCAGGTGCTATGGCTCACGCCTGTAATCTCAGCACTTTGGGAGGCCAAGGTGGGCGGATCACCTGAGGTCAGGAGTTCGAGACGAGCCTGGCCAACATGGTCAAACCCTTTCTCTACTGAAAATACAAAATTAGGTGGGCGTGATGGTAGGCGCCTATAATCCCAGCTACTCGGGAGGCTGCGGCAGGAGAATTGCTTGAACCCGGAAGGTGGCGGTTGCAGTGAGCCAAGATGGCGCTACTGCACTCCAGCCTGGGCAATAGGAATGAAACTCCGTCACCAAAAAAAAAAAAAAAAAAAAAAAAAAAAATGGAAAAAACATAAATGGAGGTGAGCTGGAAGATTGAGTGAACTCATCTGAGCCAGAAAGGATACATCTACAAATTTTTCTGGGAGAGTATAATAGCAGGCTGCAAACATAAATATGTCATCTGTACTTAAGTAATTTTGCTAAATTAATAAGATCAACAATGGCTACCATTTAGAGAACACATTGCATAACTAGGCACTGTCCTGAGAACTCTGAATATAAAATGAATACTGACAGTGACTCTGAGAGGAGGCATGGCAGCAGACAAGACGGCTATTTCTGTCCCATTAGGTGAGAAAAACGAAACACAGAGACGTGAAGTGGCTTGCCCAAGCTATATGCTCATTAAACATCACTGGTGAAATGAGCTTTCCTCTGCTCAGCCAACTTTCTTGATTGATTGATTCATTCATTCATTTTTTTTCTTTACTATTATCTCTCTCTTTGTATGAGACTACAAATTGTTATAGTAATTGACTTATTGATACAGTTACTAATTATTTAAACAGCACAAAATTAAAAACTTGGCCACAATATTATTAACACACAGCTGGGGATTAATATTTTGTGTCTTCCTCATACAATCCCAAAGTCAACTTCACCTTCCCTAGCAATAAATAAAATCACACTGGATAATTTTAAAATTTTCTATCAAATGTGTGATCAAGTCTGTGCTCTGACAGCAACTCTACAATTGGCAGGAGCTGAGAAACAAAATACATTTTTTAAAGTAATAAATAAAAATGTTAATTCCTGCCATGCCTGTGAGGTTTGAAGCTGGGAACAGAGAAGGATTTAATTTAGGGAACAGAGAAAGATTTAATTTAGAAATGACTTCATAAAGACTTAGGTTCTAATTAAGAAGACTGAAAGAAGAGCATCAAACCCCACAGCCTACATTCTTCTGTGGGCCTGTTTGATAGTGAGCTCTCCTGCCTTCAGAAGTGCCCTCTGTACTACATAGATTGTGCTGTGCATGGTTGAATTTACATGGGATGCCTATCTACAGGTAAACCAAGTACAGGTATGATATTCCATTCCAGTGGATTTAGCTCCATCTTGATTTTGTAAATGAGATGCCAAAAATACCTGTGTTCAGTAATTAGTGTCGCTTTCTGCATCAGTGTGCTATTTTGGCATTGCTCTCTTCTGTTGCAGAAATTTGAAGACATCTGTTTACTTTCAACTCTCAGAGACCTTTTTAAGCACACTGAATTTGTAGAGCATGAGCTTGTTCTTATGTTAGAGCTCCTTACGGTATCTTCCCTCTTCTAGAACTTTTTAACAAAATTATTGAAAATCAGTGAAAACATTTGAACAAATTTAGACATGGTATGATGAGAAATGACAGCTCTTATTAAAAGGAAGAGTGTTCTGCTAAAATCTCTTCTTGGGGGATGTATGTTTGGGGTTAAGTAAGGAAGAGTTTCAGAGGTTTCCAGCAGCGATGTAATCCTTTATAGAAAAGGCCCATCGTTCTTTTAACAATAGCCAAAGTGGACCGACCAGGGTGGCAGCGTTTTCATTAGCAATGATAATTAGTCCAGCTTAATCACGTGGGCATTTGAGCTTTTGATCCCATGCTAATTTGTGGACCTGCATAAGGAGATAAACTAAGTGGACTAAAGGTCAGTTTTGTGGTTGGCCTGTGTAATGAGCATCTGTTCAAAGTATATAAAAGACTTGTTTAAAAATTGACAACAATTTATGAAACCAGTTACAATGTAAAGGATGGTACTTAATTTATACCTGAGAAATTATACATACAAAATACGTGACATAAGGAAGGGTTCATTTCAGCAGCAATGGTTCTGACCGGTGCCAGGGCAATATGGGAATGATAAATTGAGATAAAGTGCACAGAGTATGCAGTGAAGGAATGTCAGTGATATATAGGAAATCTGAAGCTTTGGAGGTTGCCCAGATGGAGGTGACTTGTATCCGTTAGGATTTATTCAGGCATGTATAACAGAAAAGCCAGGACAAGCAGGGTGGAAGCAAAAAATAGGAACTGATTGACTGAAGTAACTGAAAAGTCTGGGGCTGGTTCTGGCCTTTGGCTTCCTGCCTCTGCCTGGGTTGGCTTCCTTTCTAGGCAGGCCCTTTCTTCGTGGTGGCCCCTGGCATTACTGGGCTGAAATCGTCTTATAGTTGCAATGCCAAAGGAACAAAATCTTCTCTCCCTAAAATTTCTTGCAAAAGTCTTATCCTTGGACCAGTCACCGCATCTAGAGGGAAAAACTTGTCTAATTGCCAAGTGTGAATGTCTGCCTGCCTCCTTTTTCAGAGGAGGCCCTGACCAGACCCTGCTTGCCTTTCAGAAGGACTGAATATGGAATGAGGGGAATAGTTTCTTAAAAGGAAATCTGAGTGGGTCCTCAGAATGAGAAGAATTGGTGCTGGCCAGGCACGGAAAACACGTATCCCATAGGAAATCAAGAAGGAAACTCTAAGGCCAGGCGCAGTGGCTCAAGCCTGTAATCCCAGCACTTTGGGAGGTGGAGGCGGGTGGATCACCTGAGGTCGGGAGTTCAAGACCAGCCTAACCAACTTAGAGAAACCCGGTCTCTACTAAAAATAAAAAAATTAGCTGGGTGTGTTGGCACATGCCTGTAATCCCAGCTACTCGAGAGGCTGAGGCAGGAGAATTGCTTGAACCCAGGAGGTGGAGGTTGCAGTGAGCCGAGATCGCTCCATTGCATTCCAGCCTGGGCAACAAGAGTAAAACTCCGTTTTACAAAAAAAAAAGAAGGAAACTGTTGACTGCTCATAAATGCAGTCATTCACTCCCTCATCCTTCCTACCAAGAATTATTGAGCACCTGCTATGGCCAGGCATTGTTCTAGGTGCTGGGAATTCAGTAGTGCACCAAACACCTCAAATTTCTTTCTTCATGAAGCTTAAAACATTTTTCATGCTAGTGTTATGGGGGGCGGTCAAGGGTGGGTTATGTCCTCCAGATATGGAGTGATTGGTTGCTATAGCTACAATAAAAGGCAGAGGGGTTGACGGATTCTGTAGTGGGAAAAGTAATCTAGGGAACAGGAGATTCTATTAGAGAAAAGGAAGGGAGGGATGGAGAGAGGTTTGAATACCTCCAAAGTGGAGTCTGACTTTGGGTACCTGGAGTATTGTATCAAGCACAGAGGGATTTAGCGTAGGTGTGTAAAGAGCCTTTTTGTTAATTGGGAGTGAGAGTTAATGTATTTACCTTTGAGAATGCAGTCATGATACTGTGTTATTTTAGATGCTTTGCCTGCCCTGGAAGAAGCACTGAGTTGATGATCTAATAGCTTGTTACCACTGTTAATGTCTATGATTATCTTTGTCACAGTGGGAATATAGCTGTCAGGGAAAGAGAAAGGCATTTCTTCTTCACTTTCAGTAATCGAGCTCAAACTGCTGACACTCCAAGGAAAAGAGAGAAGGCACTTAACAAAAAAGACAAGCCAAGAAAAAAAAAAAAAAGCCATGGGACCTTAGCATGTGATGGCTTTTAATGGGAATGCTCAGATGGTCTTGCCAACGGCCTGGTTTTCGTCACCAAGGGATTAGTAGAGTATGACCTGATGGCTTAAAAAAACAACTCAAAAAAACCAAATCAACCAACCAAACAAAAAAACCAGGTGTGCTGGGGTATTTATAACCGAAGGAAAATGGATTTAAATGAACAGATGGAAAAATAAAAATAATGCAGTTTTTCTTGTTGATGGTAGCGTAATGAGGATTAAATAAAAATGTAGCCTTTTATGTTTTGAGGGGTGCAATATGAAGGAGAGGCTCTGATACAGGCTGTCTCTTTAAGGAAAGAAGCAACAAAAATTAATTATGTAGAGGAGAATCAGGGTCTTGAGCATTGGTGGTGGAGAAACCACAATTGAAGTGAGGCTTTGGGTAGCGTTTACTATGTGCCACATGCCTCAATGAGGGTCTAGTATATTTTACCTTTTATGCAACTCACCTGCCTGGAAAACAGTATTGTCCTAATTTCACATGGGAGGAATTTGTAACAGAGAGGGGTTAAGCAACCAAGTTTCCATGACTGTCAAATGCCAGCTCAGGTGCTGAAACCTAAGACATTTTTTCCCCTTCCTAAGCCTTTGGGTTTCTGTTTTGTTTTTAAAGCCTTTGGATTCTTTGTTTTTTTTTTTTTTGTTTGTTTGTTTTGGAGAAGAAGTCTCGCTCTGTCACTCTGTCACCCAGGCTGGAGTGCAGTGGCGTGATCTCGGCTCACTGCAACCTCCACCTCCTGGGTTCAAGCAATTCTCCTGCCTCAGCCTCCTGAGTAGTTGGGACTACAGGCACCCGCCACCGTGCCCGGCTAATTTTTGTATTTTTAGTAGAGACTGGATTTCACCATGTTGGCCAAGATGGTCTCAATCTCTTGACCTCATGATCCGCCTGCCTCGCCCTCCCAATGTGCTGGGATTACAGGCATGAGCCACTGAGCCCGGCCAAGCCTTTAGTTTTTAATCACTGCCTTCCAGGCCCCTCCTCCAGAAAAATCCCTGAATGGCCTTGCATTACTAGTAATATAAAGTTTTAAAATACTTTGTGTGGCTTACAAGGTCCTTTTTAGCTTTCTCTGGGAGACAGTTTCCAGGCCTGTGCTGAATTCTTTTGTCTTTCCTCACATTCTTTTCCCCCAGCTCTCCCCCATCTGACTTTCTGCCATCTTACTTACTTCCTCTTATGCCCCTGCAGTTTTGCTTATACCTGTGTTATGACACCTATGCCTCCAAATTGTCTTTTTCTGAATGCTTGATTGTGAGAACTTCTGGGAGTTCCAGTCTTGTGGAAGTTGTATCTTATGTTTTTTGCCCCCATGATTTTAGACATAGTAGGTGTTCAATGAAGTAAATGCTGAAAGAAAACTATAAATGGTAGGTTTCAGAGGGTTAATTGTTCTTGGTATTTCTTTCAGACAGAAGCCCAGAGGAACTTTAGGAGCAGCAACCATGCCTTAAATGGTTTTTTTTTAATACATTTTTTTAAAGCATTGGTTATAGGTTCTTTCTGTACAGTTGTGTTAGAGGCAGATTACATTTACTTTCTTGCACCTCTGGTAACTGGATAAAAAAACTCTTTGTTCACCTAAGAAGTCTTGCTTCATATTTGAACTGGCTGATTCGACCCCCTTTAGTATTTTACCATGTTTATGCCTGCCACAGGAAATGTGAAAGTGAGTGTTTTTTGATCTTTATGTTTAAATTATTAATGTAAAGTCAAAACTGGGAAGAGAGCTCAGTTGCTGCATGGCATATACGTAAATATTATCCTATTTGAAGAACGGGATTTCTGGAAAAACTCATGGGGATTTTGCAGTAATCCTATGTCCTGTCATGTGGACAAGTATTTCAACCCAGCTGTCCCCAAGACATGCCATCGCTCCCTTTCAGCCCATTGGCTCTGTGGAATTTTCATTGCAGGAACATGGAACTGGTTAAAATATCATTTTCGTAAGCAGTACAAGAAGCTGTAAATTGCCCCCTAGCTCTTAAAGACAGTAAGTCATTCATTGTTAGCAGTGATAATGCATGCCTATACAGATTTTAGGAGTGTTTCAGTTCTGATCTTTCATGTTAGAAAAGTAATCTCCCTTCCCAGTTGAACTCTTTTTCCTAGTTACTAGAATTGGAAGTGGCAATCACTTCTATTCCAGCCTGTCCAGTGTTTTCTGCTGAAACTATTTAGAAAGTGTGATGTCCTAATGGGACCTGGCTAACTTCTTGAACTGTAGCTTTTAATGTTCTTGGTTTTGTAATAATCTCATCCTTTCAAAATTTGCTTGAAATTTGTGTTTCTTTGACCTCTGGTAGACTATACTTTGGTGCCCTTTGTAGAAAGATTTTCTTTGACTCAATATTGTAGATAGTTCAGGCAACCTTTTAAAGAAGTATTCTTCTTTGTATGGTTCTAAGAATTCTTTACACATTTAGTTCTGGATTATTTCGTGGGAAGATGGCTCCCAATCTGCTCTCTCTAGTCTCCTTGAGGGCAGAGGACTCCCCTAATTTCCTGTGTATTTCCAGCGCTTGTTTCCGTGTCTGGTTCTGAGATAGTCTACACAGAGTGTTTTTTGGGGAATGTGCAAGGGTTTCTTCTTGGCAACAATTGACTTCTACTGTTTTACAAAGTACAGAGAGGCTGTGCTCTGTTGCTGATGGGGTTACTTGATTCTGTGAAGTGCTCTTTTCTGACTGGTATTAGCAAGTAACGCAAACCCAAATTTTAAAAATGATAGAATCGGCCTGGCGTGGTGGCTCACGCCTGTAATCCCAGCACTTTGGGAGGCCGAGGCGGGCAGATCACGAGGTCAGGAGATCAAGACCATCCTGGCCAACATGGGGAAACCCTGTCTTTACTAAAAATACAAAAATTAGCTGGGTGTGGTGGTGCGTGCCTGTAATCTCAGCGACTTGGGAGGCTGAGGCAGGAGAATCACTTGAACCAGGGAGTCGGAGGTTGCAGTGAGCTGAGATCACGCCACAGCACTGCAGCCTGGCGACAGATCGACACTCCACCTCAGAAAAAAAAAAAAAAAAAAAAAAAGACAGTATCAGAATCCCAGTCTTCCTCAGACCTCATATGTGGAGGCAGTGCATGTTTAGCAAACCTGGGGCCCTGGGAGCCACCACTGACTGTTAGGACCACTTTAGTGCCTGTGCTGTAAGCCAGGATTTTGAAGTTCTTGGGGGCAATTTTGCTTTAAGCAGTGTTAGGGAACTCTTTACAGGTTTGTGAGCTGGGAGTGACAAGCCATTATTTTATCCACACCAAAGCTTTGAATGATAAAGGGGTTGAACCACTGTCATTCATTAAATTCATTAACTGTTGGAATTCCTCTAAGGATCTATCTGCAGGCCCCTTCTCTTCTCACTCTGTACACGGTCTCCCCAGGCAACTTCATAATGGCTAAAATTACCATCTATTCCAAGAGCATGCTCAAATTGATATTTCTGGCTGAAATCTCCCTTTTGAGATTAAAGCCCTTATCACCTACTTCCTCCTTGACGCCGGAGTTCTCAGGACACCTTAAAACCAAGTTCAGTATCTCTGCCCATTTCTGCTTCCTTACCTTTAAACCTGTTCCTCATTCAGTCCTTTCTGTCCCCAGGAGTGGCAGAAACATAATCCATTTGCCCTAGCCTCAAACCTGGGATGTCTGTCTTCCTCCGTCTACAATTAATCATCAGCCAGCTCCTATCAGTGTCACTTGAATCCATATTTTCTCCCCTACTCACTGCCACCACTAAATAGTAATCTCTTGCCTTCTGTGGAAGCTGTAGAACATCGCTTCAAGTTTACCCTCTTGTGACCCACTGTTGTCTACACAGAAAATCTGGAGGAACCTTTAAAAATGGGAATATGAATGTATCACTCCTGTGTCAGTAACTATTCTGGGACCATTTTTGTGGCTTCCAATAGGTCTCAGGATACATCCTAGGATCCAGCAATGACTTTTCTTAATTTCTCGCCCTTTCTACTTACCGTGCCCCAGGTCAAGCCCACAATTTTCCCTACACCTACTGCTGTCTCTACTCAGAAACGCTTTCCCTCCTCCCAACCTGCTTCACCTGGTTGAATTCTAGCTCCTGTTTCAGAAGCTTAGCTTTAATCACTTCCTTCAGGAGGCTTTTCTTGCCCCCAGCTAAGTCAGAGCCTTACTCTTCTCCCACCCACCCTTGCTCTGCTACTGACAATGAAGAATTGCTTGAAAGGGGCAAAAATAGAGAGAAACTAGATACTGACACAGGCACGCAGGCAAAAGGAATGGTTAGAAAAAAGGAATTGCTGGTCAATTTCGCCATTATTGACTTTGTCCCTTGGTATTTAAAAACCTAGGCAGGTCCCCTAGTATCAGTGCCTCTAGGAACGTGAGCACTTCTGGATGCCGGGCAGCACTTCTAAAGGTTACCTACGGGCTCCCTAGTAAATTAAGGTTGTATATTGCAATGGCAATTAAGCAGTGTAATAAATGTGATTGTTGTGGTGGTTCTATGGGGAGGGGAGACTCTTCCCACAGGCTGGGTTCCTTTCCTGCTGCTTGTCTAATTAACATAATTTCTAGCCCCAAGGCTCACTGCTGCATTTTCTTCTCCAATGTAGAAGGGTGATGGAGATGCACCTTCCATTCTTTCAGCACGTCAGTCATACTAAACTACACTCTGTGAGGGCCAGGGGAAGGAAACAAAAACCCTTCTGTGTATGTAGAGTAAGAAGTTCTACTCTAAAGCACAAATGCTCCAGAGAAAATACAAGGGAGTGTATTTTCTGCTGCTGTACAATCTGCTGCTCTCTTCAGATGCTTTGACCTGTTCCTATAGTGACTTTGTCACATGATTCTGAATTTAAGGATACATCTACTTCCTACATAAGACTAAGTTGCAAACCAGCTGCAAATATGTAGTACTCCCTTGGATGAAGAGTGTTGGATTGGAAATCTGGGGAGAGGACAGACTCATTGGTCTTCCAGTTTGTTTTCCTAGAGATTTCTTGAGAGTAATTTTGACGATGCCCTGCTTGGTTTCATGTTACTTGCTGACTTCAGCACCTAAATCCCTTCCCTGCCCAACTTCCCGCCTCCACCAAACATACTGGTTCCTTACTGAGGTTTGAATGTAGGTTTGAATGTATGCATGGTTCCCTGTTAAAGTTCTCTTGTTTGAGGTTCATTTTTTAATAACCCTTGGCAGTGTGCTGGGAAATGTGTTAGTGGTATTAGTGGTGGTGTGCTGGGAAATGTATTGGTGGTAAATTTGTATATGTTTGTTTAAAGATGAGTGTAATGTTGAGAGAGGTTGGGCTGGTGATGGTGTTGAAACACAGGATCTCAGACTCTTAGGGCTGGGGAAAGCTATTAATACCATCTGCTCTCATCACTTTGATGTTCTGTATAGGGCTGGTTTGTAGAGCCTTTCTATTAGATGAGGTAAGCAATAGGGACCTTCAGAGATTCGTGGGGAGACGTTTATTCTAGCCCTGAAAAAATGGCACAGTATGAGCTGGCAGGATTGGAGAGAGGAGGCTAGACTCAAGCGAAGCCAGGGGGAGAATTTAAGGTGAAGATTTGTCAGACACTGACACTTGTAAGATACTTCCCTTGCAAAACCGCATACTACATCCATTATTTTTCCTTAAGTTATAGCAGTGGTCCACTGGAAATGTTTTGTGGTGATATTATGGGAATTCTGCAGCATAAGGATGAACAGATGAGAATATCTCAATGAGATGTGGAGTTGGAGGACTTAACAAATCAGATGAGAAAGGACAAGCTTGAAGACAGATCAGTTTAGGTAAAAGTGATTGCATGCATGTGAGTTTGATTGAACAGTACCAACATGTCCTGAGCAAGATGGGAAACTTTCCTAATAATCATCTGATGGAATCAAGTTGTGATAAATTGTTATCATCATAGTATTATTTCAATTTAATGGCCATACATAATGGCATCTCCCAGCAATTAATCTAACATTAACCTCCACCTTAGTTATTGAATGTATACTGTGGTTTAGGCTGAAAACATGATGGATAAGAATTACTGACTGCTTTGGATCTGTATACGATATGTCATAGCCTTGAACTTTATTCTGTTCTGCTTCAGTCTTTTTCAGACCTTCCTGTACGAACCCAAGTCTTTATTATTTGTGACCCAATAGCATGTTAGATGTTTTTAACTGGAAAATGTGAATGGCCACTTTTTTTTTCTCTTACGCGAAGTAAATGCTATGTAAATTGATTTTTAATGCTTTTATTGTCCCACAGGAAGATAAAAACCATTAGCTAATGACAATGGTAATGTTTAAATAGTTTTTAATTTTAAAATAATATTTGTAACCTGCAATGCTATGCTATCTCATTTTGGACTTAGCGAAAATGTGTGAGCATCTACAGAAATGTATGTGAATTAGGCTCCAGGAATAAAATTGCATAAAAGTACAACTGTGGCTTAAATCTATTTATATGTATGCTTGGATCCTGAGCAATATAGATACCTGGCTAGAAACCTGGCTGTTCCATTATAACTGAATGTCAAATTCCCCACAGTTAGTCATTATTAAAAATACCCTTGTCTTAAATTTACTTTGGCACGGGAATGTTCTTGGTGATTACCATACTGTGTTACTCTAGGGAGTTAAAGATTTATATTATGTTTCAGTTCTACTGAAATAATAGCATTCGTAGGCACACAGATATCTCTATGTGTATACTGATATACTTGAGAAAGTTCTCCTTTAACAACAGGTGATTTTAATATTATCTGAAAAGAAATAAAAATACTTTGTTTCATAGCACTGTGGAGTGTCAACAGAAATCTTATTTGTTCTTTACTCCTAAAATAGGAGTATAACACAAAGTAATATGTTATGCTCACTAAAGAACAGAATCTCAATTTCAGAGATAGAATTGCCAAGTTCATTATTTCTGGAGAAAGGAACAAATATTAACCCCTTAGTTTAACCTGAAAATGAAAGAGCATGTGGACTAAGGGGAAAAAAATTATATATATATATATATGAAAAATTGACTTTTCTGTCTTTTAGTTGTATGTCTTTATCTCCAACAGATATGTGATTATCCTCCAGAGAGGACCATGAGAATTTATTTTTAATTTTCATTCCGTTAATTACTTGTGTAACATATGTATGTCCCCATAACAGCCAGTGCTCACTCGCGTGCACGCTGTCTCTCTCTCTCTCTCTCTCACACACACACACACGCTTACTACATATTCATACATTTATTCTACAGGGAAGAAGAGACAGTTGGAGACACTAATATTCCAGCTGTCGGCAGCAGAATCATTTCACAACCTTCTTCCCAGAACTTTTGGTCATTACTATTCTTGCCCCTCAGCCTCACTACTCACTGAAAAAATATTTAATGTGGATCTAGTCAGTTCCAGTTTGGTTAGTTTAAAGAGATCCAGGAAGACTGAGCAATCATTTACTAATCTGTATTCTAAAAAACCAGCTCAAGAATTAATTCAATTAGATATGCCAGTCACCATATCTGGAGATTAAAAGCAGGCAAACAGAAGGGAAATAAGGAAAATGAAGCAGGGCAAATGGGACTATTACTGATATATTAAAATGAAAGACTATACTAAGACTTCTCATATGCGTATATTGAGATTTTTCCTGCTGGCAATGATCAAGTACAATTACATACCTTTTGTATGACATTTCTGATTGGAAAGGTTATGTGACATGCAGGGAGGGGTCTTAGTTATTGGCTCTTTAGCTATTTCCCTCTTTATCCTGGAATAGTACCACAGTGTGTTTTTCACTCCTTTAAAACATTCTTTAATGAAATTGCTTTGAGTCATCCCTGTCTCTGTGCTTTGCCTCTTTTATTCCATTGACTTGTTTAGGGTACATAGGAAATTAGGTTGAAAATGTGTTAGTATTCCACATTAATATTAACTTGAAGTCTTTCCCTTGTATCACTAAATCACTACAGATAAAAACTTGTACTGTGAATGCATGCTGCTTGTCTATAAATATCACCTGAAACAGCAAATAAAGCCATGTATGTTTAACTGAGAAGAGTTGAGAATTAATGCTAAATTAAAATATTGTCACACAGATTAGGAGAGGCATACACACACACAGTCTCTGATGCCTTTCTCTTTACTGTGAACACTGAATAATAATTATTTGACGAAGGTAGTGCGTTGTAAATATTTATAAACAGAAATGTAAAACAGTGAGACCACAGTGAATAAATTATTTTGAAATATTTTAAAATCCAGTTTTTATATGCTTTTTAGTAAAAATTATTCATGGTGATCAATATTTCTTTCTCACTTGCCATCTGCTCCACTTCTTTGCCTGTGCAGTTCTAGGTGAATGATGCACTGTGCTGTATAATGTACTCCACAAATTTATTGACTTGGATGCAGCATTTTTATGGAGAGCAGGCAAACATGTAATCACTAAACACAAGTCTTCTGCTGTTGTAATTGCCAGCTCCTTCCTAACCACGGGAACAATTAGGTGATCATTAAATGGCTTCCAAGGGGATGCCTTCCTCTCCTGTCTTACTGCTGGTGTCATTTAGTAGCTTCTGCAGGAGAAGGTGGAAGAAATCTATTCCACGTAGTCCTGGAGTGACTGGTCAAAAGGATTTCATCTTGTGTCTTACAGGCAATTTGTGAAGAGCCCCTGTTTTCATGCGATTCCATTTTAATTCAGTTGCAGCATCCAGTTTTGCACTATTGAATCACCCCACTTGAAAGCCTCAGAGAGGGGCTTTTGGGCTGAAACAATGACACTTAGGTGGTTTGACCACCCCTTTCTTAGTCTGAAAGCAGATGTCTGTATCCACTTACTAACCTGTGACTCTTGTGAAATTTTCCTTTTGTTACCTGGCTTGGAGCATTTGCCTTAATGAGGTTTATGTATTTTTCTGGTTTGTTAGTTATCCTTTTTATTCTTCCAAGCAAACCATGTTAGACTTTATTATTATTATTACTTTAATTTCTGCCTGTTTAGGGGCTAGTTACAAATATTCAAGGACTTTTCTTCTTTTTTTTCTTTTTTCCTTTTTTTTGAGACAGACTCTTACTCTGTTGCCCAGGCTGGAGTGCAGCGGTGCCATCTTAGCTCACTGCAACCTCTGCCTCCCGAGTTCAAACGTTTCTCCTGTCTCAGTCTCCCAACCAGCTGGGACTATAGCTTCGTGCCACCACACCAGGCTAGTTCTTTTTGTATTTTTAGTAGACATGGAGTTTCCCCATGTTGGCCAGGTCAGGCTGGTCTCAAACTCCTGACATCAAGTTACCCACCCACTTCAGCCTCCCAAAGTGCTGGGATTGTAGGCCTGAGCCACCATGGCTGGCTGGAATTATCTTGAATCGGGTAAAATCATAGCAACCTAGTAATGCTGCCTGTAATTTGAAGACACCTGAAGGTCAAGGGTTCTTAATGCTGCCTCTCCTATGAAGCCATCCCTGATTCTCTTAATTTAAATTAATTGCCCTCTTTTATATGCCTCCATAGTTACAGGTTTTTTCTTTTGTTGTGTTTCATGAATCTGCCTTACATAAGTTCTCTTTATGATCATCTTTCCTGCTGAGTGGCAAAGTCTTCAAAGGTAGACATTGAATCTTATCTATCTTTGCTTTCCCCTGCTGAACACAGAATATACACTTTATAATTAATTGCTTGTTGAATTGGAGATAGTCACATTTTTCTAACCTAATGCCCTATAAAAGAACTCTCATTGTGTCATTCAAGGATCATTTAGTGGCAAGAATGGAAATCCACACGAACTTACTTTAGGCAAAGGCAGGAGGTTCTTTGGAGAATACAAGGATGTCTCTCACACTCAAGGCTGGGCAGTACATCTAGCCAGGACTCAGTGGAGAGAGGGGCCACTTCTGGGAAAGTCCTAGGAGCCCCACTCCTGTGCCGCACTCACTATCTTTCTGTCTCTTGGTCTGATGGTACTGCTGTACCATGGTACCAGCATCTGTCAGTCTGATTATCAAGCTTTTTGTTCTCTTTCATTAAGTAATGACTTACCAGGAATGCTGCTCCCTCCGGTCCCTGCAAATCTAAGGCCTCAATATGACTAGTTATGTGTTCCAATTTCAGATTCCCTGCAGAGAGAATATCATGGCCTTCTCTGGGTCAAGAGTCCACCTGTGTTAGCTTAGCCGAGGCCCTGAAGAAAGGAGGACATCTAAGAGAGGCTCACCTGATTTGGAGAACTACCCTGTCCTCAGGCTCCCAAGCCAGCGGTCCCCAACCTTTTTGGCACCAGGGACTGGTTTTGTGGAAGACAATTTTTCCATGGGGGGATGGTTTTGGGATGAAACTGTTCCACCTCAGATCATCAGGCACGTGCAACCTGGATCCCTTGAATGCGCAGTTCACAATAGGGTTCGCTCTCCTATGAGAATGTAATGCTGCCGCTGACCTAACCGGAGGCGGAGCTCAGGCAGTAATGCTGAATCCTGCTGAGTGTCTTGGTTCCTAACACTAAGGGATGGGTTTGGAGGAGCAGAAATGATTGTTGGAAGCAAGTGATTGGTATCTGCATGCAACTGTGCCGCTCAAAGGTGCTGGAGAATGACTAATTTGATGGAGGAAAATAGCAGTATTAGTTGTGGTTTTCTTTTCAAAATTTCTTATGTTCACAACACTTGTGTTTTGTCCTCTGAAATTTACCCTCTACACCCTAATGCTTGATCAGTGTCCCTGCCTGTGTGAGAAACCCTCCTGGACCACTAAAGCCCAGTGTCATTTTGTTCTTCTTTGCCCTTTAAGAGAATGGTACATTGCATTCATTTTACATCTGCTTGGGCTGAGCTCTGTCCTGCCCCTAACGTTCTGTGCTGTTCTCATCGTTGTCTTCTCCTCTGCAGCTTCTGTTCATGCTGTTCCATGTGCCTGGAATGCCCTTCCCCTCATCCTTATATATCCATCAGAGCTCAGCTTACGTGCCACCTTCTCAGGAGTCGCTGTATTCTGTAGGGTCTCCTTGATATTTTTATTTCACATTCAATTATCTTATGTTGTTTTTCACAAGCTGCATTTACACAAGTTTGTGTTAGTTTACTTGCTTCATACCTTTCTCCCCCACTGGAATGCAAACCCCTGAAGGCTGTTCTGCCTTGTTCATCTTGGATCTCGGTGCTTGGTATCCAGTAGGAGCCCCGTAAATGTCTCTTTAATGTGCAACTGTCTGGCTGTCATGCATCTCCTGGAGTGGTGGCATGGCCTCTTCTTCTTGAAATGACTGAAACGGAACCCTTTGTTAGGCCATCTGTATCAGGGTGATAAATTCCCTGTTTGTGTAGTCAGCTGCCCTGCCAGGAACATGGCACTCTGTAATGTGCATAATATAATCATTTAGCTTTTGGGGTGATTTTTCTGCATCATTTGATCAAGTCATAAACCTAAGTTATGAAGTCTACTCTGGAGACTGAGCCTAAGTAAAACTGATCAATGGGATCTGTCTTGGGAACAAGAAATTTAATATACTCTGCTTGACAGCCAACTAGAGTCATTGTTTTTCCTTCCTAAATGCAGATCTAATCATCCAGATATGACAAGGGTGGGGTTTTTTGATGAGTAGGTTAGGCAATTTTGTCCCCCTTGCTTCTGGATCAGAAGACAAGATGGTTTTAGGCTGGTTGCTTTTGTCATTAAGTAATTATAGCTTTATAATGGGTCTTGGGGAGTATCCTGCATTCCTGTGTTCTGACCACTGTCCCCTGTACTCCCCTGTAGCTCAGCTTTTGAATTTCCTAAAATTAAGGCAATGAGTGGTATGTGTAAAATCTTGCATTATAGAGACTGGGCTCAAATCCTAGACCCTTCACTGATCAGCTGTGTTAACTTGGGCCAGTTACTCAATCCATTAGCCTGCATTCTTCATTTGTAAAATAGGGATAAAAATGTTTTGTCTTAGCAGGGATCTAGTAAGGCTTCATTATGATGATATGTGTTCTTTGCACAAGGCCAAACAGGCAGTAAAGTGTTAAAAAACTTTGGCATCAACATCATTCCCATTATCATCATTATCTCCATCTCTCCAGTAGGACCTTCAGAAGTGACACTGATGTTACCTGGAAGGAGGGGCCAGGAAGGGGAAAGGGTGTGACTAATACCCACAAACATTATCTTAGGCAGCATAAGTTTCCAGAAACATGGATTCACTTATTATTCATTGGTTTGAGTTCAGCTTTTCTTGTTGTTTCCAAATAATACCTTTAGGGTTGAAGTATTAGGGACAGGTGTGTATGCAGTTTTTTCTCAGCAGTGGGGATAAACATGTGGTTGCAGGACACACAGGCATCTTAAAATTCGGACTTAATTAAATAAATGAAAAATAAACCATTTCACTTCATTTTTCTGCTCAGGTCAGATTGATGTCTGTTTTCTTAGGGTAATTGTGGCTTGATGCTCTGTTTGGTCCCCTAAATAAGAAAGTTTAGGCACATCATTCCTCAAAGATCAGATATTCCTTGTCTGGAAGTCTTGTTTGTTTGATCTTCAGAGTATTTTAAAAATAGAAACAGACTGAGAAAATCCAGCCATGCTTGAAAAATCTTAAGGTTTCCATGGATCTACATTGCTCAGTCTCAACCAGACACTAGAACTGAGTGGAAGCTGCTTTCTTTAGACCTGTCATTCTCAAATTGTGGTCCCTGGGACTAACAGCATCAGCATCAACCCAGGGGACTTGTAAGAAACACCCATTTCTACAACCCATCATCCCAAGGCTTTTAAATGAGAAACTCTGGGGTGTGTGCCACTGTCTTTATCAGGCCTTCCAGGTGATGCGCATGTGGCTAGAGTTTGAGAAGCATTATTTCAGACACAGCTCGGGCTCTGCACTCCCCAGTTACAGTTCTTTGCCCTTCTTTGCTGTCTTACACCCAGCTCCCTACACTGAGTTAAATTGCCTCCCTGGTGCCATGAAGTATTTTTTTGTCTAGGGACTGCTAAGGATTTTAGGGTTGGGTTTTAAGTACGTTGATTTCTCTTCTGCGTCAATATATCTGACACCTTAAGCTCACTTAAGTCCCTTAAGCTTCTCTAAGCCTAAGAAATACATGGTGAGAGGGATGTGTCTCTAAGAATATGTTTAACATTGTGGAAGACTGTTGACAGCTGTGTTGACTCTCAAGACAAGATCAGGATAATAGACTGTCTAAAAGGAATGTGTTAATTTTATTGCTTGAAGTATAAGCATATCAATTTTTCTTAATTATGCTAGAAATGGTGGTAGTCAGGTAGTCAGGTTCACCTAGTTGTGAAATCTTTCCTTTGCTCCTGTAGTTGCATGGCTTGAGGGAACATGTTTAACCTCTTGAGTACAACTTTGCTCATCTGTGAAATGGGAATTACATAACCTATGGCAAAGTGAAATGGGGAGAGTTAAGTGTGGCGTGTATAGGAAAACTGTTCCTTTGAGTTCCTTTGCTATTAAGGCTCATTTTTTTATATCCACAGTCACATTCATGAAGCTTTTCTGAAGAACAAACACACCCTTTGGGAAGTATAGTCAAAAGCGGGAACGTATTTATTGAGTAATCAATAAGCTATATATTTTGTCATGTATGAATTATGTATGCATTATTTATAATACCTCACACATGAATCATACTTATAGTAAGCATTTTTTGAATGCTTAGTATGTGTCAGGCACTGTTCTAGAAGCTGGGACACCAAAGAGAGCTGTTTAGATAAGATCTGTGTTTTTACGGTACTCATATTCCGCTTTGGAGAAGGAAAGGGAGACACAGTAAACAAGTGTTATGTTTATTTTTTTGTTTGTTTAGTCATTTAGTTTTTGTAATTTAATTTTTAAAAATAGATAATACATGTACAGCATTTGAAAGTCAAAATAATGTAAAAAGGTATATGCAGAGAAGTCTTATTTCCACCATGTTGGTGAATTCTATATTCCGTCCCCACCCTATCCTCCCACAGGTAACCATATTTATTAGTTTTCGTTTATCCTTCCAGGGTTTCTTTATGCAAATATAATTAAATTATATATGTTCGTAATTTCTGCCTTAATAAAAGGTAGCATACTATACATGCTGTTCTGCACTTTTAAAGTAGGAGTTCTTAACCAGCATAAGACTTTAAGGGGTTATTAAACATACTCCCTCAAGGTTTTAAATACCATTTTATATGTATCTGTCAATAACTTTCATCATATTTTCAAAGTCATCTATGACCCCCAAAAAGGGTAAAAATCATTATTTCATAAGAGTTTACAGATTACCAGATACCTGGATTTGTAACAAACCATGAACTGCAGTAAAAGATATATATGGCATCTAGAAAAAAAATCAGAAAAAGATGCCATATATAGAAAAATGCATTTGAATTAATACGCATTTAGTGAATTCAGTGTAATTTTATGCTTTTATACTTGCGGATGCTAGAAAGAGAAAATATTTATGATTAATTCCTTATGAGACTACCAAGTTAAGTACTTACAAGATACCAATGAAATACATATTAATCCACATTAGAATTTAAAGACAGTATTTTATTTTCACAGGTCTCTGTTGTATCAAGTATAAATGACGAAATTGTTAATAGTTCTTACAACTTGTATAAGTGGATAATTTGAACTGTAGAATATACTTTGTAGAAGATGGGTTTTTTGTTAGTTTCTTTTACCTAAATGAACATATTCATGACAAGTTGAAGCCTTGATCTGGGCTTGTCCTTTGGGAGAAAATTAAATCTTAACCTAAACAATGGAAATACTAAAGGAATGCTTGTTGAAAATATGTGCAATATATATTTTAAAAAAAAAAGACCTCAGAAGGCAAGGGTATATTTAGAATTTGGTAGAAATTTTGGTATCTGTATTCTAAACATGTGGTTTCAGTGTACAGGTGATATGTTTAAGTGGATGTAATTTAACAGTATTCTTTCAGATAGTATTCTATGCAGTACCTAGCAGCAGTTGCTCATTTAATACATGCAGGGAACACATAAGTAGCTGGAAAACAAACTTTTATCAGTGTAAGTAGAATTGTCTCATGTGGAATTTGCTTCAGAAGGTATAGAGCACAATGGTTAATGTGTTATCTTTTCAGAAACATAGAACTAAGTTGATGGGAAAGAGGGGACAATTTTACTCTGTAATCACTAAAGTGGTTTGGAGACTTTCCCAAAGATATTGGCAGGATGGCTTTATAACATAAACCATGACTTGGAGAGGATAAAATTAATCAGTAATCTTCACTGAAGTATAAAGTGTGAATGAGGCGGGAAACGTCATGGGAAAGGAGATCTTTTCTTATGGACTGGGGGACTTTCTCAGATGGTTCTCTCAGCACTGTCCTCTCCTGGGTGGCATTGTCACATGCATTTATTTATTATGGGGTTATGAGTTAATGACCCACCTCCATTGCCGCTGCTAGAGCAAAATGTTAGTTTGAGATCAAAACTCTCCATCAAACATAGTTGAATTCCAAATCGCTGAACTGCCCTTCACTAGAAGGGAAAGTGATATGACCTGTTCTGCCTTTCTCCAGGCACCTATAAAGCCAATAATTCTCCATTCATGTGAAGCTCCTCTTGTCTTTATTGCCTTCACCACTTTTTTCCACTCTTTATTATAGTTCCTTTGTCCGTCCTTGTGTCGTGGTTTTACACGCGTGGCTCAGCCTGAGCTTCAGGCTTTGTTCTCTCTGCTTTTTTATGGCCTTTTTGATGAGTCGCTGGGTAGTTCCAACCCACTCTATTGTCATTTGATCACATACTGTCTCATTGACCTAGAATTTTAGAAGGAAACGCAGTCTAGATTAGTATCTCTTTGAATTGTTCAGCCTTTAAAAAAAATCCAATCAAAATGATATAATTTTGTAGTTAGTAAAGAATCCGGGGCCGGGTGCAGTCTCTCACGCCTGTAATTCCAGCACTTTGGGAGGCCAAGGTGGGCGGATCACCTGAGGTCAGGAGTCCGAGACCAGCCTGGCTAACATGGTGAAACCCTGTTTCTACTAAAAATACAAAAAATTATCCAGACGTGGTGGCATGTACCTGTAATCCCGTCTACGTAGGAGTCTGAGGCAGGAGAATTGCTTGAACCCGGGAGACGGAGGTTACATTGAGCCGAGATGGCGCCATTGCACTCCAGCTTGGGCAACAAGAGCGAAACTCTGTCTCAAAAAAAAAAAAAAATCCAGAATGACTACAGTGTTAAGCTACGGTGGCTCACACCCAACATGGTGAAACCCCGTCTCTACTAAAAATACAAAAATTAGCTGGACGTGCTAGTGCACGCCTGTAATCCCAGCTACTGGGGAGCCTGAGGCAGGAGAATGGCTTGAACCCAGGAGGTGGAGGTTGCAGTGAGCCAAGATCACGCCATAGCACTCCAGCCTGGGTGACAGAGCAAGACTCCGTCTCAAAAAAAAAAAAAAAAAAAAGTTAAGCTTAAACCCTTAGGGTGGACTTACTTTAATGAGCAGAAAATGTGTGAGTTGTTCAAGAGTGTTCTTCTAAAGCACTTGCAAAAATAGCTTTGGGTATGCTCATTCATTCATTCATTCTTCTACAAGTATTTATTGTGGTCCAACTGTGTGTTTAGCATTGGGCAATAATAATGGCTAATATTTAACACGTAACATGCTCACTATTTGCAAGACACTAAGCATTTCACCTCATGTAATTCTAAGAGTTAGGTGCTGCAATTATTCTCATTTTGTAAACAAGGAAACAGATGAAGAGTTTAGGTAACTTGCCCAGGACCACTTACATGCCAAGTGGCAAAAGTGGGATTCTGTGGTCTGGTTCTAGGATTCATGGTCTTTATCACTGTGCTATGCATGATTTCTTTCTTTATTGAACTTGTCATCTAGTCAGATCTGACCCGTGCAGTTTTGTTTTCAGGACTCTCAAAGCAAACTTTTCTTTCATGGCAAAAACAAATCTATTCTAGCTCCATCTGCATTACCACAGAATCCAGATTAGTAGATTTCAAAAGAAGGAGGTTTAACCATAGCTACTATACCTCCGCCCTGAATATGTGACTTGCATGTCAACAAGGTCTTCCATATTGACTGACATTTACATGTGATATTTGGTTATCGAGTTTAACTAAGGAATCATCTCGCATGCTTAACTATCTGCTGGCGAAATTTTTGATGCTGTGGAATGTGTCAGCGCCAGTGGAGTATTATAA
Source organism: Homo sapiens (assembly GCF_000001405.40). Taxonomy (NCBI): domain Eukaryota; kingdom Metazoa; phylum Chordata; class Mammalia; order Primates; family Hominidae; genus Homo; species Homo sapiens. Next base: position 61,966,263 of record NC_000003.12, read on the forward strand.
GTTAATTACTTGTGTGCACAGCAGGCAACACTGATACAGGTGGCCTCTAGCAATGTGGAGATGAGACATTACTTGAGACACCTGAGATGTGGCTGTGAGTGAGTTATCCTGATGAGTGGGGAATGGGGAATGTCAAGAAGGCCAAGTATGGCTCTGTCCTGATGGAATGTTCATTCAGATGGAATGTTGATAGGTTGTGAACCATACCATTGTTTTACAATGGGGTGTGCTGATGTGAGGTTGCCTTCTGGTGGCCCAGGTAGAACTATGTGATAGGGATTCAGGATTTATAATTCCTCTTCAATAACATGCAAAACATGTAAAGATGACTAGGACCCACTGACTTAGTTTTCATTCATTCGTGTTTTTTTTTTCTCACTTTCCTTATTCAAGAATGATTTGCTGGGTGTTTATTATATGCCAGTACTTTTTGCTACACTCTGTGGGAACAATGGGAAGCCAAATAGACAGGTGGCTCTAGAATTTCTATATAAGATTCTGCCACTGCAGAGTGGGTAGAAGCGGATCTAGTTGGATTTGTCTTGAATCAACACTGGCATAGCAAGCACTTTGTTTCTGCTTAGCTTGTACATTTATTAAGGCCACTTTGTTTTTGCTTAGCTTGTATGTTTATTAAGGCCACTTTGGCCGAAGTTTTCTCCTAGCCATTTCTGCCATAAAACTTAAAGTTGGGCTTGTGAGAAGCAGGACTTGTCACAAACAGCATTGGCTTAATTTCTTTCTAGTGGATCAGTGAAACTCAGATTGGTGCTCCCAGAGAAAACCTGGTTTTCTGAAGTGTATGACAAAGTAAACTAATCTGGAATGGTGGGCTCAAGGAAAACTTCTTGAATAAGTGACACTTCTGCTCAAGTTTGAAAATGGAATACAAAGTCTAGGCCTGACCTGGACCATTATGAGATCACACATAGGGCCTATTGCAGTTATCACAGGCCTTATCTTTGTCCGCACATCTGGTTGGGAGATGGGTCTGTCAGTGGGGGCCTCTGATTGTGATTTGATCTCTTGCATTGAACTATAAAGGCTTTTTTAACAAACTAGGCAGAGTCGAATGTTAAAAACCTCCATTAGAAACATTTTATTATTACTCATTTTATCAGCAAGACCTTCAGTTCATCTCACCTTTTTCAACTCCTTAATCTCCATTCTACTTGTCAGAAGTAGTAAGAAATATTAACCCACCATAGGAATGGTCTCACGCCTCATTTCAAATGTTAGTAATGCATCAAAACCCTAAGACTTATATTAACTGCATTTTAGATGTCTAAATTCATTCCCTTACTGGGAAGGAAAGGTATATAGTTAAAAGCAGAAAAGGGCTAATGGCATAATAATTTATAATCATGGTGTTCTGATTAGAAATGAGTGACATTCTTCCAAATTTAGTGCATGTAACTGCCACTGAACACTGATTATAAATTTGGCTAATTTGAACAAAGGCTTTCCTTGTTGGTTAAGACAGCTGTGTCTATCTTTACTATTGTTGCAGTAAAACATTTTAAGTGGAATTTCTGGGTCAAAGTGAATGGATGTTTTTAAAGATGTATATATAAACAAAAGCTTGTGTGTGCGTTTGTGAATATGTATTTGTGTATACACAACTGACTTCTAGATTTTCTCTAGTAAACATGTAAAATAAGTATTTTTAATAATAATAATAGTATGTGAGTAAGTTTAGATACAAAATTTTGGTCCTCTGGCGGGGAGATAAAGGAGGGGAATATGGATGTTAAAATATATCAAGCACGTCTTATTGGAAGTTGAGAAAGAAGAGAGAAATTCCTTACAGTGACATGTTACTCTTCCATGAAATAATGCTTCTGACATTAAGCTAAATGGATGATGTCATTTTGGCCATAAACAAGTACTAAATTTGGCTAATACAATGGTCTGAACCATTAAATGTAAAGATTTTTATTTTGTCAAGTGTGGTGTGATGGTTTATGCAATCATGGATATATGATTTCATATTCTGCTTTTTTTTGCTTTTTTCATCATCCTTTCACTTACTAAATGGCTTCTATTTCAGAGCTATGTCATATTCCATCAGTGAGTATAGACTTGCATTGTTGGACAGGCAGTTTGTTCATCCCTTTTTGACGCTAAGAATATGGATATGAAGCCCATCTGTGCATAACTGTTCCTTTGCTGAGTTGGATTTTCTTAGGTTCTTAGATTCCCACATGTAGACTCATTGGGCTTAAGTGTGAAAATTGATAAAGTTTTAATATATATTGTGAGAATTCTTCCCCAAAATATTTGTGGTAAATTTTAGTGCCTTTGGCATTATCTGAGAGTGCTTCTGCCATTGTATCCTTGCCACTGGTAGCTTTTTATAGATCTATTTGATATAGATTTCAAACTAAAATTCCAGGTAAAATTAAGGTGCTACCATTTGGGGGTTGACTTTGGCCTATTCATTTAAGCCCTCTCAACTTTACTTTCTTCATCTGTTAAATGTTGGATGGAGGAGGGGAGGGAATGATATATGAGGATGATCTTGATGATATCACTGTATCGATGGTGATACTTCATGGGACTGTGGAAAGAAAATCTGTGCTATGGCAGTTGGTCAACTTTAAAGAACATTTGTAGGGTAATGATTCTCATAGCTCACCTTTATTTAAACCTGTAAGTTCTTTGAGACATGGTGTTGTCTGTACTCTGTACATTTTACTGAACAGATGATGTCACGTATAATTAAAACTAAGAGCACAAACTTGAGTCTCAGATTCACCAGAATTTGTACTCCTACTCCATGTGAGTTAAGTCCTGCATGTATCAGTTTATACATCCTTATTATGGGAATGTAGTACTATATTTGACACAGAATGGGGTGAGGAGTAAAATGAAACACTACAGGCCAACTGCCTGGCTCAATGAGTGGTTCATTAATGATAGTTAGCAATGGTGACAGCAAGAGTGGCAACAGGTGTGCACATGACAATGTGGTCTCCAGTGGAGCAGAGAACCTTGTCCCTCAACAATGTTCCAAGGTACCTTGGATGCAGAGCTCAGTACATGTAAGGTCTGGGGTAGAGGGAACCTTGAATGAATATTTGCATCAATGAATATATAATAGGAGTAGTATAACAAATAATTTGTGAATGAATTAATTTTTCTTCTTGGGGAATTTTAATTAAAGACATGAAATAATACAATCTTTTGGGTACACAGTAGTCCCGTACAGAATTGTATGATACACATTATCCTTTTCAGCAAAAAGTATTAAAGAAGTTGGAGAAGAGGCAGTCTTCTTCAAGGGCAAGAGGGATAGTAGATGGTGATCCAGGAGTAAAGTGAGGAGGTGAGGTGGGTCTGGGAGTTGGAACTGGCGCCTTTTAGAAAGTTTTTTCCATAAATAACCTACAGACTCGGTCACCCTCAGTCCCTGCATCGTGCATGGACCCTGGTGTGCACATCTGGTCATTGGGACTAAAACATTTGGCACCTATCAGCTGCATATGTCCAACCTGGGGAGCGAATCACCCGGCCCAGCATCCCTCAAGACATGATAGGGGAGGAGGGATACAGCGATAATGATTTTCCCCTTGGAAAGCTGCACTGGGTAGATGGTACACACCCATGTCCTTTCTCAATCACACTGGTAGAATAGATTAATTTATATGGAAGTACAACTTAATATGAAACCAGTGAGGTTGTTTTTTAGATTAATACGTTTCAAAAAGATTTTGAGATAATTTTGAGTTAAACTGTGAGGCAGATCAATCTTCAGCCATAGATAGATTCCTATCACTCCTTTTTAGCACAAATAATTGTTCATTTGACATCAGTCATAAATATTCTTAAGCAAGGTAATGAAATGCCACTTTTTTGAACCATGTGAGATATATCTTCTGATTGTGTTTCCAATGTCAACTCAAGTTAATGTGATTTACCCAGAGTAGGGTACCTGGGTAGCTTTTTGGATGGCATTGAGAAACTCATGAGGAGAAGGAAAGAAGGCCTTTAATTTTTTTGTCATGTTCTGACCTCTGTCTGTGTTTTAGTGTCAGGATAAAGACCATACTTAAGGAATTTTCCTTTCTTCTTTGTTTTGAAAAATCACTGACAAAAAAATGCAGAAAACACAGGGAAACATCTAAGGAGGGCTGAAGAAAACACAGTTGCCTTATTTTCAAATTTGGTGTAAATGTTTGCTAGTTGTAGAAGCTAATTTAATAGCTTCATCTGCAAATTATAAGTAATACTTGACAAATATTCAATATGTGTTTTGCTTTGAGATTTTAGTTGTTAATATGCAACACATTACCTATAAATATGCAAGGGGAAGAAACTCTTTGGGATTAGAAGGAGTTGTTTGGAATAATTAATAGTAAAGGTAGGTTAGTAGTGATGGCTTAACTGTGATTTTTTTTTAAGTGGATGTTCAGAATTTATTTGAACTCTTAAAAAAATTCTAGGATCTAGATCTGCATCTTAAAGTCACATTTAATTCTTCTTGGCTTTGAACTTGGTACATCTGCAGTGGTAGGTTAGGAAAGAATCACCCAATAAAGGAATTTGAACCAAATGAGTTCATAAATGGGAACTTATACCTGCCACTTATTCCTGACACCATCTAAAATCCTGAGTTTATGAACCAAGTGAGTCCATATATGGAAAGTTATACCTGCCACTTATTTCTGAAACTGTCTAAAATCCTGAATTTAAGAGTGTAATATTGCTTATTTATTCTCTATTCTGTCAATATTTCATTGATGCCCCAGTGTGGTTTGAATATTAGTGATGGTAGTAGTATCAGGGAGGACTTCATGTCTTTTTTTCTGAAACGGAATGTCGCTGTCACCCAGGCTGGAGTGCAGTGGTGCAATCTCAGCCAACTGCATCCTCTGCCTCCTGGGTTCAAGTGATTCTCCTACCTCAGCCTCCTAAGTAGCTGGATTACAGGCATCTGCCAACCATGTCCGGCTAATTTTTTTGTATTTTTAGTAGAGATTGGGTTTCACCATGTTGGCCAAGGTGGGTTTGAACTCTGAAGCGAATAGAAGTAGGCTTATCATCATGGAAGTACTTACCTGGCCATATCTGAGTGAAGGACAGTTGAAGTACTTGGTCTCATTGGGACCATGTCAAGATATTCCAGGAAGAAAATCCTTTTCTCATTTTGTCAAGGCAATACTAGGAAATCAGTATTTGTATGGATATTCCATATTTTTGATTAAAGGGCCGGAATCAAATTCTACTTATTTCCATTGCTCTTACAGTGCTGGGTACCATATTTGAACTAAAACTCATTATCTTGTAACTAAAGGAAATTAGAGGTTGATGAGTAACTAGTCCATGAGCAAGTTGCTTCAAAACTGTTCCTAGAAGTTTGACTACATTTTATAACAAGAGAGGAGATGTCACATAGGTATACTTCCAGTTAAAAATCCCTCTTCGGATCATTTGGTGTGATGGAAGTGTTCTGAAACTAGATTGTAGTGATGGTCGTACAACTCTGTAAATTTACTAAGAGTCATTGAATTGTACAATTAAACTGGTTGACATTAAGCATATATAAATTATACCTCAATAGAGTTGTTTAAAATCCACTATTTTAAAGTTAAACTTCAAGGAAGAAAAAACAAAAAAGAATAAAAATAAAGTGAAACTGCGTTGTTATTTGTGTGTTTTAGAATACTTATTGACCCATGTGTATGCAGCAATGCATATAATGGGCCCATCGCTGTCATTTTAGAATTTCCCTTGGGGCAGTGAGTGAACAATAGACAATATACGAAACAAATAAATGTGTACTGTATATTAGAAGGTGTGCGCTACAAAGCAAAAAATAAAAAGAGGAAGAAAGCACAATGGAAGACGGTTTACATATGTGTGGCAGAATAGGTCTTATTGATAAAGTGACATATGAGGACCTCCAGAAGGTGACTGAGTTGCCTGTTACTCTAGGTAGGCTGAGGACAGCAGAAAAATGCTGATCATGTTCAAAGGACAGCAAGGTGGCCTGTTTGGCTTCTGTAGAGGGATCCATGGGGAGAGAAGTAGAAGCTGTGATCAGGGAGGTAAATTTGGGCAGAGGCCAGATGTGTAGGGCCTTATAGATGATTTTTCAGGTCTTTGTCTTTTACTCTGAATGATGTAGCATGCTGTTGGGGGGTTTCATGCAGGTGAGTGACATGATCTGACTTAAGTTTTAACAGGATCCCTGGCTGCTGTGTTGATAATAGACTGAAGGGGAGGGGAGGGTGGGTCAGAGAGTCAGGTTAGGAGACAATTGCAGTCATTTCTAGGACAGGTGATCCAGCATGGGACCCTGAGTGTTAGTAGTTAGAAAGGGCAAGGAGTAGTTTCTGGATCTCTTTCTTCCCTCCCCTCCCCTCTTCGTTCTTTTTCTTTTTTTTTCTTTTCTTTTTTTTTTTTGAGACATGGTCTCACTCTGTTGCCCAGGGTGGGGTACAGTCGCAGAATCATGGCTTACTGCAGCCTTGATCTCCCGGGCTCAAGTGATACTCACACCTTAGACTCCTGAGTAGCTGGGACCGCTGGCGTGTGCCACCATGCCCAGCTAATTTTTAATTTTTTTTTTTTTGTAGAGACAGGGTCCTCCTATGTTGCTCAGGCTGGTCTTAAACTTCTGGGCTCAAGTGATCCTCCCACCACAGCCTCCTAAAGTGTTGGGCTTATAGGCATGCATCTCTGTGCCTGGCCTGGGATTTTTGTGAATGTACAACCAAGAATTTGCTGTGCTGTCCGGGAGGGAGTTAGGGAGAAAAATTAATGCTAATAAATGAAAACAAGCTGTCCTGCCGAGACACTTGAAAGGTCTAAATTTCCCCTTAAAAAGTAGTCCTGCAGTTGAGAACTGAGGATACAAAGAGAATGAAAGCTGATTACAGCATGCTTCATCCTTTGTCCAGCATCTTCTGAAAACGGTTATTTTATATTGCAGCTTTGTCTGCATTAGCAGTTTTACCTGCAAGGAAAGGAATTCTAAATTGCTAATTAGAGCACTTGTTTTTCACAACTAGGATCCAGCTGTTTTGGAAATCACTAAGCATTTTCTCTGGAATGGGAGTTCCTGAACTAAAGTATTGCAGCTAAGTTCATCAATATGGTAGATGGGAATTGACATATGCTTGCATCATTCAGGGTTTAGTTCTAGAATCTAAAAGGAAAAATGTATGTGCTGTCTCCTGCTTACTGGCAAGCTGTGGATCTTAACTTCAGTTTCCTATTAATCGTATTTTTTATGCATCTTGCCAAATAGGACTCTTCATTGTGTTTAAGAAAATGATTTGGGTCCAGATGCGGTGGCTCATACCTGTAATCACAGCACTTTGGGCGGCTGAGGCAGGCGAATCACTTGAGGTCAGGAGTTTGAGAACAGCCTGGCCAACGTGGTGAAACCTCATCTCTACTAAAAATATGAAAATTACCTGGGCGTGGTGGTGGGCGCCTATAATCCCAGCTACTCGGGAGGTTGAGGCAGGGAGAATTGCTTGAACCCGGGAGGTGGAGGTTGCAGTGAGCCAAGATGGCTTCTCTGCACTCCAGCCTTGGTGACAGAGCGAGACTCCATTTCAAAATAAATAAATAAATAAATAAATAAAAGATTGGTTTCTTCTTTAAAAAAATAAAACTCTCAGACATGTAGGAGTCCACCACAAAACTGTCAAATGATGCTTTCCTTTGCCTTCTTGATAATGTACATAGACTACTGTCAGAGATTTTTTTTTCATGGTATTAGTGATATTTAAACAGGTAGTTGAAGAACTGTGGAACCAACACCACAGAGCCATACTCTAAGCCAAAGTTTTCTCTTTTCATTTCCAGTAAACAAGTTACTGTGATGCCTCATGACTGTCTTTTTTAGAGTGTGTTGGTATTGTTTTAAACTATTTTTTAATCTTTTGATACCTTAAATAGGGCAGACTGTCTTAGTACACAAAGGCCTATGGTTTCAATTAGTTGTACATGGAACTTTTTTTGTACCAGTTTTTATTTCTACCTTAATCTTGCAACGTTTATGTCATTAATCTTCTCAAATTTAGTATGTCCTTTGGGAGGCTGAGGTGGGCAGATCACCTGAGGTCAGGAGTTCAAGACCAGCCTGGGCAACATGGTGAAACCCCATCTCTAAAAAAATATAAAAATCAGCCGGGCATTATGGCTGGTTCCTGTAATCCCAGCTACTCGGGAGGCTGAGGCAGGAGAATCACTGGAACCCAGAAGGCAGAGGTTGCAGTGAGCCAAGATCATGCCGTTGCACTACAGCCTGGGCAACAAAGCAAGATTCCATCTTAAAAAAAAAATTTTTTTTTAAATATGTCCTTTATGGAACACTGTGCCTTTTCGTGACTGACTGTCTTTAGGCAACAAAAGCAATTGCTTACTCACTTAATTTCCTTTTATCCACCTACTTAGCTTTGTGCCCCACCTAAAAACATATGATTCTATTGGAAACGTTGGTACTTTTGTTAATACATTTATAATGATAACTGTTTTCTTTGCAGATTATGAAGAGACAGGGTCAAAGATCCCAGTACTGGTAGTCTGTTCTCACCAGTGCATGTCCTTAGCTGAGAGATCCTGTCCTTTGTGGAGCAGCTGAACTCAGCTGTAAGACACAGACCTGAAGTCTGTGTTGAAATTGTCCTTCAGATTTGCCTAACATCCTAACTGCCCACCAGTACCAACCATTTAAATAGTGCTATAGCAAGAAGTTTAACGAGAGTCTCTGGAGCCATCTCTCTGAGTTTGAATCTTGCTTTCACTACTTGCTTGATGGTGTGATCTAAATACCAAATAGCATAACCTTTCTGGCTGCAATTTCTTCATTCAGAAAATGAGGGTAGTATTGTCAGGAGCAAATAAGGTAATCTGTGGACGTTGGTCCATTGTCAGTGGCCTATAAATGTTACCTGTTAATAAAGAATTGGTGTGAAGGGTTAAAAACCGTTTACTAGGGGAATGATCTTGGACAGGTTATTTAACCCTCTGCCCTCACATGCCTCATCTATAAAATGGGGGTAATATGGAAGTTTATGGCCTACAGTGAATTTGAGAATTATGTGAGATGACTCTTTGAAAGCACTTAGCACAAATGTCTGGTAACAGCTAGTACTCCATATCAGCCTGTCATATTGTTCTTGGCTGTTTTCCTCATTCTCAAAACAGTTTCCTTGACCTCACTCTTGGAGGTGCTGTATGGGGCCTCAGAAATATGTTTTATTTCTAATGAGGTTCTTCACTGCAAATCTCCCAGCACTAGTCTTTTTGGTTTAGCATTTCGGAAACACTGTCTTCGTCATCCATGACCATTGTCAGTGAGCTGCCACATCTCACCATGGAAGTCCTAAAATGAAACTGTGTTTCACTTAGAAATAGAATTCTACCTATTTTTCTGAAGAATACTTTTTTTTTTTTATGGTGGCAACTTTGTTTGCTGTCAATATAAATATATCGCTTCTGTAACTCTCACAGTTGCATGTGTTTCTCCTCCATCAATGATCTGTTTAGCCCCTAAAATTATAATAATTCCTGTGGTCTGTAAAGATTTTCATCAAACATTTTATGTCGATCACAAATTTAGACACAATGAAAAACAAGAAAGCCGGCCATTTTTACGTTTTCACTGATTTGCTCTTTTTTATATATTCTCCTTGTATACCCCTATTTATTTGATGCAATTTTATTTGCCAAATGCCCCCACTGTCATGTGTTGGATTACAAAGGTGAAGTTCTATGTCCTACCCTTGAAGAACCGTGTTCTAATATTCCCCAAGGGAGGTCCCTTGTTACCTACTGTTGGGAACCCTGCAATGTGCTGGAAAACATTACTACATTTTCAAGTGCAACTGACATGGATGCATTTCAGCGAGATCCTTGACAGAATATCTCTTGATATTCTCAGAGTTGACATGGAGAAATGAGGATTCATAATAGATTGAAAAACCCTTCCCTGGGAATTCTAGATAATGCACTACTGTAATGATGGAGAGTTCTATCTTTAGCCCTGGCCTTTTGAGCATTTTTATCAAACAGCTTGACAAAGGAGATGGATTTATTAAATTTGTGAATGTTGCCAGGAGGCATAGGTCAGAAATTGGATGACAGTCAGGATCTCCCTAGTTCCCAAGAGGTCTGATGGGTGAAATTTAAATATAATGCAGTAGAGAAGCAACAGGTAATGCAGTGTAATGGAAGAGTTGTATAAACTTGGGTCTAAATCACAGCATCAGCTTAATTGTTTACTTGTACTAATGGGTATATTAGCAACCTACAGGGTTCTCATATGTGGTTAACATAAAATAGAATATTGACTTCCTTTTTAATAATAAATTGTCTCATTTTTAGTTTCAAATGAAGTATTTGTTTTAATATGGATCTGATATAACATCACATGGAAAAGACTGTAGGGTCTTTTTAAAAAATTTTTTTTTGAGAGGGAGTCTCGGTGTCTTGCCCAGGCTGGCATCCAGTGGCACGATCTCGGCTCACAGCAACCTCTGCCTCCCTGGTTCAAGCAATTTTCCTTGCCTCAGCCTCCCGAGTAGCTGGGATTACAGGCGCCCACCATCATGCCTGGCTAATTTTTGTATTTTTATATAGATAGGGTTTCAACCTGTTGGCCAGCCTGTCCTTCAACTGCTGACCTCAGGTGTTCTGCCATGCCTTGGCCTCCCAAAGTGCTGCAATTACAGGTGTGAGCCACCGCGCCCAGCTTATAGGGGTCTTTTTCTCCCACATAATTCCATAATGCATTGTTTCTCAACCTTGTTTATTATTGCCTATCTCCCTAGGAGTCTTTTCAGACATTTTCTCTTTAATCACCCCCTAGTCCCTGAGATTTTAATACCACAGATAGATTGTATATCTGATTATGTGCTCTATGTATATTTGTGCCTTAAATGTAAAAAGAGTACAATATTTCTGCCCTCCCCCACCCCCCACACTCCAAGAACAAACTTTTACCTCACCGGGAGCAAGACCACCCAACTAGAGGCAGTGTCACCCCTGTTGAGAATGCATGCTATGATGTGATAAAACCTCAGGGGTTTCAGAGTTCATTGAGAATGTCCTGAGATCCAGGTCTCATGAGTTCTCTAATTGTGTGTCTAATTTTTTAACATGTTTTTGGTTAATTATAGAAGTATTACATGTATTTTCAAAATAAGTATCTCCCTGGATCATGCATGTGTTTTGACTTCCAGAAGTCATCATCATTAATGGTTTAGGAAGTTGCCTTGTAATTTTTGTGTATATACCGTTACTGGTTTTGATTTGTATTTATTTTTTCTTTACATGATGTGATATATTTCTGTAATAATAGTTCTGCAACTAGCTTTTTTTTTCACAGAATGGCATTAGATACTTCTACCTCCATTTGAAATTTATATGGTTTTTTAAAAAGTTTAACTTTTAAATTGGTAAGATATTTATATGATTCAGTGTTCAAAGAGTATAAAATAATAAGTAGTAAAAAATTGCTCCTATTTCCTCTCCCTGTGTTAATGTTATAGTGTCTTAAATATGTTTACAGAGATACTGTATGCATGTAAAAAGGAATCTGTGTGGCCACTTATTTTCTCATATTAGAAACACAAATGGTGTAACATAATGCATGTTGGGTTTTTCAATTAAAAATGTAATTTAGAGGTCTTTTAATTTGAGTTTAAAGAGGTTTACTTTTTCCCCCAATGAATTCCAGACTATTTCAGGCTTCTGAGTAGCTGGGATTGCAGGCACCTGCCACCACACTCAACTAATTTTTGTATTTTTAGTAGAGACGGGGTTTCGCCTTGCTGGCCAGGCTGTTCTCAAACTCCTGACCTCAAGTGATCTGCCCGCCTCAGCCTCCCAAAGTGCTGGGATTACAAGTGTAAGCCACCATGCCTGACTGACATTTAGAGCTGATTGATTTCTAGCATCTCTTTGCGTACTAGAGAACTTTTACTTTTGCAGTATGGATTGCAAATGTGTTTTGCTGGTCATTTGTCTTTTGATGTTTTTTACCGTAGTTCCTCCAAAGCAGAACATTAAGTATTCTTTATTGTATTTGATTTTATCAGTCTTTTTTGGCTTCTAGTTAATATGTGGAAATGCTTTCCCTACTCTAATTCTTCCCACAACTGCTTCTTATACTTTTATATATTTATTTTAAACATTTAAATCTTGGATTCATTTGAAGTTTGTCCTAGAGTAAGGTCGTCTAGTTTTGGACCATTGCATAGTATTATGTAATAAAATAAGTTTGTAATAAAATAAGTGGTGGATATTTGCATTATTGCCAATTCTTTCGTATTATAAACATTGCTGAAATTTAATATGCTTTCTTGTAAACATATGTATTAAGTTGCTGGTACATAAGGTATGCAGATGTACATATTACCTATGTGCTGTATTTCTGCCAGGGAAGCAATATTTTGTGATTTAGAGCCAAGGTCAACAAACAGTTTCTGTAAGGGCAGATGATAAATATTTTAGACTTTGCTGTCTCTTTTAAAACTACTCAAATCTGATCTTTAGACAATATATGAATGAACGGATATGACCAAGTTCCAATAAAACTGTTTATAAAAACAGGTTGTGGGCTGGATTTGATTCACAGGCCATAGTTTGCAAATGCCCGTTTTGGAGCATGGTTTAGTCCCGTAGATCTGGAATTGACTGTTTGATCTTACACATACTACACGAGGGCAAGTTTTCTAGCTTCTGAGCCTCAGTTTCATTATCTGTAAAATGGGGAAGGTAGGGCATATTTGACACGAGTTGTTGAAAGGATCGAAGAAGATAAAATGTAGAAAGTTTTCATTACAATGGATATAGTGAATATTCTCCAAATGGATGATGGATTGTTGATGTTAGTCATTTGATAGCAGAAGTAGGACTTGGATGTTTAAAAACTCAGCTATCAAGATAATTCAGATTTTGATGCAATATGGTTGATTATTGATTTTTCCTTTTGGTTCAGAGTCCAATAGTCTTTGCACAGCACCGTTACTGATAATATCTTTCTTTGCCTGCTCATCACAGATGTTTTGAACTCATTTAAAATTTTATGACACTTTTGAAATATTATTTGTTTTGATAACTGAATTTTTGGTGAATGCCTTGTTTGCCTTACCCTAGTCCTATCCCTGTTGAACAGATATGAAAATAGACAAGTCTCTGACATCGTGAGGCTCATTTTCTCATGGGCCTTGCACTAGGAAGAGAAATTAACAAAGCTAACAAAATAGAGAGTGGCTAAGGTTGCTATTTTAGATAGTTAGGTCAGAAGGCCTCTCTGATTAGGTGACTTTTATGACTAGTATTTCTGCTAAAATCCCTCTAATTTTTTTCCTAGGTCTCATTTACTGGAAGTTACTTACACTATGAATTTATTGAAATAGAAGTGCAAGTTAAAATCAAGTATTCACAGTGTGACAGTGGGACACAGAATTCATCATGTTGTTTTGGCTTTACCGCATAAATATGGTGCTTTATGTCTAGACATTTCCCCAGATAGCATTTAATAGTTAATATATTTTGGAGCAAACGTTCCTCCTTTTATGGTTGTCACAGGAAGTGAGTTAATCATCCTGTCTGCACCCTGTGAAGTGTTTCCTAGTCCCACATCCCATCCACACCAGGCCCCTGTGCTGTTGAGTGAGTGCCTTGTAAAACTGCTTTTAATTTCTTTTTTTTTTTCCTCTCAGCCTTTATGTCAGTGGGTAGGTATACAGACCCTCAGCCCTCCTAAACACCAAACTCCCAAATTCTGTCTCTGGGAATTTTTCCCTTTTCCTACTTGTGATTGAAATTTCTCATGAGCTTGAGCATCTTTTTAAATATTAAACAAAACCTTGTGGAGCATGATACTGAGTAATGGTGTGAAAAAGCCCTTCCATACAAAGAAAGGAAATCCTGGCCGTGTTTAAACCAGACCTTAACTGCCAGTTTTGTTTTGCTCTCTGGGTTGCATCTCTGACTTTTCAGAATAGTGCGTGCTCACCTCAGCAAGTCTTTCCCACATGATAACTTGAGCGGTGGCATGTCTCTGAGGCAGAAAACTTCAGCAAGAGGCAGCTGTTCCCGTTAAGTGCTTCATGGATTTTTATCCCATGACTGCTGTGTTAACAGTAAAAATTTACAGCAATGGACTTCAGAGCTTGTTTCTTCTTTTTTTGTCTAAATGAGATCTTTAAAACCTTAGCCAAGTTCGTCCTTCTCTTATAGGGAAAGAAGATAGGAAGAAAGAGGGAGAAGGAGGAGGGAATTTAGGGTTGTTATTTTTATATATTCCATCCAGAATGCATTCCTGATTTTTGTCTTTATAATTTGACATTTTCGTCTTAGTGAAAACATCGAATAATTTAAATGTTGGTCTTCTTAAACCACCATTTTGATTATATCCTATATTTATTAGTTACAAATAGCACAAAGCCTACTCAGATGGGTTAAAATACAAAGGCAGTTAAAACTGAAAAGTCTAGAGATAAAATTTAAATTCAGACATGGTTTGATCAGATCTTCCTCTCTATTTTCCTCCCTTTCTCTTGTTACTGTCTTTTTACTTTTCAGCTTTGGCCTTCAGCTGCTTCCCTCCTGATTGCAGGTCATTCTGCTCCCTTCCTTCTTCATTCACATTCAAGGGAGGAGGGCCTCTTCTCCCCTACAGGCTCTGAACAAAATTTTGGGCCTTGCCTTGTGAATAGTACCAACCTAAACCAGTCCCTCTGTATTAGTCCGTTCTCATGCTGCTGTGAAGAAATACTTGAGACTGGGTAATTTATAAAGAAAAGAGGTTCAATTGACTCATAGTTCCACATGGCTGGGGAGGCCTCGGGGAACTTACAGTCATGGCAGAAGGCACCTCTTCACTGGGTGGCAGGACAGAGATTGAGTGCCCAGCACAGGGGGAGACCCCTTATAAAACCGTCAGATCTCGTGAGAACTCAGTCAGTATCACTGCAACAGGATGGGGGAAACCGCCCATATGACTCACTTTCCTCCACCTAGTCGCTTCCATGACACATGGAGATTATGGGAACTACAATTTAAGATGACATTTGGATGGGGACATAGCCAAACCATATCACCCTCTGAACTGAGAAATCTTCCAGGCGCTAACTGGCGTAGGCCTGGGTTAACACCCTTTGCTGATTCAATCTCTTGTCAAGGAGGATGAGATTCCACTAATTGCCATATATTAGTCAAGTGCTGTTTCTGAAGCTGGGTCAGGGTCATGCCATTTAGATATTAGTATTTGGATGTGTGTTCCTAGAGGAAAGTATGGATAATCATGTTTAGTGAGTACTTGGTATGTGCCAATTACTGTTGGACATGCTGTTGGTGTAAATCATTTATTAAACCCTTATCACATCCTTGTGGTTACTTTTAGTAAGGTACTTGGTGGGGTTTGGAGGTCAGCTGGACTATCAACAAATATTTTGTGTCTATTTGATTCTTCCAGGTATTACAGGACGTGCTCCGATTGAATTTAGAACTCTTAGGAGCTTTAGAGGTGATCTAATGTAACCCTGTAATTTACATGTAACAAAATTGAATTCTTATAAAACATCACCACTGCCATATTCATGTCCACTCTCCAGAGATGAAACTGGAATGGAAAGAGCAAATACGTGACATGACTGTCCCCCTAGAAAGGTATTGCTCATTAATCTTGTCTTTATGAATAACTAGTCATACAATTTGTGAGTTATTTGGAGCCAACATGCAAGGTAAATCTTACTTGTTAGCCTTGAACTAGAACTCAAGTTGCCAGTCACCTTGCCCAGTGCTCTTTGTACTCTGTTGTATGACCTTTTTAATCCTTGGATGATTGTTTCTATTATGTCTCGATGGAAAGTCAGGATTCTAAAAGAACATATTAGTCAAAATGTTGACTATTTGGGGGTGTACCTAACTTTAAGGTTGAAAACTTCAGGTCTGGAACGAACTCATCTCCATTTTATAAACACTTAAGATGTTTGGCATTGGCTAGTAAGAATTGTGATAACTTTGTTAGTATCTCAGATACTTGTTGAAGCCAGTTTCCTGTTGTATCTATGAGAAGCAGGAATAAAGCTGGTACAACTTTAAGTCAGCCTAGTTAGGTTTGGGGTGAATAAATGATCCCAATTATTGGTAGAAATTTTTAATGAATGTTTGGATGTGGGGTGGATTCAACTTGAAAGATATAACTTTTAAATCCCAGATACACCTAAACATGCATAGGTCAAAGACTTTTAAGTCTTTAAAGGACCTTCAGAATCTTGCAGTGTGTGGATGGCATGCATATTCATGGTTTGCACTCTAATAATGTCATATTATACACCCATGCGGGCATCACTAATCAGTCAACTCCTTTTGAGCCTTTACTCAGCCTAGAGGTCTGTGGCTCAGAACTAAAAGGTAGCCATTATTGCCATCTTTACTCTTTTTAATACCCTCCTTTTCCAGAACAGTAAAACAGGCTCCAGAGAAGCTTTTTACCATCAGGATTAGAGTCTGGGACCTCCAGTTTAGGCATTGGTACTGAATGAAATTTTACCTGAAATAGTTTTAACATCCAGTCCTAAAATAGACACCCTGGGAAATTAGACAGATAATGGTATTAAAAAATGAACAAAGTAGTTAGTTTCTATTTCTGGTGTTATTGTCTGATATTACTTCTGGTATTATGGTTAGTTGTTGATAGTTTTCTTTAAGCACACCATTGATATGAAATGGAGTACTGCAGTTTTTACACCTTAAATTTAAAACCAAAAAATGTGTATTTCATTATTTGCAAAGTAACTTTATATTTTCTTAACTGGTTTAAAATTTAGAATATTTCTATCAACAAAGTTGAGCAGCTTTATAACTGAATATGAATAAAGTAAAAATAGTGGCAAGCAGTAATATGCATGCCTTTTAAGACTTTTTCCATTTTTCGTGTACACACAAACAATAAATGCACAAGAAGTAATTAAGCTATTAGTACTGGAGAATGCAAAAGAATTGTAATCAGAATCCCATAAAGATTTTAATTAAAACATGGAATAATTTAAACCTGTGTATTCGATTTCGGATAAAAAGCATTAATTATAATAGGTAAAAATGATACACATATTTTTGGATTGTTGCTATTGGTTAAAAGTAGACAACAAAATGCAGAGTAATAAGCCTGGATTCAGGTAATATTTGTAATATAAGTTTATTGAGAGAGGCATTAATAAGCATATTTGACTAGAAACAGCACATAACATGTATATTAGTTTTGTTTTTAATTAGATTTAGACAGAATTCATTATTTTTAATGGCTTTTCATTAGTGAATAGGAACCATTATTTGGATCTATTGTGGTAAAATAAATTCAAGGTACATGCTTATTTTCAGCAAAGAACCTCTTAGGTATTTAAAGAAACCACTGTTTGGAACATGAATCATATATAGGTATGTGAAATTCCTTGCTTTTAGACAAAAGTATGATTTCTATGCTCATACAACTTTTATCTTAGGTCAGTTATTAACAGAGAACTATACTGAAGTGAGACAGTTTGCTTAAATTGTAGAAAATTCTTGTTGTTGACCAGTTTTATTTGTCCTTATTTGGACTTTTCAAGTAGTATTGCTGGGGCTGATGGTAGGGCAACATTAAGGTGTTTCTCTCAGATTTTTATATGATATTTGTTTGAATAGAATTAACTAGCATTGATTTAAAATTTATATGTGTCGACCAAGTTCTTTGGGCTAACTCTGCCTTAAAGAAACTGAGTATGAAGTGAAGTCTCAGATTCAAGCCCAGATTTACAGTATTTGCCATTATTTTCATGTGAGGAATTCTATCTGCCTTAAACAGACCAGTTGGAATTAATCTCCAATTGTGTGATTTATTCTCCCTACTGTGGAAATATGTCTTCCTGATGCTAGTCTACTGAATTGTAACATCTCAAAATGAGAAAAATACAGTGACTTGTGAATGGCACACTAAGGAGGTAGAAGTGGATTATTTTAATGCAGAAATGAGCTATAGGTTAAGCTAATGATGTTTTTCTTAATGACAGCTTTAAAAACTGAATTTCTCCAACTTTATATAAGGTTTTTATATAAGCTTAAATAATATCACCCATGAACTTGATTATTTTCTTTACCGTAGTCTCTTGTTTCCTTCGTCTTTTGTGTTTGCAGACTCCATTTATCCAAAAAGAATATGACAGTCATCCCAGTATTACCCATAAATCAGTGCCCATCTCCCTCATCTATCATGCCATAGACACGGCCTAAGTGCATACCAGTAAATCCAGTAAAACCTGGTTAGTAAAATTTAACTTATTTAACACAACTTATATTTTACTTGGCTTCTATGCAGTTTGCTCCATAATTTCTTCATTTCATTGTCAGAGTAGCCACAAAAGAATGACCTTTTGACAAGGACCTACTAGGAACCCAACATGGGTGTGTTTACTATTAACTGAGCACCAAACTTTACTCAGAGCTCATGAGTTTTTCCATTAATTTTTGTTTTTGATTCCACCATTCAATCTAGAGCACCACATTCTATTTATTGTCTGTGTCTCCTTAATCTTCTCTGATCTCTGACAGTGTTTTAGTCTTTCTCATGACCTTGACACTTTTGAGGAGTGTTTGTCAATTATATAGAATGTTTGTCAATTATATAGAATGTTCCCCAATTTGGGTTTGTCTGATGTATTCCCCATGATTATACCAGGGTTGTGAATTTTTGGAAAGAATACCACGGAGGTGATTTGCCCTTCTTACCACTTCCTGTCAGATGTCCAAGATAGCCATGTGGTCTCACTGGGGATGTTAACCTTCATCATTTGACTAAGGTGACTTTTGCTAGGCCTCTCCACTGGGAACTTACTCACTAAATCTAGCCAAAGATGGGATTAAGTTCTTCTTGCCAGAGGGGCGAACTCTACTTTTGACTGTTGGCTTCTGCCCAAATGGGAAATGCCTGAGTAAGATGACCACAGGCTAGTAAACTTCTCTGCACTGCAGGAAGTGACTTCACTCAAGTGTCACCGCCACCATAAGTTCCCTCCTGGGGAGGTGGGGCCCCTCCTCTCCCTTTGCATGCCATGAAATGCTTGCACCCACCTGCCTTAGCCGTTGGGTGGGCTACATGTCTGTTTCATCCATTGCCTAGTCAGTTTCTTGACAGTCTGCTATACATTTACAAGCCAGTAACAGAGGCAGTAATTATTGTGGGCAGCACTTACTGAACTTTTAGTGTTTGATAATGCTCTAAGCACATGGATTATCTAATATAATCCTTACAGCTACCCTTTGGTATCTGGGTACCTCATTGTACAGAGGAGGGGCTGTGAGCCACAGGCAGCTTAAATTGTCCAAGGGAACTGGGGCAGCCCTGCTCCTTATGTCCCATTTCTCAGCCCTGTCTAGGACTGAGCAAGTGTCGATTCTGTATTTAAATTGATAACAGTGATGGATTGATCATTAAGACTAAATTTCTTCTTTGATTGACCTTCTTTGATTACAGAGGTCTGTTAAAGCATAGAAAAAATAAGAGCAGTTTAAAAATGATGATGCTTCGCAGAAGGCATCAAAAGCAAGAGTTCTACTGCACCCTTTCTTTAAAAAGCCATAGTCACCTTTGCTGGGCTTGTTAAATTTGCACATGGATTCTTTCATGGACATCTCATATTTGCAGCTTATTTTACCTTGTCACAGTTGAAACGAATTTAATATATTAGTGAAGAACGAAAAGGAGTATTTACTCCTGAAGTTGACATCCTGGCTCTGGAGACCAAGGGAGTGAGGAATACTTAGCAAGAAGTCAGTAGATAGATGGGTAAACTCAAACTAAAATAAATATGACAATGATCATATTGAACAATCATATTTAATACGACAATCATCATATTTAATATGATTGAATCATCATATTAAAGAGTGGAACTCTGCCACTCTTTAATGTCTTCTTTCAGTTCTCTCTTCTTTCAATTCATTCATTTGTACCTAAAAATATGTTTTAAGGGCTTACTGTATGTGAGCCCCTGTGATAGGCATTGGAATGAAGTTGTACAAGATACAGAAGGAACCAGTTCTCAGAGTTTACCACCAGTGGGGAAGACAGACATTTAGATATAAATGGTAAATTGTATAATAGTAATAATGGGGTCCAAAGGAAACCAAGAACCCCTGTGTATCTCTCACGAAGGGACGTTTACCCTGAGATCAAACTTTTAGCCAGGGGTTTCAGATGTGTTTATTGAATTCATTAAAAAGGATATATTTGTCATCACATGTTGAATGAGAAACACTATTACATTCCCTTAGTACTTAGAGGTTGGCAGTATGTCTCAATCAAAATCTCATTTCTTTAAGACTTTCATCAGGTGAACAGGAAATTACTTTTGGCAGCCCAAATTGCCCTGTGTTTTCTACCCCGCCCTTACCTCTTCCCTTTTGAGAACACGGACTTGTGTACTAGATTGACGTGTTGGAGTTGGTGAGCCACTCAGAAGGATCTTGCTGCCAAAATACAGATGTCTTGTTACTTCTAAGAAAGAGTCAGTAAGAGGAAACTAAAGTGCAAGTGACTTCTTATTCTTATTTTAGATGGGTAATATCATGTCTGAGAGAGGAAGGCTTCTTGTTAAGTGTTCATCTCTTCCCAACTAGGTTTAAGTTAACCATAGTCTTTATTTAGTATCTTTTTTTTTTCTTTTACTTAAAAGTATTTATTCAAATTTGTGAAAAACAAAGCATTCAATACTATGAGTCTTGTGGAACTGCAAATGATTAATGGTATAATTCTCAGTCTTTTATAAAGTGTCTTAACACTGAAGAGATTTATACAGTGTGGAATGGCAATGGTGCTTCGATGTGAGAATAGATAATCAATATCTGCAAGCTTGGAAAAAGTGTTCTATTTCCTCTGCTAATGACATAGGGGTTTTTGCAAGGCAAGGGTGTCTGAAGCATGAAGTACTCCAAAGAAGAATTAATTTGAAATCTGAAGTGGAAGATCAGTTTCAATTAAAATTGCACTTGAATGTATATTGGGTGGAAGTGTGAAAGCAAGCATGTAGTTGGCTTAAAGCTTCAGATTGTTACCAGTGAATAAATGAATCCCACTGGTATGAACCCAGATTATATTTTTATAGAGTGATAAATTGTATTTTACCCATGTCTGGAAGGTTATGAGAACTAATATGAATGGCAAGTACTTTTCTGACATCGCAGAGTATTTTTTAAATTGTTAGTAGTAGGAGGAGAATTATCAGGTATCTGTTTTTACAAATGATGGCTTGCATCTATTATTTGAGTCATATGTATTTGGATTTATTTTACTGTGTCCCATATCATTTTTCTCTGTTGAGTGTAATTTTATTGTACTGTAAGTTTCTAGAAGGCATGCATACATACACATATGATATTATGATATTAAAACATTTAGATTCCATAATTTGGATTTACAAACTCAATTGTGGCTAAGTAAAATTCCTATTTTGGTCAGCCATCTAATAAATCAACAATCACTTTATTTGGTTTTTCAATGGATTCTTTTGGCATCTGGAAGAAAATTTAAGCTGTAGACAGGATAATTAGAGCCATTCCTTACGTCTCGTTCGTCTCCTTTTTTTTCTTTTTTCTCCAAATATGTAGATGCAAGATGAAAATAAAGTTTGGCCAAAATAAAATTTGGCTAAATATATGGCAAATGCATACTATCCCTTTGTGAATCATCACAGTCATAGGGAATTTGACAAAGAGGTAAAAAAATACATGAGTGAAAAGCCTATGACAGTTGTAATCGTGCAGTGAAGAAAATGGTGATGTGAACTTTTTCCGGATAGTAGCGCGACACTTATAAATGACTTAAAAGTGCCCCAAGGTTGCTAGACCTTTGCCAGTCAGTGAACATGTTCATTTGGATAGTCTGTTTTTAATCTTACTCTTTGGGATGAGGATTAGGGAGAATGACTGAAGCATTAGAGTGAGGCTGCGGTATTTTCCAGATAGCAAAAATATGCATCATTTTTAAGGAGCTATATCCATTGCTCTTGCAGCCATGAAACCTCCCTTACCATAATGGAAAATACTTTCTGTGATTGTCCCATTTTTCTTGTACCATTGTTTATATCTACTGTGAGCTGTTACCAGTTTGGGGGGAATGGGGAAAGCCATGGCAAATGATTGGGTGGCAGCCACTCATGTGGACTCTTATTTAGTGGTAGGCAGGTTTATCTACTACTAAACTAACAAGGCTAGTAGTTAGACTTACCTACTAATAAACTAAACAAGATTTCTTTGTGTCTTCCATTGTATGAGGCTAGGTATACAGGAGGCACAAAAATCCCCACCCATCTACCAGTATTTCTGTAGATGAATGTATATACACACATTAAGCTTTCTCATTGGGAAGCCTGTGTTTTACTTGCTAAAAATTGTGAAGTTTTTTTCTTATCTAATTCTCAATAAAGGATTCAGTCTTAATCTTTCCAGTAAAAGTTGTTTCAGCAGGCTACTCCCGCTTTGTTGTGTCAACAAGGTTAAAAGTAGGATGCAGAAAAGTCTAAGAGCCTGTAGTCAACGTAATAGAAACTGCTCCCATAATATTTCATTTCCAAATAGGACAGGGAGGCAAATGCAGTGTGTTTTCTGTATTTATACCTGATTGGTACCTATTAGAATTATGCTTTATGGTTGTGCTTTCTTCATTTATTTCTGTGGCATATGTCCCCCCAAATTCTTTATTTATATGAGTACAGAGTCCAGTCTGAAGGTAACTTTATACCTGCATTTTCTACGAGAGAGAAGGATTGAAAAGGAGAGATGAGTGTCTTAACACTCAAGTGTACAAATGAGGGCCAAACTGAAAAATCTTTCACAATTAGCCAAAGGAAAAACCTGCCTTTATTGCCTCCATGATTTGTAATGCCTCTCATCTAGTTTTCTGTTGCCTTTAATTTTTTTTCCCTTTTTCATGTTTACAGTCTTTTATGGGCTAAGAAGAAAGTTGTATTTAGGATATTGCCCACAATAGCAAAACATGCTAACTCGATCAAGGTGCTTTTTTTGTGAATAAATGCTCTGCTTATTTTAGGAAACATTTAAAAATTGTCAGAAATATGGACAACCCTAATAGCCCTTCTACACAACTCTCTTAACCTGATTAAAGATAAAGTTAGCAAATGTTTGATTGTAAATCAAGAAGCAAAACTAACTTAAGTAACATCTTTTCTGAAATCTTCTTGTCACATCAGGCCAATGGCTTTGATTCATAGTTTTCAGTACATTCACCTCTTTGGATTGGGGACATGTTGAGAGATGCAGTGCTCAGCTTCCTAAGATTTATTCATTTCATCCCTGACCCTTGAACCATGAGGATTGAAGTGTTGTCTTCTTTCAACAGGTGCCTATGGTCCTGAGCACTGGGTCACGTCTAGTGTCAGCTGTGGGGGCCGTCACCAGTCTCCTATTGACATTTTAGACCAGTATGCGCGTGTTGGGGAAGAATACCAGGAACTGCAACTCGATGGCTTCGACAATGAGTCTTCTAACAAAACCTGGATGAAAAACACAGGGAAAACAGGTAGACAATGGCTTCTTTATTTGTCCACAGAGCAACAGGAACTATTTTTGGATGTCTCTGGTGTTTTCCTTAACCATGACTTGCTCCTTAAATAGTGCACATTGCTGTGGGGAGCCTAAATCAGTCCTTAGTTTCAGAACAAGTTATGTAACTCAGTAAATCACTCTGTGGCTAATCACCCTGTGTCTTCATTTTTTTAAAAATATAAACTATAGATAATAAAGTATTATACATCTAGACCTAGGGTAGTAGTGATTAAATGAGTTAGTAGATGTAAGGTATGTAGAAGGACTTTCAGAAAGCTACCCAATCTAGTAGCCACTAGCCACATGTGACTATTTCCATTTAAGTTTTAATTAAAAATTAAATAATATTAAAATTTGGTCCCTCAGTTGTATTAGGTACATTTCACGTGCTTATCTGCCACATACGGCTAGTGACTACCCTATTGGGCAGCCCAGACAGAGGACATTCTCTCATTGCAGAAAGTTCTATCAGGTAACATTGTGCCAAATATGCAAATGGAAACAGAATTCTTATCTTTCTTGAGATTTTGCTTTATTAATATTTTTTATTACTTCCGAGTACAGATGAACTGTCTCATCCCTTTGTGTATCAGACCAGCAATTCAATTCTTCCACTTGTCATTTTGGGATTTGTGAATATGCAGCATCGTCTTTTTACCATTGCTAATGCGAAGAGCTGCCTCCCTCTCAATTACTGTTGTGCAAATATCAGTTTATAGATTGTCCTTGTAAGTACCAGAGAATGCCTTGCTGTGCTCCACTGTACGATCTGAAAATAAGCTCTGGGATGTTATATTACATCTCTGCTTAGTGCTACCTGGGGTTCTGTTGATGCCTAAAGATATTTTTCACTCTTATTACTTAACTACTTATGACTTTGGCCCATTAAAGCAAGTTTTTTTTTCTCTTTCTCTTCTTAAAGTGAACCCTTTGTAACCAAGGATGTCACTGTGAACCACTGTTAGTAATCCCTTTCAGGAGCCTTGGCTGTCAGAGCCCTCATGCTGGGCTAAAATGACTTAGCTCCTAGCCCTTTGGTGCTATTCATGTTGTAGGTCACAAAGTTGCCTTTTTTTTTTTTTTTTTAAATAACCTAACTGGCTAAATGGGCAGCTTTAGGGATCCATTTTCTTTCTTTCTCCAAACCATCATTTGAGATTATTCATAGCTGATTGCTTTGAGTTTGCCTGGCATGTTCATAGAATTGCTTCCCACTCACTTAGCGCAGTGATTCCTGGCTTTGGGCCTTTTTTATAATGCCCCCAGAAACAATTCTGCTTCCTGTGTTATAGCAGGTGACCCTCTCCTGTACCTTGATTCATCTATATGAGTAGCTGCGTAGAAAAAACTGGTGATCCAATAATGTTATTTGTACGTAATTTTTTAAATTTTTGAGACGGAGTCTCACTCTGTTGCCCGGGCTGGAGTGCAGTGGCATGATCATGGTTCACTGCAACCTCCACCTCCTAGGTTCAAGCGATTCTCCTGCCTCAGCCTCCCAAGTAGCTGGGATTACAGGCATGTGCCACAACCCCCAGCTAGTTTTTGTGTTTTTAGTAGAGACGGAATTTTGCCATGTTGGCCTGACTGGTCTCGAACTCCTGACCTCAGGTGATCTCCTCGCCTCGACCTCCCAAAGTGCTGGGATTACAGGCATGAGCCACTGCACCTGGCCTGTACGTACCTTTTCATCCTCACCTCTCTACCACCCCAGCACAGATTGTGTGCTTATTGTTACAATTCAGAATTTACCTATCAGTTGCCCTACTTTATGTTTTAAATATGGTGTTCTTAGGATAACCGCAATGAGATTATTTCTCTTCATACCATCTAAATGTAGTGGGCGAGAGCTTTGCCACACTGGGTGCAATCAGATTGGAACTGAGTACCACCTCAGCACCACATTCTGGAAGGCTGTCAAAGACAATCACTGGGCTCTCTGATACGGTTTTCTACTTGACTTGCAACGCTTGACAGCCTTCGGCAAAGATAACACGTTTCATTGACAGCTTTCAGCTTCGTATCACCAATGACAGGTTTTAGACGTATGTAGGGTTCACTCGATGCAAGCTGATTCATGACCTTGGTCTTCCAGAAGCTGATTATCAATCTGTGTCACTCTCCTGGCTTCCTAGAGTGATCCACAACCTGTTGCATATCTCTGAGTGCATGCACTTGATTTTAGAGCAAAGCTATCCAAATACGAAGCCATCAGTCTCAGAAATTTCAGAAGCACAGTGTTCTGAGAAGCAGAAATAGATCTTTGTTACTCTCATACAACTTATTACTGTAAAATTCACTACATAATATTAGATAGGCCAATATATTGTAAATACTCTAAGATGATTCTGTAGGAAGGGTTTTTAAAAAGTGACAACCAGTTATATGCAATTTGAAACAAAGAACATGCATTTTTGCATTTTTTTTTTTAATCTCTTGAAAGAGTTTTAACTTATGGTGGTTTAGAAACTTGGGTGCAGAAATCAACTTGTATTGTTTTGTTTTAACACTAATAGAAACTTCCTTCATTTGGTAGGTCTTTTTTTCTGAGACGGTCTCACTCTGTTGCCCGGGCTGGAGTTCAGTTGGCATGATCTCAGCTCATTGCAACCTCTGCCTCCCGGGTTCAAGCAGTTTCCGTGCCTCATCGGCCTGAGTAACTGGGATTACAGACAGCCACCTCCATGCCCGGCTAATTTTTTTTTTGAGACGGAGTCTCGCTCTTGTCACCCAGGCCGCAGTGCATTGGTGCAATCTCGGCTCACTGCAACCTCCGCCTCCCGGGTTGAAGCAATTCTCCCACCTCAGCAACCCGAGTAGCTGGGAATACAGGAGTGCGCGCCACCACCCCTGGCTAATTTCTGTATTTTTAGTAGAGACAGGATTTCACCATGCTGGCCAGACTGCTCTGGAACTCCTGACTTCAAGTGATCTGCCCGTCTCAGCCTCCCAAAGTGCTGGGATTACAGGCGTGAGCCACCGTGCCCGGCCATGCCCGGCTAATTTTTGTATTTTTAGTAGAGACAAGGTTTTGCCACGTTGGCCAGGCTGGTCTTGAGCTCCTGGCTTCAAGTGATCTGCCTGCCTCAGCCTCCCAAAATGCTAGGATTACAGGCATGAGCCACCATGCTTGGCTATTCTGTGGATCTTAACACGCCACATTAGTTCATAAATTTTTTAGAATTTTGGAGAAATGAGTATTTATTTGCTCTGTTTTGTCTGGAACATATAAATTCAACTGAACAGTGCATATTAGTGCAGGCTAAATTAGGGTGGGGTTGATAATTTCCACATTGAATAATATTGATAGGTAACCTATTTCTTTTTTTTTTTTAAGAAACCACCTGTCACTGTACTATAGTTTTTTTTGTTGTTGTTTGTTTGGTTTATTTATTTATTTTTTTGAGATGGAGTTTTGATCTTGTTGCCCAGGCTGGAGTGCAATGGTGTGATCTCAGCTCACCGCAACCTCCGCCTCCCGGGTTTAAGCAATTCTCCTGCCTCAGCCTCCTGAGTAGCTGGGATTACAGGCATGCGCCACCACACCCGGCTAATTTTTTATATTTTTAGTAGAGACGGGGTTGCTCCATGTTGGTCAGGCTGGTCTCGAACTCCCAACCTCAGGTGATCCGCCCACTTCTGCCTCCCAAAGTGCTGGGATTACACGCATGAGCCTCCGTGCCCGGCCCACTGTACTAGTTTTGAAAGATTGTACAATTAAGAGAAATGGGTTAAAGGGCTCATGGTATCTGTGCATTATTTCTTACAACTGCATGTGAATCTGCTATTCTGAGAAAAATTAAAAGTTTAATTTAAAAAAATTCATGTATCATAAGCCACATGGTCTGTCTTTGTGCCATCCATTTTATATCTATCTTGCATACCTAAAAGTATTTTAGAGTATTTTGTGGAACTTTATATTCCAGGAAATAAATTCAAGAGGGAGTATTTATTTTTTTCTGATGGAAATTTACAGGTCACTTATCTGTAAAATAGACTCTGTCTTTTGTATATTAAAATATGAATATAGAAAGTTAATATTTAAAGCGGCCTATTACATACAGACAGTAACTCTCCCATAAAACAGCTTAAATGTTCAGATCTGTCTTAATCCCCTGAGAGTGCTATATATCCTATCCAGCATAATCAATAGAGCAACTTGGTTGTACCTAGCCCACTTCTCGAAAGTTGTCTAAAATATCTTCACAAGACAGATAGCATCTCTCTATTTCTTCCTGAGGAGCCGTAACTATCTATTGTGCCAGTTCCCATTTGATTTCATCTAAAGTTATTTCCCTTTCTTTCATTTTTGTAGAATGAAAAGGTAATGCATTCATCAAGAACATTTCAAGACAATCTTGCTGTTCCTAGCATTAGCTTCCAGCAAAATGATCAGAATTTAATACTTAGACGGTGCTTCTGATGTATGTTAATAAGACGTGGCCTTCTATGAATTTTAACTATTGGGAGGGTTTTTATTTTATTTTTATTTTATTTTTTTAAACTACTTTTTCTTATATCCCACACTGAGGACAAATAGTAAATGTGTTTACCACAAGGCATGCTACTTTCATCTTCTCACATTGTATTGGTTTATTATATTTTTTCTTTGCCTACATTCTTCCCTATTTGTCTGCATATGCCATAGTGCCTGTGATACAGGTGGATTCAAAATATGGTTATTCAATTCACACAAGAATCAACGGGAGGGAAACTATGTATAGATGGGGAAGTCAAGAGTCATTTTCTAGTATGTTACTGAGCCCATAAAAGTAAGGCAAGTAGTAGGACACTGTTGCATTGAGTTTACTTTACCTGGCTCTTAGAAGTTTTTAGTAGAGTAGCAACTTAAGAGCACACAGAGGCAAGCTAAATAATGAACAAACTAATTGCAAGCTGGTAAAAAGAGAAAAATAAAATCTTAACAACCTTGGTCACTTCCACATGCTATTTCCCTGACTGAGCTTGTGACCCAAGCTAAGTGTTGGAGGAGGATGTAGCTCTGCTGCTCTGCTCAGACACAGGCCAGGGGTAACTACCCCTCCCCAAGGTCAAGCAAGTATCTGGAGTTGAAAGATACTCTTTGCCCTGTTGACTGCTGCCTCTCTGCAGCCCTGAAGAGCCGCTTGTCTCTTCCAAGGTCAGTGGAGACAAGGATGTGTGAGCCTTACTGAGAGTCAGCACCAGGCTACCACTTTAGATGGGTACCTTACAGGTTTTTTTTTTCTTTTTTCTTTTTTCTTTTCTTTCTTTCTTTTTTTTTTTTTTTTTTTTTTGAGACAGAGTCTTGCTATGTTGCCCAGGCTGGAATGCAATGTCACCATCTTGGTTCACTGCAACCTCCGTCTCCTAGGTTCAAGTGATTCTTATGTCCCAGCCTCCCAAGTAGCTGGAATTACAGGTGCATGCCACCAAGCCAAGTTCATTTTTGTATTTTTAGTAGAAACAGGGTTTCTCCATGTTGGCCAGGCTGGTCTCAAACTCCCGGCCTCAAGCAATCTGCCCCACCTCGGCCACCCAAAGTGCTGGGATTACAGGCATGAGCCACTGCGCCTGGCTCATTACAAGGTTTTCAATAGCAATCTTCATGATGTCTGATTTCCCTCCAAAACTGATGGACTTTTGTGCCTAGCCCTCATGCAAGATGTGATCCAACAGTGGCATGGTTGCTCAAGTGTAACACGGATGCCTTTAGTAATCAAGAGATTGGTTAGGAAGTTTCTAGGAAAAGTGTGTTTGTGTGTGTGTGAGGGGGGTGTGGGTGTGTGGGTATGGGGGTGTGTAGGTATTGTGTATGTGTGTGTCTTCATATGTTTCTGATAGTCTAGGCTTTCCGCCTGCCTGCCCGCCCGCCTTCCTTCCTTCCTTCCTTCCTTCCTTCCTTCCTTCCTTCCTTCCTTCCTTCCTTCCTTCCTTCCCTCCCTCTCTCCCTCCCTCCTTCTTTTTCTTTTTCTTTTTTTGATGGAGTCTCACTCTGTCTCCAAGCTGGAGTGCAGTGGTGCAATCTCTGCTCACTGCAACCTCTGACTATTCTTTGTATTCTGTTGGACTCGATATGTCTTTCTCTACGGATCTCTCCACGAGCCTTTACATTTTTTGTTGTTTCATTCTCTCCCGCATTTCCTCCTGTGTCTTCTTGCATTTGCCTCCGCTGGGGCATGTCTCTGTCTCTCTGCCTGATTCTGCCTGTTTTCACTCCTTGCTCCTAGCATTGGCCCCCTTCTCTCCCTTCTTCCTGTCTTCTTTCCTTAGAGCTGGCCATAGAAGAGAACTGAAGTTTAAAAAATGTTTTTATTTGTTGTATCTGTGGAGTAGATTTTGATATTGACAATAATAACCTAAATGTGTTCTTATTGTAATAAAACCTCTCTTATCCCTGATAATATTGGATGGGGAGGGCCTGGAAAAGTGAAATACATGAATGATTCCCCAAATGTATTTCTGGGAGGGTTTCAAACTCACCTGGTACCAATCATTACTTTTATTTTTAATTATAACGCTTCCAGTAGCCTCCTCAATGTAATGATCCTTAATAGGTGTAAATATGGGATGATGATGGTAGACCATTGTGGAGTCATCATTCCTTGATCAACAGTTGCTTTTTTACTCTGAGTTTTGTTTATGGCACTGATGAATAGGTCATTTCACCTACAAAGAGACTGCCAAGCTTCTGATTAAGAGCAGAACATCAGCCAAGTAGACAGACATTTGGAAACATCTGGGCCCTTGGCATTGTTTATATTGGGCGTGTCTAATATAAACAGTGTCTTTGTAGTACCCTGGGGCATCTCTGGTTAGCTTAAGGTTGCCCAAAGAAAGAAAATGTAAGTTTAATTTTTAAAATCCATTCTTTATTTGGGGAATGCTAAGTGTGCTTTTGCTCTACTTTATACATTTTCCTGTTTCAAAGGCCCACATTCTTTGGTTCTTTCATTCTAATACTATCCAGCTTTGCCTGAACCCTGGAATTGAGCTTGGAGCTATTTCACTGGGTCACTCTTTGGCTAGATACTCTGCAAGCTGTGTTTCCTGTCTGCTAAGCTCCATTTTCTTTGTTATCCCCACAGCCTCAGTCCCCAAGTTCAGTAGTAGGAACTAGTTTCTGTGTAGACAGAAGCCTCATTAACCAATTACCCTGAATGTTACAGGCCATTTTTTGAAGAACCTTTTCTGTTTTAGGGTACAGCGTTCTCTGCTAGACTCCTCCATCTTTCGTGTCTTATATGGTTAAAAGTGTTAACTAATCCACCTTGTTCATCTCACTCAGTTTAGCAGTGAGTTAACTGAGACCCAGGATAATCCTGCAGTTTGTCATCTCTTGGATATCTGAGGTTGCTCTTACTCAGCACGTCCAGTGACTCTTTACTGGATTACTGCTATCAGCTCCTCACTTATTTCTACTGACAGCATTGCTTTCCTCCCAGGCCTTCTCCACAGAGTAGCCAGAGTAATCTACTTAGTTCCCTAATCTGATCTTGCCTGTCTGTCTCTCCCTCTTTGTTGTTCTCTCTCTCAAGCATATCAAGGACTTCCCATTTCTCTTGGGACAAACACAGACTGCTCACTGTCCGTGCCTCATGCTCTGTCCTCGTGTCCCATCCTGCTCTCTGGGTACCTGTCACCTTGGCTTTCTCTTACTCGTTACCACTACCACAGGGCCATTGATTCTTTCTTGATGTTCTCCCATCTTGTTGGCACTTCCCCGGGGTAGCTCCTTTAACTCTCAGCTCAGACCATGACACCCTCCCCTTCTCTCATCTGGGGTTCGATGCTCAGGTGCTACCCCTTGTCCCACTAGCAGGTTTGCTTCTGTTGTCTGTTTAGTTCTTGGGACCTGTCCTTCCCATCGGCTGTAAGTTCCATAAGGGCAAGAGTTGTGTCTGATTTACCCACCTTTTTCTGCCAGTCATTACTCAGTAAATATTTGTTGAGTGTTTGAAAAACATGAATGTCAATGTCTACAGGGAAATTAGTGGAAGGCTGGAACTAGAGCCAGTGCATTCTGACTTTCAGACAACAGCGTTTCCCTTTTACCAGGAGTCCCAGGGCAACCCTCTGATGTCACAAATATTGTGGAAGGTGGTCTGGGGATCCCATCATTAGGGTCCAATAATGGTAGGCTTTTTTTTCTACCTTATACTCTTGGCAACGGTGCATCAGGGTAGGAGGATATGATAGTAAGCTGCTAGTTTTCCTGTCATCCATTTTTCTTTACTTTTTAGCACATGCTGCTGTTTACTCAGATTTTGGTGTGAACATTTGCTTTAGCCTGTGTTATACACACATGTTGAATTTAATTTATAAACAGTTGGGGGATGTCCTGCAAAGAATGCTATGAATGCCAGGTACTTGGTCAACCCTTCCAGTTCAGGAGAAAACTAATTCCTTATTTAAGATGTGACCTGACCCACGCTTTGCCCTGGCCCTTTGCATAGCCTGGAGCGTCTTTACATCATGGGGAGCCCCAGACATAGGGAGAATCTGGTGAAATCTGTGGATCCTTCCCTAGGATAATAACCTTCCTAAAGGTTGCATAACACCAGTGCTATTCTATGATGTGTATGAATTGCTGCTGTGAGCATTCGTCGTATATCAGCCCTTGTGAACCCCTTAACAAACCTGTGAAGTAGCTGCTATCTTATTCCAATTTTACAGAATAGGAACGAAGGCACCAAGAAGTGCATTAACTTTCTCGTAAGTGGACAGTGGCAGAACTAGGATTCAAGTTTGGACTTACTGGCTACAGAGTCCAGCTCCTAAGCTTCACGTGTGCCCCATGCTCAGAAATTTACTTCTTGTATCAAGAAGGTATAGACCTCCAGAGCCCATAGGTAGCCACGGCTATGGACTGTTGGCCTCTAGGTTAAGAAACCCTGAATTTGAAGCTTCCAGCTTCTTCTACTGTCTCCATCATTCTGCTTTGATTTCATCACAATCTACATTAATCACAGCAAGGATAGTTCTAGAAACTTCATTCACCACATAGACCTTTCCTGTCTTTGCTCTTAGCCCATCTGTCCTAGTTAGTTCAGGCTGCTGTAACAAAATAACATAAACTGGTGGCCTAAACAATAAACATTTCTCAGAGTTCTGGAGGCTGGAGGTCCAAGATTAAGGCACCAGCAGATTCAGTATCTGGTGAGGGCCTGCTTTCTGATTCATAGATGATACCTTCTCACATTCCATGGTGGAAGGGAAGGCAGCTGGCTGGAGGCCTCTTTTTTTCTTTTTTTTTGGATGATATCTCATTCTGTCACCTAGGCTGGAGTGCAGTGGCATTATCTCGATCACCGCAGCCTCCGCCTCCTGGGTTCAAGTGATTTTCCTGCCTCAGCCTGCCAAGTAGCTGGGATTACAGGTGCCCGCCACCACACCCGGCTAGCCTTTTGTACTTTTAGTAGAGACGTGATTTCACCATGTTGGCCAGGCTGGTCTCAAACTCCTAACCTCAGGTGATCCGCCCCCCTCAGCCTCCCAAAGCGCTGGGGTTATAAGCACAAGCCACCGTGCCTGGCCTGGGGATCTCGTTTTGAAGTGCACTAATCCCATTCACGAGGGTTCCACCCTCATGGCCTAATCACCTCCCAAAGGCCCTGACGCATCATACCATTACATGGGGGATTGGGGTTTCAATTTGTGAGTTTCCAGGGACAAAAACATTCAGTCTGTAACACCATTCATTGTTCTCCTGTCTTTAGCTGTTAGCTTGGCACCTTCCAGTTTGTGCCTTATCCAGATTCAACTTTTCCTGCTGTTGTTTTAATTTTTAGATTAAATTTTATTTGTATTTATTATTTTTGTAGTACCGTTTTCTTCTAATTTATTTATTTCATTTTGATTAAATGAATTGATTTTAAAAGAAAACTCTTTATCAACACCATTATTGGAAAAACCAGTTCTGTTTGACTGGTAGAGACTTACTGCTAGAAATATGTCCATAATCTACAAAAATAAATCAATCTTGCTCATGTTATTAAATTTTAGGGTTATGCTTATTCTTGAGTAAAAGTGGGAAATGAATGAGTATCAGGGAACTATGTGGGTTATATTAGCACCCAACTATGATTTTCTTTTCTTTGATATAATCAAAAAGATAGAAATAATTCAGAAAAGGCAGTATCTTTTTTTATTCTGTTTTAGTGAACTAAAAGCATCTACTCAATACTTAAGATCTCCCCCCCAGGCCCGGGCTGGGCACAGTGACTCACACCTGTGTAATCTCGACACTTTGGGAGGCCAAGGTGGGTGAATCTCTTGAGGTCAGGAGTTCGAGACCAGCCTGGCTAACATGGTGAAACCCTGTCTCTACTAAAAATACAAAAATTATTTGAGCATGGCTACTCAGGACACTGAGGCAGGAGAATCACTTGAACCCAGGAAGCTGAGGTTGCAGTGGGCGGTGATCACATCATTGCGCTCCAGCCTGGGCAACAGAGCGAGACTCTGTCTCCAAAAAAAAAAAAAAAAAAAGTCCTTACCAATTTGATAGACTCCAAATGGTATCTTATTGCTGTTTCTGCCTGTATATTCTTACCCAGGGCAGACTTCGGTGCCAGATTACAGAGAACTTAGAATGTAGAAAGAACGGTGCAGACCTAGGCAACAGAAGGGAGGAAGACATGTGGGAAAAGACATCCAGAGAGAGAAGCATCCAGAGAAAAAGGAGACCAGAGTCACATCCTTTTTGGCATGCAAATGTTTACATATTGCTTTAGGTTTTGAACATTTTCTTGAGAAGCCTTCTCACTTGCCTGCTCTTCAGAACCGACAGAGGTAGATGCCATCTCAAAAAAAGTAAAATAAAAGATCTCCTCCCAAATAGTATTTGAGCCACCCCCGCTCTTCCTATTGTCCCTGCCTAATGACACTTGTTATTGTGTGAGAAAGTGTTGCTTTAAAGTATAACTTTCTCTGAAAACAGAGAGTTACACCTGTGTGGCCAGTCTTCCGTGCTGTCCAGGAGCTCCACCCTTGATTCTAGAAATGAGTTTGGAAATAACCACCACTGAATATGTGTTTGCTGGCTTCCTGGCCCTGGATCATCTGCTTTCCCAGTGTGATTTTTCTCCAGGTGTCAAAATAGCCCAGCCAGGTAGGCACTGCAGTAATTATCACCATTTGAACAGTGATAGAAACTGAGGCACAGAGAAGTTGGGTAACCTTCCTGAGGTTACCACTGTTAAGTGGCAGAATGGAATTCCAACATGTCTTGAGCTCATATGCATGACATCTTGTGCTCTGCAGTGACTGCCTTCGGTATATTCTGTTTCAAACAGTTCAATGTTATCACTGGTCATCAGAAAATGTGCTAGCTGGGGAAGTTCTCTCATTCCAGTTTTGTGTGTAAACAAAAATATGAGACATTTTTGGAAGGGGTGGGTGGACATGTAACATGCTGTGTGCTCTGGTGAGAAACACTGTAAAATGAAAAATGAGATTAATGTTTCAGATTGTACAGTTCCCTAATTATGCTTTTAATTATTCATATAAAACAAGTAAAATGACCCCTGACAGAGATATAAATGATTTAGGTAAAATCAAATATTTATAAGATGCTGCTGATTCCCTGGGTGTATTGTAACAGATGCAATCAAAACGTTTTGCCTTCGTCCTGTGGATGCAAAATGTTATGTATGGAACTTATAACTGGCTGAGAAGAATCAACAGTGTTTGAAACACTACTGAGCTAATGCCTAGATGTTTTGACATCAGAACTAAAGGTATGTGGTTGGTATAATATAATATTTTAGAAGATATTTTATTATATCTGTATATATAGATATATTTTATATAAGATTTTAGATATTATCTTCTAAGATATTATATTTTAAGGGTCACACAATGATAAGTTTCCCATTTTTACATTTTTAAATGATTTGAAAAGGAAAAGTCGGTAATATTTCATGACACGTTGAAAATTTTGTCAAATTTAAATATCAGTGTGGTTAAATAAAGGTTTATTGGATCATAGCCTCACCCATTCATTTAAGTATTATCTGTGGCTGCTTCTGTGCTATAAAGACAAGATTGAGTAGTTACAGTAGAGACCAATTGGCCTGCAAAGCCTAAAATATTTACCAACTGGCCCTTTACAGGAAAAGTTTACGACCCCTGTTCTAAAACATGCCCAACACAGAGTGAAGGTGGCACAGTGCTGTAGCATGTTTAATTGGCACAAGAAACACTTACTTTTACTTCATTTTATCCTTTAATTTGCTGTTCTACTAATTGAGCATTCCTTGTATATTTTTTCAGAAGTTGGAGAAAAACTGCCTTTTGAATGCAATAAAAAGGGATTTATATGAGAAGGTTCCTTCACTTGCTTTTAATGCTTCCTTTATATAGAGAAGTACTGAAACTAATTGCAGTATTCTAGAAATGGGTCATTAGCCTAGTCCCTATCTTTTATGGAGACCTAATTTTCATGCAGGATTTCTCGCTAAAGCTCTAACTAGGATCTCTTTAGGAAGAGGAGACAATGAGGATAAGTACTTTCCCATGGCTTACACAAGCTTGGCTTTTGATCACAAACCATTCGGTATATTGTTTGGCACCTTACATGTGTTTAGCAGCCAATAAGTATTTATTGAATGAATGAATGAATGAATCCACTTCTAGAGAAACAAAAAAAGGGAATATATCTCTTGAATAGAATTTGTTTTTTATGCATTTAGACATTATATTCCTTTTGGAAAAATATTTTTTGTCAGTGTAAATCCAAGTTATTCTCAATTTCTCCTTCCTGTATTTCAAGAAAGAGCAGTATATTTTTGAAATTTAGGGTTGGAATTTAGTTGAGGTTCCCTATGTTGCGGATGCTTTCAGGTATTCTTTGGATGGGTTAAGGGAAAATATTTTTTTGCTTGAAAGTAAAAGAAACAGTCAAGAAAACGAGTTAGCTGCCAGTATTTGAGTGACTTCAAGAGTAGATTTTTGCATTACACTTTCCTGGGTACTGTTATTAAATACAGACTCCCAACTGTCTTCCCACTTACTGTTGCCTTGATATTGGAAGCACCCACAAATTTTTATTTCCTGATATCTTGCCTACATTTTCTGACCAAAGAAACATGCCTATTGCATCTGGCTGATCATATATATTTCCTCTCTTGTTCCAGACCTTGAATCTTGGGGTAGCCCCATGAATCAGTGCTTAAAAAGAAAAATCTTGCTCTCTAGATGATTTTGACCATCAAGCAGTTTTAGGAGACACTGATTCAGAGCGACTTTTTCTGTCATTGTTTCCATTTTTTTTTTTAAATCTGTTAAATGGATAAGTAATTCTGAGATCATTCTCTGGAAAGTATCATGATTTAGGGCCAACTGGTGCTCTGAGAGCATTCTGCAGCTAGAATGAACTAATTTATTCAGGCGGGTGTGTTCAACATATTTTTTCATAGGTACATGAGGACATAATTCATATCATGGTAATGGTGAACTTTATTAGAAGTAACAGAAAAACTCCATTTGGTTTTGAAACTCACTTTGTTTTCCTCTCTTCTCATTTGTTTCACACAGTCGCCATCCTTCTGAAAGACGACTATTTTGTCAGTGGAGCTGGTCTACCTGGCAGATTCAAAGCTGAGAAGGTGGAATTTCACTGGGGCCACAGCAATGGCTCAGCGGGCTCTGAACACAGCATCAATGGCAGGAGGTTTCCTGTTGAGGTGAGAGAAAGTCAAGATCTCAACGTGTAGCTGTGCTTCGGTCTTTATGTTAATCAGATGCTGTGCCCTTACCCTCAGTCATTTTGCAAATCACAGCTGTACAGTACCTAACTTCCTCTCTCTGGAAACCCTTTATCCATAGTATGGCAGGTGGGTATCCATCCTTGTTTCTCACCTTTGTTTAACTGGAGAAACACAGAAGCCACAGGCATCATGGTTTGAGTAGACTCACTACTGGTTGATGATGTTCATCATGTGTTTCATTTGACACAGTTTCTTTTCACTGTCTGTTCCCATTTTTGAAAGGTGACATTTTGTACGAAACTGGGTTGACTTCATTTTCACCCTTAAGAAAATAGAAAAGTTGGCAACATGAAGAGGAGTCTCTCTCAGAACCTTCTCTTGGTAGCAAAGTTTTAAGTTTTTTTTGCTCTCACTGGCTGTTGAAAAAGAGGCTGTGGTGGTATGAGTCACTGTTAATTTTGTTAGGATTGATGGTGACATTTTGCTTCTGCTGTGTCAGTCTTCTCAGTGATCCATCCTGCTGGACAGAAGAAGGGTGTGGGTGCACTAGGTCAGATGCTGCTGTGTATCTGCTTAGAGCCAGGGTGAGGGCGGGAGCATGTCTCCAACTCCTTTATTAATGTTGAGTAGGGACAGCACATCTCTTCCAATGCCAACCTTATATATTTCCTCTAATCATGATTGTTGTGTGAATATTCTTTTGTTGTGATGAACATGTTTGTTTCTTGGTAGGTCCCCCATGTGGTAAGCCTTAGAAGTGTGTGGAAGAACAAAATAGATGTGGTTCTGAAACCTGCCCAATAGTCCTATAGACAGTTGCTTTGGATAAACATAGAAATTGACCCTTCTGCTCTTAAAACTCCACACTTATGTTTTATTTGAGTTCCTTCCTCAGGAAAGGACCTTCAGGCCTCTCAAAAAAGTATCAAAGGGCTGAAGTTCACCAGACCATTGCACCAAATACCTCCTTGCCCCTCCTTAGTTCTTGTTTTCTTACACATTGTTACATTTCTTCCTTGCTATATAAATCTCTAGTTTTAGTCAGTCGGGGAGCTGGATTTGAGACTGAGCTTCCATCTCTTCTCTCGACTGCAGCACCCGATTAAAGCCTTCCTTGGCGATGCTTGTGATCTCAGTGATTGGCTTTCTGTGCAGCGAGCAGCCGGACCTAGACCGAACCCCTGGTGTTTCAGTAACAGTTCCAGCCGATGGCTGTATTCAAACATGGAGTGACTTTTCACTGGTAACATATGTTAATCAAAGGAGCTGCATGGCCAAGAAAGGTTTTCAACTGTTAGAATTTCATAGCTTCTACGTCTTGTCCTGCTTTGATAATCTGATGAATTCTTGAGACCCCCTTCACAAAGAAGACACATGCATCTATCTACACATAGATTTACATGTAACTGATAGGGTTTCGTCATTCTCCCTAGCTCCTCAGGCCCATTTTTGAACCCTCTAAGTATCCTGGAAGCTCTGTTGAAGAATCTCTACACAATATGAAAGTAATGTTTATTTTTCTATAGATGCTTATATGGCCATGTATATTTGTTTCTTATCCACTGTTCCTGGAGAAACCAGAGATAACTACTCTGAGAAAATGCTTCATGTTTTTTCTTGTTTAGCTGACAAATTCTCAGTATCAGAATTCTTCCTGCATTAGGACTCCTCTATCTGTGGGACTTCCTATCCTAGTCACAATAACGATATCTTTCATGAGTTGGGTTTCTACTTAATTGGTTCTCTTCCACCCTTAAAATGGAATGAATCATTTCTTAGAAGTCTTAGCTTTATTTCCACTTGGAAAACTTTATTCCTAGAAGCAAAATTACATCATGTTCTTAAGTGTAGGATTTTCCTTCTGGTCTTGCTGACAGGTTCCCATTGGCAATATGAGTTGAAGGGGTAGCTTTGTGTCCAGCAAGCCTTGCTCTGAAGCCTCTTTGTCTTAGAATTGGGTTTCCGTTTGTTCATTTAATGTCGTTTTGGACAAAAGACCTGTCCTGAAAGTTTAAAAACTTAATCAGATGGCTACCTTGGAAAAGAAGACCTCTAGAGCTAGGAACTGGGAACCTTGCCTCTGTGTAATTACATTTCCTCATGCCAAAAATGGCCAGTTTCCTCTTTACATTTGATTCTGGGAATAACGTATCAAAGACATTAATATCCTTTTTTTTTTTTTTTTTTTTTTTTTTTTGAGATGGAGTCTCACTCTGTTGCCCAGGCTGGAATGTAGTGGCGCATGATATCAGCTCACTGCAATCTCCGCCTCCTGGGTTCAAGCAATTCTCCTGCCCCAGCTTCCCAGGAAGCTGGGATTACAGGTGTGTGCCACCATGCCTGGCTAATTTTTGTATTTTTAGTAGAGACAAGGTTTTACCATGTTCGCCAGGCTGGTCTTGAATTCCTGACTTCAAATGATCCACCTTTCTCAGCCTCCCAAAGTGTTGGGATTACAGGCGTGAGCCACCGTACCTGGCCAGAGATTAATATTCTTTTGAAACCTATGGCTTTTGATGAATATTTCAGTTTTACATTTCTCAGAGGGAGCCATTGAATTCAGAAGCTAATTAGAAATGGCAGCCACCATGCCCAGGCTTATTGTTTGACCAGGTTGTTTGGATGTTTTTCTTTTAAGTAATGTCAGATGGTAAGGCTGCCTATATCAATTGGGTTTCTCATTGAGGTCCATCTGATTCATAGCTTGATTTCTAAAAATGTGATAACCATATTAATGGTATATTTGGAGGAACTTGAATTTCAGAGATTAAATAACTGCATTAAATTTAACTTTAAAATATGCACAAGAAAGTTGCTTGCCTTTGCCCAAAGTGTGTCTGTGATATTTTATGTTAAGTTGCTTTATTTGAGCTCTTCATTAATACCCATCTCTCCCTACGATTTTTATACTATTTGAGCATCTTACGCTTGGTTTATTTCTTTTCATATAACTACATTGTTTTCCATATAACTACATTGTTTTCATTCTTAAAAACTAGAATGAAAGTAAGAAAATTTAATTTATCATGGAGCAATTTATCAGCATTGGGGGCATTAATTATTTGTCTTGCATGCAGTATGTATGAGGGCTACAGAAGAATCATTGTTGAAGATTGTACTAGGATTGGTAGAGTACAGCTATGGTTCTGAGCTGGGGTCAGCATCTCCCCCCTGCACCCTGGGACATTAGGTAATGTCTGGAGACATTTCTTGTTATTGCCATTGTTAGAAGTGTTATGGTATTACTTTCTAGTTGGTAGAGGCCAGGGATACTGCTATACATTCCAATGTAAAGGACAGCCCCCACTAAAAGGAATCATCCAGCCCCAAAATGTCACTAGTGTCACTGTGGTGAGATTCTGGAGTGGAGAAAGCAGTGTGTTTAGTGGAATTAAGCATTTCTTTATCTAAGTAGCATCATTTAAAATACATTTGAATAAAGAGGACTTGTTTCTTGGGAAGTCATTCCATCCTCTTTGGTTTTTAGAGAGTAAATGTACCTTGCCTTATGTGTAACAGCATTGCTGTTCCTGGTTTCTTTAGTATCTACTTGAGATGCAGTCACGACCTTGGGAATTTTAACAGCTCCCTCTGTGCTGTGGCTCTGCAGGCTGAATTTTAAACATGTGCCCCACAAGAAGCTGGATCTGCTCCCTGAGGGTAAATGGCAGCAAACTCAACTTTGTAGGTTTTGTTGCTTCCCAGGAATTCTTTGAGGTCATCTGAGACAACTTTGTAGGCATCCAGAAATTAAAGCTCTCTGAATTTTCCTGGCTGGAATCCTAGACTCCGTCTTGTAGTTCCTACACTTAAAAACATCTAGTCTAATAGTTAACAAAGAAAGCCCTTGTACAAACAAAACAACAAAACAAGACGAAAGCTCTTCAATAACCAGTGTTCTTTACAGCTCAGTTAAAGTTAGAAAAGAAAGTTGAAGTCAGATTACAATGCCATGCCTTGGAGACTGAACTCAATTTGGATCCTCAGATGCCCTCACCTCCTGTTACTGAGCTTTATTCCTTGCCTAGCAGCACATTTTTCTTGAGTATCTTCTGTTGTACCTGTGCTGGTACACAAAGATAAGTCAGAAAGTCACAGTTCCTGCCTTCAAGGTATTTACACTCCAGTGGTGACACAGAAATTAAACATTGGTCATGTAAATATATGTGCAATTTCATTTGTGTTATAGTCTGAAGTAGAGGGACATTTTGATAGGGGATGGAAGCTTTCAATGGAGACATGGATACTTATTAGACGGAAAAGATGAGTTGGAGCTTCCTAGTAGAATAAGGATATGCAAAAGCCCTGAGGCAGGTGGTGTTTGTTAAGTTTAAGGAATAGAGAGGCCAGTAGAGATTTTGGTAGGCAAGATAATGTCTCTTCTTCCAAATGTCTGCTGTAAATACGTTACTTTATGTGGTACAACAGACTTTGCAGATGTGATTAAGTGTCCTTAAAGTAAACAAACTCAGAATATTCCAGTCATTAAAACAGGATGACCTGTTTCAGTTCTTCTGTGGCTACTCAGCTTTCTGTTGTCTGTCCAGCCACAGTTATCTATGACAGCTTCTATCGTATCCTAAACTTTTTTCCTATTCCACACTCATTCCTGTTCTGTGGTTGGTAACTTAAATAAAGGTTCATATAACACTAATAGAAATTGAATCATGCTGTATTTCCACTAATAACCAAAGTTGCAGTTAATGCAAAGAGAAACCTCCAGATAAAACCTTTGAGAACTCCATTAAAGTGGGGGGTTCATTGCATGCTTGTTGTTTGAGGTAATTAAAATCTTATTTATGACAATAAAAGATCACGGGAGTTGTTGATTCAGACTTACTGGTGCTTTATGAGTTGAAGTCTTCAATAAGCTTAAATGATCCAAATTGATTGTATGTGCCCCTTCTGGTAAAAGTCACAGCTGGTTCATTTCAGCTCTGTTCAGAGCATTTTAGTGAATGAATAGAAGCAAAGGCATTTTTCCTAATGTATACCATGTACACGTTACCATATGGTACAGGTCTGCAATCCCTTATCTGAAACTCTTGAGGCCAGATGTTTTAGAATTCAGAATCTTTCTTAGAAAGTTATTATAGCCCAGCGGTCCCCAACCTTTTCGACACCAGGGACTGGTTTTGTGGAAGACAGTTTTTCCGTGGACTGGGTGGGGTCGGGGGTTCAGAATGAAACTGTTCCACCTCAGATCATCAGGCATTAGTTGGATTCTCAAAAGGAGCATGCAGCCTAGATCCCTCGCACGTGCAGTTCACAATAGGGTTTGTGCTCCTATGAGAATGTACTGCTGCTGATTTGACAGGAGGCAGAGCTCAGGTGGTAATGCTCCTTGCCCACCACTCACCTCCTGCTGTGCGGCCCAGATCCTAACAGGCCATGGACTAGTACTGGCCCTGTTGGAGCCCATGTGCCATGTATATTTCAGAAGGCAACCAGTAAGGTCTGGAACTACACCCTTAAATTCATTAATATTCCTATAACGAGCAAATGAACAGCCATGCTAAGTGGAAATATCAGTACTCTACATAGCTTCACATTTCTTCATATCTGGTTTTACCACCAAATTAGTTTTTGTACCAAATTCATAAAAAGAACAAAA
Organism: Homo sapiens; assembly: GCF_000001405.40. Classification (NCBI taxonomy): domain Eukaryota; kingdom Metazoa; phylum Chordata; class Mammalia; order Primates; family Hominidae; genus Homo; species Homo sapiens. The sequence goes on from NC_000003.12 coordinate 62,009,136, forward strand.
TACCTTTTTGTCTTGAAAAAGTATCCAGGGCCATTGTATGGGTCTCATGCCTATTGAGTGACTTCAATGTCTTATGTCTAAAGAGCACTGCTGGGTAGTTACAACCATGACACAAGCAGGTTAAATCATGTGTCTCCCTGTGGGGTGGATGTGTCCCAGTACTTCTCTCTTCCTCCTCCTGTCTTTGTCTTCATATTGTGCAGCATTCTTAGGCAAAGTTCAGGATTGTCCAGCCAGAAGTTTCTAGTTTTAGGCTGACCTTGTTCTGTGATCGATTCTCCTTTGAACATTCTGTTTGGGCCTGCAATTGTCTTCAATATCCATGTCTTCAGGTATGTTACCTTGACCTCCTACTGCACTCTTCTCCTGTCTGCTCAAATCCTGCCTTCCTCCTGAGAGCCTTCCTAATGATTTGCCATCAATTTTATGAAGTCGATCGGGGTTCTTCCCTGGAATACGTCTGTCACATTTTGGTTGGAGAGTTGTCTTGTAATGACCCCTAGGTTATGGCTCAGGTAAGAGAATGTGTTCCTTGTCTCTGGTAAGCACGTCCAGTTGTGTCACACACATAAAGGCCTTGCACAGTGCCACCCTCTCCACACTGATGCAGGCACTCAGGTTCCTGCCTTACTTAGATGTGGACCAGCCTGTCTAGGGTTTGAGGCCCACATGGATCCTGAGCTTCAGCAGCATGATATGTTAAAGCCTAGACTACATGTCAGGTTGGGTAGCACCGCTTAAATAATCCCTCCTTCACTGCTGGAATAAGTTTATGTATACATATTTGTATGCATGTATGAATGACAAGGTCTTACTGTGTCACCCAGACTGGAGAGCAGTGGTGTGATCACAGCTCACTGCAGCCTCAACTTCCTGGGCTCAACCGGTTCTCTTGCCTCAGCCTCCCGAGTAGCTGGGGCTACAACCACACACCACCGTGCCCAGCTAATGTTTTTTATTTTTTGTAGAGACAAGGTCTTGCTATGTTGCCCACGCTGGTCTTGAACTCCTGATCTCAAGCAGTCCTCCCTCTTCGCCCTCCCAAAGCCTGGGATTTCAGGTGTGAGCCACCATGCCTGGCCTGGAAATAAGTGTGATGGATGAAATACTTTCTTGAAGATTTATTTGTACATTGGCATATTAAGGGCTTTGAAGAGTCCTCCGCTGAAGAATCTGTTTACCTTTGTTTAACACAATGTTTTCCCAAACTTACATGGCCTCTGTCCCTCTCTTCTTGTGTGTGTGTGTGTGTGTGTGTGTGTATAAGTTCATAATATCACTGTTTTGGAAATGTAAGTTTATACTTTTCTCCTCTCAACCTTTAGTCCATATTCCTTTTAAGAAATGGGGTCCTGTTCAAATACATTGTTGTTTTGGTTTCTTTTCCTTTTCTATTTTGTTTTTGAGATGAAGTTTTCCTGTGTTGCCCAGGCTGGTAGTGCTGGCTACTCAGCAGCATCTCATGAGCCCAGGAGTTCAAGGCCAGCCTGGGCAACATAATGAGAGTCTATCTCTAATAAAATAAAATAAAATAAAAAATAAAACTATAAAGACATCTTGGCTTGTTCAAGAAACAATTTTTTAGCATCTTTATGAACTTGATGCTATCTTGTTTTATCATTAGAACTGTCATCAGAGGGGGTCTGAGATATTTTCTATTAAAAATAACATTTCCAGTATAACAGTTTTTCCCCCGTGTTGTGTACTTTATGTCAGTTCCTGGAATTATTACAGGTGATGCACGATTTTTGCTCCTTTAGCTAAGCAAGGTCCAGGTTCTTGTCTCATGACCAGGAAAAATTAGGCACGTGGACACCAGAGAGTGAGTGCAGTAGAATTTATTAAGTGAAAGGAAAGCCTTCAGCAAAGAGAAGGATCCTGAAAAAATGGTTTCCGGTTGCCCCCTTCCCAGTTGAATACCCTGGCTTGTATCTAAAAAACTGATGAGGCTGGGTTCCTTATTTGTATATGGCGTGAATTCCTGGTGGCTCCACCCCATCCTTCCAGTGCGCATGCAGGCCCTTAGACTGAGCTGCTTCATATTGATTTATTTCCCTCCCGTGCATGTGTTAAGGAATTGAATTGTCCGCCGCTGGCATATTTAGGCAAGCTCCCTGTGCAGGTTCCCTTATCTGCACAAAGTATCTGGTGTAAACACATGGGGCGGGTCGGAGGTTCTACGGGAACCCTTCCCTTACTGTCTGCCTATAGAAAGCTGGTTAACTCCTTTCATAGAGTCTCTGAAAAGTTTCTTTTTTCACAGAGTCCTTTGTCATGAAGCTTAAGACAATGCCTGTTTTCTCTGTGCTGCCTCTTCATGGAGCGTGGACGTGTTAGAGAGATCATCCCATGGTTATCTGGTGTTTGCTATTCTGTGGTGTAGCCTAGTAGTGACTTCCATCAAATGGGAAAGGAATTGGTTGAAATTTAGTTAATGACTTTATTGAAATAAAGATTCCATTTCAGAGCAGAATGTTTCATCCTTTGCTAGTGAAATGTTTAATTTCCATCTGGCTGATCTTTTATGTGTATGTCCTGTGTTAATTAAGAGGAACATGTGAGGATGCCCTAGTACTTAGAGAATACTCAGTGGAGAAGTTAATGCCTGGTTGTGCAAAGCAAGCGTGCAAGTTTTGTGAGGTAAAACAGCTTTGGTCCCTGGCTTGGTAAATCTCCATGATGTCTGGCAGTCCTCATCGCAGTCATCCTTAGACAAGAACTTGGCTCAGGGCTGTTTGATGGTGTGTCAGTGACACGTGGTGTGCTGATAGCTGTTTGAATCATACCAAAAACTACAGTAAAGAAGATGGCACACTCTGAAAAGAAAACCTGGTTAAGTTGGAGATACTCTCAGTGTAGAAACTTGGTGACCGTGGTGGCCCTCACAACCATATAGAAGGCTTAGGGTAGTGGCGGTTGTGGTTGAAGTCACTGATACTGGTGTTGGTAGTGGTAATAGTGATGATATTGTAGATGCAATTTAATAGACACGACCTATATCAGGCACTTTCTAGATGTTTCTTCATGTCAACCTTGTGAGAGAGGGACTCTTCTTATACCCATCTTAAAGATGGAAAGACTGAGCTTCTGCAGGCTTGGCTGAGACTTCCTGTTAGTACTCCAGAATCTGGGCTCGAATATCTCCAACACCTTAACCATAATTGGTTTTATTAGGTAAGTAATTCTGCTGTTTTTCTTGTCATTGTTTTAGGTTGTTTTCAGAACCGCTGATGCAGTAGGTAGAAGTCATTTTTTCAGAATCTTAACTGTTGCTTATTGTACCAGTTGAGTGTTCCTCATCTGAAATGTCTGGGACCAGAAATGTTTAATTTTTAAATTTTTTTTATTTGGGAACATTTACTTATATATAATGAGGTTTCTTGGGGATAGGATTCAAGTCTAAACACAGAATTCATTTATGTTTCATATGCCCCTTAAATACGTAGCCTGAAGGTAATTTTTTATAAGTTTTAAATAATTTTATGGATGAAACAAAGTTGTGAGTGCATTTTCATTGCAACCCGTCACGTGAGGTCAGGTGTGGAATTTCCCACTTGTGGCATCATATCAGAGCTCAAAAAGTGTCAGATTTTCAAGCATTGAAAAGATTTTGGATTTTTAAGATTTGGGATGCTCAATCTGTATCGTAGGAAAGAAAAAAATGAAAGGGCTTCAAATGTTCAGAGATGGCTGAACCTGTAGTAAAATATACAGAGAGATACGAAGGGAATAGAAATTAGTCAGCACTTATGCCTAGAGCTATCTGTGCAAAAGGGTATACTTTTTATCTGGATTGACCGCTTCAGTCTATTTTTAATCACTGAGAGCAATACTATCTGGTAAAAATATAATGTGAACCATACATTGTCACTTTAAATTTTCAGAAGCCTCCTTAAAAGAGGTAAAAAGGAAGATATTATTTTATTTTATTTTAACAAATATTTTTATATTATACAATAATACAACTTAAACAAGAATATTTACTATAAAAGAAATTCAATTTCAGTTGAATTAATCTGTTTCCCCAATACATTCCAAAATATTGTTTTAACATAAAATCAATATAAAAAGGTATCGCTGAGACATAGTACATTCTATTTTTATACTATGTCCTTGAAGTCTGGTTTGTATTTTACAGTTACTACCATACTAAAACTTGCAAAACTTTTTGATTCCAGACCACAATAATGGAATTTTGATAATAAACTACATGAGAGACTAACAAATTCTTTAGGAGGTGTTTTTATGTTGAATTTTTGGTAATTTTGACTTCTTCTCTTCCAACGGCGGCAACAAAAAAGGTGAAAGGATAGAAAGTAGCAGGTATGTACAGTGAACAAATCTGAAGAACTAATGTACAGCAGAGGGACTATAGTTAATAAAAATGTATTGTATGCAGTATTCAGGATTTTTGCTAAACGTGTGGATTATCTCTGCTCTTGCAGCAGGGCTTGGGTAGCTATGGGAAATGATGGGTATATTAATATGTTTCACTATAATCATCATTTTACTATCTAGATTATGTACCTCATAATGTTGTATACCTTAAAATAAAATTTGTTTTAAAAATACACATATAGTAGTTCAGTTTTATATTGGAATCTGATTTATTTATTGAAAAGGCTTCACTTAGATGCTGTACAGGTTTTTTTTTTTCTTCTTCTTTATAAGCTTTAACTTTTTTCCTCTTATTCTTTTTTGCAACATTTGTTCCTGGAGCTTTGAACACTATTCTTCTCAGAATCCACTTCCAAGCTCGGGAACTCAAATAAAGCTGGCTGGGGAGACCTTTGTGCACTGAAGGTAGAGACTTCAGGCCGCCAGATCAGATGTATTGTAAGTTCAGGTCAAGAGGATTTATGGGCCTGTGTATCAGCAACACCACCAACTGCCTTTTTCTCTTGTCCTGTCAAAATTTGAGCGGGAAGGTTTCAAGCCATCTTAAATCTAAAGCCTTTAGCAAGTTCTTTAGTGCCACCGTCACTCAGAAGGGACAGTCAGAAAGATTTATAAGGAATAGAAGGGAGTCAAGTTTGAAAGAAAGTCTATTTCCTCTCTTCCCTTTAAATCCCTGGCATAGAATTTCATTGCACCCCCCCTTTAATGGAATGGGAAGAAAGTTTCAAAAGCTTCTCAGTCCGGATTGTTTGGCCTGGCGCTGTATTGAGCACGGATACTGCTCTGGATACGTTTACTGTGATGGATGGAGACCAGCTGGGCAAATTTACCAAAACCCTATCTTATTTAAAAATATAAATTTCATCTCTTGAGTGTTGGAGGATGTCTTAGCAAGACAGGGTACTTTAAAACTCAGGTTAGTATGTGGAAGATATTTAGGTTAATAGTAAAATAACTTCTAAATCCCAGCTATTACCACACAGATAGAGCTTCAACTCCTGAATCTCCCTATTAAAACCTTCACTCTGTTCATTTCTAAAATTCAGTATTTCAGGGAATTTTCTGAGTTCATGCCTCTGTGTTCAGCATGCCCTGATTAGGGAAGACTTGGAGTGAGAGAAACCTCACGCACTCCCCTTGCTATTTCTTAGCCTGCCTCTGTGTTTGCTTCTTTGAATTTGTCTTTGTCTCTGATTGCCTGTCTCTATCTCTTTCATCATCATTCTTTGTGTCATTTATTGGAAGGGTATAAGTGGGTACTGAAATACCTAAGCATATATAGTCAGCACCCATCGAAAAAGATGGCCCCAGCATATTTTCTGGATTCATCTTATTCTATCTAAATTATCTGCCTAAAAGTTGACTTAGGAAATGCTGCATGACATGTCTTCCTCTTAGAGCTTGATAATGGGCTATCACAGTCCTGAGACATATTCTAGGGCTAACATAGTCCTGAGACATATTCCAGGGCTAACATAGTTCTGTGACATATGCCAGTAGGGAAACCCCAAATAGTTCAGTGGAGAGCTTTTCTTTCAGCCATGATGCCATGATAATACAGTATGTAGAATGTTTAAATTATTTCCTTACTGGCTTCTCTAGAGACATTTCTAAATGACGCACAGTGTTTATTCATTTGGTTCATTAACAGAGCCTTCTCTGTGGAGGGCAGAGTGTCCTGGCCTCAAGAGGCTTTTTCTTCAGCAGGCACTGAGGCCCTGAGACAGGAGCCTGCCTGGCCTGTTTGAGGCAGAGGCAGGAACCCGGGGCTGCTGAAACAGCAGGAGAAAGGAGCAGAGTGATAGGAGGTGCGGTCAGCAGATAGGCAGTGTGATGGTGTGAGGTCTTGGAGACCATGGGAAGCTCTGTGGCTTTTACTGCAGGCAAGATGGGAAATTGTTAGAATGTTTTCAGCAGAGAATGTTCTCCATCTCAGTTTCCTAACTTATATTTTTTAACATTTTATTTTAAACAAAAAAAATTTTTTTTTACAACCCAAGGTCTTGCTGTGTTGCCCAGTCTGGCCTCGAACTCCTGGGCTAATGCAATCGTTCCACCCCAGCCTCCTGAACAGCTGGGACTACAGGCACACACCATCACACCAGTCTATCTAGTTTATGTTTTAGAAGGATCCGTCTGGCTGCACTTGAGAGTGGGGAAGACCTGTGGGTGCTGAGAGCCAGGCTAGGAGATAATTGTAACATTTCAGGAGAGAGGATGGTTGGGTGGGCCACAGAGGAGTGTTTTGAGAAAAACATCTGATTCCAATTGTTTTGAAGGCAGAAGATGCTCGTGGAGGGGATATCATGTTGATGTTATCTCAGGGCATGCGGTTTATACTTCTTGGTTTAAAAAAAGAACAATTTGAGGAGAGAAAATCATGGACAACTTACCAGTCAGTAAGTTTTTTAAAAGTCTTTTAAAGCTTTGACTATCCAGTATTCAAATCTTGTGTAATACCTATTACAGATCAGTTTTCACTGCATAATATGTTATATACTAAAGAATGTAACATAGAGAAGTGATCATTAAGCACATTATTAATAGTATAAACCCCCTCCTCATAGAGTAAATTTGAGTTAATAGACATAGAGTACTTTGAGCAGGATTTGGCATTCTTACAGTTTATTTATATTAACTATATATATTTTTAAGACCTAGTCTCACTCTGTTACCCAGGTTGGAGTGCAGTGGCATGATCTTGGCTCACTGCAACCTCCGCCTCCCAGGTTCAAGCAATTCTCCTGCTTCTGCCTCCTGAGTAGCTGGGATTACAGGTGCTTCTACTATGCCCAGCGAATTTTTTGTATTTTTAGTAGAGACGGAGTTTCACTATGTTGGCCAGGCTGGTCTCGAACTCCTGACCTCGTGATTCGCCTGCCTCAGCCTCCCAAAGTGCCGGGATTACAGGTGTGAGCCACCGCGCCCGGCCTGTATTAACTATTAATATGAACTCAGTAGTCTTCTTGTCACATGAAGCAACAGATCCCCAATCCATCTATTTTGTTTCTTTTCCACTATTTCTACCCTGATTCAAGCCAACACCATTTCTGACTTCAGTCATTGCTATAGATTCTAAAAAAGGTCTCTCTTGCCCTTCACAATCCACTCTTTATCCAGTAACCAAAGCTTTCTTTTAAACACTTGGATTGCATTACATTTTTCCCTCACTTAATATTTTCCAGTGGTTTCCAATCACATGTTGAGTAGGTCCAAAGATCTTACCTTGGCCTACAAGGCCCTAGTTGACCTGGCTTCTACTCTCCCTCATTCACCCCCACACTTCTCTCCACCCTCTTTTCACTGGCTTTGTTCTTCTCCCTGATTATCCCTCACTCCTTTCCTAAGCCGTCTTATCATTTCATGCTCTCTCCTCTTCCAAAGTAAGTCACTTTCTTTTCTATTACCCAGTTTTATTTTCTTCATAGCATTCATCACTTTTTTGAAGTTATTTACTTATTGATTTCTTTACTTATTTATTAACTCCCTCCCCCTCCCTCACCCCCGTATACTGCATGTGAGCTTTTAGAGGAGGGGATCAGAGGAGGGGATCGGTCTGTCTGTCTACTGTTGAATCTTGGCTGCTAATGAACATAGTCCCATAACAGCGTAAGCAGTGTTACCCATTAGGAAACCAGCATTCTTGTATTGTATTCTTATCTTGTGGGCCTGCTGGTTTAAAGGGTAAGAAACTCTAATTCCTGAGAATGAAAACTTTTAATTCTTCATAAAAAGAACGTTTAAGAAAGCAAATCCTACCCCAAAAGTATGTCTTGTATTAAGAATGTGAAAGAGCCCAGTAAATTAGTTACTCCCAAATAAACACATTCATCCTCTTGCCTCATGCTGTGAGGCTAAGCGTTAATCGTTTAGCTCAGAAAATGATTTTTTTTTTTTTTTGAGGCGGAGTCTCGCTCTTTCGCCCAGGCTGGAGTGCAGTGGCGCTGTCTTGGCTCACTGCGAGCTCCGCCTCCCGGGTTCACGCCATTCTCCTGCCTCAGCCTCCCGAGTAGCTGGGACTACAGGCGCCCACCACCGCGCCCGGCTAATTTTTTGTATTTTTTTTTTTTTTAGTAGAGACGGGGTTTCACCGTGTTAGCCAGGATGGTCTCGATCTCCTGACCTCGTGATCCGCCCGCCTCGGCCTCCCAAAGTGCTGGGATTACAGGCGTGAGCCACCGCGCCCGGCTCAGAAAATGATCTTTTTAAGGTCTGTTCTTCCAGAGTGTAGCTCTTATATTAACAACCATTACATCCACATATCAAGACAGATTGTTTCAATTAGTCAATGAGGCCCACGTTTTTGAGAGCTGTTAATATGTACATGAGCAATTACTGTAGCAGAGTTAAAAGGTGTGCCTTTGGGAATTTTAGATTGAGATTATCAGTTTCATTCATGAGCCAAGACAGAAGCCATGAGAATTGTATGCTGCATTTCTCTGCAGGTTTGTTCGCTAGAAGCCTCTCCAGTGCCCACACTCCAAAGGTTATGAAGTTGCCAGATTCCTTTCCTTGGTCCAGTCCTCATACCATCTCAGAACAGTGCCTTCCTTTGTATTCATTGAGAACCAGGCAATATGCTGAACATTTGGGAGTTTCATAGTGAACAAGACAAGCAAGCTCCTTGACCTCATAGAACCTGAGAGACCAACAGAGTGAATCTTAACCCAAATGTACATCAGAATTAAGTGGGTACTTTTACATGTTCCAAAGCCAAATTTGAGTAATTTTCGTTCATTCCTTATTACTGGTAAATGAAAAGAAAAATAAAAACCTTCAGCTGACAGTCTGCTTTTCCACGTTCAGATAAAAAGCCGTGCATCTTTAATGTGGATATGATGCCTCTCCATTGTGCTCAATCTCACCGTTTCCCTTCTAAAGTTTACTAGAATCCCACAATGTCAGCAGGAACTGGAGTCAAATAATAGATGATTTGTAGGCTTCAGGGGTGTCACCACTCTCTTTCCAGTTGGCCAATCCTCTAAATGATTCGAAGTCTCCAAGTTAGTCTCAAAAATGCCTGAAATTCCATTATTTGAGTTAAGGTATTACTGCCTCTTCAAATGGTAGTCTAAGGAAAGAGCAAAATGTAAGCACTTGAACTACATTGAATACATTAATAAAACTCATCAGGTAATGCCCCAGCAGTAGCATTACAAAGCTCAAGGCATCCCTTGGAATAGGATGCATAGGAGGTCAACTCTGATAGGACAAAATGTGGGCAGGTCTACATGAGCCACATCCCGGGGAAGCAGGAGGACCCACCCACAGTTATGGTATGGATCAGTGTATGGGTTGGGAGAGGAAGCATTAGGTATAGAAGGCACGCTGGATTTATGACAGACAGTAAGTGAGCCTGCCCCAGTGCTAGAGGAAATGATTGGAATGGACAGTGGTGTGCAAATAGAGTGCAAGAGTGGGTCTTGATGTTTTTGAAGGGATCCTCTTAGAAGAAGGAATCAACTTGGTCTTTGGGGTCCCAGAATGAAACCAGGACCTGCAGAAGCTGACCTTACTGAAGAAACTGGTTACAGCTGGGGCCTCAGCACCCAGGCTAACAGCAGGAGCTAACCAGGTGCTCATCTGTTTCACATAATTCAGGGTAGATTTTCTAAAATCAAATTCCTGAGGTCCCTCTGCGACCTCCTGAATCAGATGTTGAACAGTAAGAGATATTCCCCATACTTCTATCAAAAACAATTCCTCAGGCCGGATGTAGTAGCTCACACTTGTAATCCAGCACTTTGAGAGGCCAAGGTGGGTGGATTGCTTGAGCTCAGGAGTTTGAGACCACCCTGGGCTACATGGGGAAACCCCATCTCTACCAAAAATACAAAAACTTAGTTGGGCGTGGTGGCACGCATCTGTGGTCCCAGCTACTTGGGAGGCTGAGAAGGGAGGATTGCTTGAACTCAGGGGGTGGAGGTTGCAGTGAGCTGAGATTGTGCCACTGTACTCCAGCCTGGGTGACAGAGTGAGACCCCATCTCAAAAAAAAAAAAAAAAAAAAGTCCTTGGAAGAATAAGCTCAGGAGATCTGTTGTATAACAGGGTGATTATAATGAATGACAATGTATACTTGAAAATTGCTAAGAGAATAGGTTTTAAAATATTACTGCCACACACACACACAAATGGTAAGTACGGGAGGTGATGGATGTGTTAATTAGCTTGATTGAGTCATTCCACAATATATTTTGAAACATAATGTTGTATGCCATGAATGTGTACAATTTTTATTTGCCAACTTAAAAAAATTAAAAACAAAAACTCTTACAATAATAATGATAGTTAACTTTTTGAAAACTACTTCCTGTGTATACTTAGAGTACTTAACATGCATTGTGCCATTTAATCATCACTTATTAAAAACATTTTTCCACAAAAACCTCTATCTCTATTTTTCAGATAAAACTGAAGGAAGAGAGGTCATCCTTATAGAAATCTCGGTGGAGTCTAACATCTTCTTGATAGAAATAATTTTAGGAGTATAGTAGTCTGAGTTTAGGTACCATTTTCTGTTGATCATAGATTCTGTTGATCATAGAGTGATCTGTTGTCATTTTGACTCATTTCCTTCCAGTACTTGGCAGAGGGTAGGGGGAGATGAAAACATAGTCAATATCAAAATGAATATGTTTACAGTCTGCTTTATCACTTTGCATATTGTGAATATTTTCTGTATTTTCTAATATCTCTCAGTTCTTCAAAAATGAAATCTAATTTTCCTACTTGTACCTTGCTGCATTCTACAGATTTTTCACAATTAACACACTTTACTTTAAATTCAAGAAAAAAAACCAGAACAATGAGTCTCATTTAATGTCATTTCTAAGACCTTATTTTTGTAAGCTAGAACAAGTATAGAGGCAGAATATAAAAATAATTTTTTCTCAAAATGCAAATTGTTTATGGTCTTTTGATTATCAAAGTAATACATGTTCATTACAAAGTAATTCACACAATATGTGAGTTAAAGAAAGCGTGTGTTTCTCTTGCAAACAAGTAACACTCTTTTGAAATGCCAATATGACTTCATAAACTTATTTCCACTTAATAGATAATGGGAGTCTTTTCATTGTCAGTAAGTAGCTACTTACTGAGTCTGTGACTCAGAGGGCAGCACCCAGGCCAGCAGCAAGTACTTAGCAGGGGCTTATTTCTGGTTTTGTTGTTGTTGTTGTTGTTTGTTTGTGTTTTGAGGCAGGGTCTTGCTCTGTCTCCCAGGCTGGAATACAGTGGCACATCACAGCTCACTGCAGCCTCGAACTCCTGGGCTCAAGGAATGTGTCACCATGCACAGGTTTTTTTTGTTTTTTTTTTTTGGATACAGGGTCTTGCTATATTGCCCAGGTTGATCTTCAGCCCCTGGGCTCAAGCAGTCCTTCCACCTTGGTCTCCCAAAGTGCTGGGATTATATGTGTGAGCCACAGCACCTGGCCTCATCTATGTTTTTTAATGCTGCATAGCTGAGGCCCTTGAGCCAGATCCCTGGGGTTCATATTTCATTACTGCCACTGTGTGAGTACGACTCTGGTCATCTGTTGAACTTGTTCCCTCATCAGTAAAATGACTTTTAATACGAATACCTGCGTGATAAGAGTTTTTGTGGGAATTAAACTGTAATACTTAGAAACGTATAGTTTAGTGTCACATAGTAGGTGATTGATAAATTTTTGCTTTTTTCCATGATGTGGATGCAATACATTGTTGGACCTTTCGGCTCTTTCTGTTGGTCTGTCTTATAAACATCACAGCTACTTAGATCATATATCTGGGATAAACTTAGGTTTAATAGGAGCCAGGTGTATATGACATGAAGATGAAAGGTAGGAGAGATGTCTAACATGCTATTTGACTGGTTGACATTTGAGAATATAAGCCAACATTAGTCAGAACATCTGACATTTTCAAAAGAAGCTAATAACTTGTTTGAAAAAGCCAAAAATATATGTTTATGTGTATAGTATACCCTTTTTGTTAAAATACAATACATTGTCTCGGCCTTCATGATGTACTTATGGGCTAGAATTAGTGATCAGTCAGGGTTTTAAATCCAGAATGTTTCATCTCAAAGTGGAAGTTCTTTGTGTTACAGTGCGCTTGTCTACCTTTACCTTCGTGAATTGAGAAGTTTGGGTTGCTATGCTAAAAGTTAATTCATTTGATATTATGTGATGTAGCTTTATATGTCAGCTCTGAAACTGTCTATAATAATAGTGACTTTCTCTCACCAGAATGCAATATATGGGTTCCTAATATGGGGCTAATACATTTCTTGAAATTATATGTAAAATTTTGGCCATATAGGTCTTTTTCCTTTTCTTTTTTTTTTTTTTTTTTTGCATTCCATGTTTTGTTTAGACTTTCTATTGTTTTCTGATTTCCTTTTTCCCTTCCCCCTCAAAAAAGAAAGTGTCTGGAGAGAGAGGAACAGACTTTTTTTCTGTAGAACTAATTTGTCTTTTACTTTCCAATGTAGAGAATACATATATATGTATACAATTTACGTTAAATTTTATTCATAACCTCATTACTGGTCTCATGAATTTCTAGAGGTCTGAAAACTCACAGCCAAGGCTGCTGTACGTGACTATTCCGCCAGAATCCTATGGGCGGGTACCATTGCTGTCTCATTAATTTCTGTAACCTCAGTGCTGAGTGTAGTACTATGTATGTTATAGGTGACCTATTTACATTTTTTGTGAAATAAAAGAATGAACCCACTATTATTTGTCTTAACTAATTTCAACATGTGAGAAGTCTTCCAGCTTACGTTTGTAAGAACTAGATCATAAAATGTCTGATCTTTTAGTTAAATCTAGTTTTGGTGCTAGGACTTGGCAGAACAATACCAGTATCTATGGGCATTTTGTTTTGACATAACTGACTGGCAGACATAATGCTTGTCACCTTCTCTTGGCTCAGGAGAGGGTGGAAAGTTCAACAGGTTTTACCCAACAGGCATTTTTCAATTTAAGTAGATTACGGTGTGAACGATGCAGGTAGAGATCAGAACTGGCAGGGAACTGGGATTTGAATAGGGCCTTCAATTTATTTGACATATCTAATGTTCTTATGAATGGGGATGGAACCCTGGTTTTTGGTGATAGGTAGAAAGATTGGCTCCCAGATTGATAGCGTCTTGGGTGGATTAGTAAATCGATTTGTTAAGAGCTGGAATTATATACCTTTTGGGTCTAAAATTTACCTCACAACAGCTTAAGATAACAAACCTACTGCCCCTTGCATTTCAAAGGTATTTTGTATAGAAGCTGTAAGTTGCTTTTCTGTAGAACTACTATTTCTACAAAAATAAAAGCTATTATTTTACTAAATAAAAATTGGTAATTGATTTCTTAGTGATATATTGTTCATCTGAAGCCTTTTATTTTTCTTGTCTGTTATTTTAAAATTTGTTCTTCAATTGTCTTATTGCGTGTTTATTAAAACAATATAATTAATACATTCAAAACAAAATTAAGAAAATACATCACCAATTAATTAAATTTGACCTCAAAAGGCTGCAGCTTACCTTTACAGCTATATATATTATGACTAAATTACTTGTTCTAAATAATGTAATGAAACAGAAAAAAACAATAATGCTAACAATGCATATTATCTTATGAGTTAATTATATTTCTGTGTTATATTTAAACACAACCTTGAATTAACCTCAGATATAAATATATTAATGAACAGATATTGTGGTTGTCTCCCACATAATACTAATGAAAACATCAGGAAACTAGAACTTTTCCTTAGCCAAAGATAGAATTAATCAAAAACAGACTTATGATGAAATTTACCTCAACTCTTCATTAGCAGTGTTACTATGAGTGTATATCTCTCTGTGTATATTTGCAAATTTCAGCCAAAGACCCTGTTTTTTTCACTCCTCTTTTTACCTTCTTGCTGGGATTTCTCCAGTCATTTTTCTTCTAAAGTTGTAAGTGCTCCATCTGGTTTGGAGCCTTTCTTATTCCTATGCACTCCTCCAAGTATATTTTTGAGTATGCATTACTTTCCTCTCTAGCCATCATCCTTGTTTACTCCTAGACAAACAAACAAAAATCTTTTTCGTGCACAGTTACCAAAAATGGCTAAATTTAGATTCATCCAACATCTGCCTTTATTACGGATATGGAAACCTAGGGAGACTGTTGAGATTCCAAGGCTACCTGGCAAAACCAAGTCTTAAATGCGAAGAGATTAAAACCTACCTACTGTTTTGAGGTGAGCATTAAAGAAGGTACTAGTTGTGGCAGTGTTTTGGAACATAGTAAACCCTCAGTAAATATGAAGTTTTTCAGAAATGCTCATGAGAACATGAGATGTTGTGCAGTAATCCTTCAATAATGGTGTTATTGTCCACATTATTGCTGGGGAATACTTGAATCCTCAATGAAAAGCTTATCTTAGGATGTATCCTAATTGTTTTCTTAGACAAGAAGAGGTTCAAAAACAAGAAAGGGGGTCTAGCTTTCTGTCATTATTGGAAAGACAAGTGAAACAAGGCTGTTGTAAGAGTGTCTGTTTAGTGTAGTTTTCTTTTTTAAATTTTAAATATTTTTTTGACTGACAACTATGTTTATGGTACACTACATGATGTTTTGATATATGTGTACATTATGGAATGTCTAAATCAAGGTAATTAACATACATTGCCAACTATTTTCTAGATGTTCACTTCCAAGTCCTTTTTGTGTTAATTCAGTGCTTTGGTTTAACCCAACCTGGTAATAGAAAGGAATAAATTTCTCCATTTATCAAGATACTTTTACAGAACTCCCATCTCCCCACTTGTCCATGATATAATTATTTTGGCAATAGTGATAATGAAAGGTCACTATTTTGTGAGATTTTTGTTAAAGAAAAAGGAATAGAGCATACACTTTTTAATGCCAGGTAACTTCAAAAGAATATTTGACACTGCTACTGTGATTAAGTGATTTTAATTTTCTACTCCATCACGCTTAGGTAGCCTGCACTTCCTGTATTTAAGCAGAAATGGAATGGAAGTAAGTCAAGTCAGAGTTGATACGAGTTTCACTAGCTATGGGTAAAGTTTCCAGTTTATTCCCTTCTCTGTAGAATATTTTTGGCCATTTCTTCATATGTCACCCTTTCTTACCAAGTGGGTTTTTAAAGAAAGTAAACATTATTGGATGCAGGTTTTCCTTCTGCAACCCCTAATGTGTTATCTGATAGATAAGGATGGTTTAACTAATGAATTTACTTAAATCAGTAGATCTGATAAATGCTTTAGACTTGACTTCATAGTGCTTGGGTTTAGGGACATAAATAGGGCTGTGTTTTGTGAATTTCGACATGCGATTTTCCAATTCATCAGTATCAGATAATGGGAAATTATTTACCACATTTTCAGTAATAATCTGTCTTTCGAAGCAGGTTGCTGCCTCTGTTGTGTCGACCTAACCCTAGCAATTTCTTGTTTGTTGGCATAAAAGTTATTTTCCAGGAGTATGAAAGTCATGCTTGTGACCCCAGTTAGAAGGGAGAGCTTTATATAATAGGCTGGGAGCTGGTCCAGTTTTCGTATGTGGGCAGTGAAGTCAGAGTTAGACACTGCAACAGGGAGTGGGATGAAACACTAAAAATTTTTAATATGTGGTGTCTTAGCTGTCACTACCCACCTCAGTGCTTAAGAAATGAACTAATTGTTAAAATTATAGGTCTGAATGCATGTATATATATAGCAACACATATTTTTGATGCAGATGTGTTAATGTTACTATGGGGAATTTTGCTTTACATTTTGCTTTGGTGTTCGAGAAACCTTGGCAAAAGGACTGGGAAGGACTCTGAGAGAGCTTAGTGTTTGTGTTCCTTTATCTCCAATTATTTGTTTGGAATTTTCAATTAAATATAATGGGAAAACCATTTTTTTCTTCAGTTTTTTTGATGACTACTTTTCTTATTTTACAGTAACCAAATTTTCATCTATTTTTTTAAATTGCTTGATTAGGATCTCAAAGGGTTCTAAGGTTTTGTTTTGTTGACAGCCGTAAAATGTAACCATTATGGAGTAATTTTTTTCCCTTTTAAGTCTTTTCATGTGACCTCAATTTTTCAAATGTTTTTTCCCTCAGGTATCTACCTGTCCTTAAAAATTGCCAAGCTTCAGAACAATTCTTTTATGAACTAATGTAAAAATTGTAAATGTTTTCACATAAAGGCACAATAAAAAATTATCTAGTTTGAAAAAATTGTTTAAGTAGGCTCTGTATAGTCTTCAGTGATGACCTAACTAATTTTTACTAGAGTTAGAAGAGAAAATCTCTAGCAGTGGCTTCCTTACGAATTGGCTTTTAGAAGGCAAAACCATTTTTATATTCTTTCCCATATTTTACTGATACATTTCTAATCACAAGTTTTTGAAAAGGTTAATGGAAATTGCAATGCTTTATTGTCATGATGCTTAAGTGATTTCTTTTTCAATAAAGGGTATGTTATTAAAGAGAAAAATGATTTTGCGACCTAGGCATTAAAGTATGCAGTGCCATCTGTCTTAAGCCTGGGTAATCAATGGTGTAAGTGAGGCCAGTTTATTTCTCATAGATTTACTAGCATCACTGCATAAATAGCCATAATGGAATTGATTTCTTAGGCTGAAGCAGCTTTTATCACATACAAGGGTTTGATGATGACTGTATTAAATGTTGACCTTTGATTAGCCTTAGTCTTTCTTGGTTACAGAGGTCTTAGAAACTTCATGCTGAAAGATTGAAAATGCAATGTTCTTGACATTCAAGTGTTTTTTATATTAACTACTTGTTCTTATTTTTTACTTCCTAGACAAGCTCTTATGTTCCATGTGTCTTGATTGTTCTGTATCTCAGTAAAGTTTTATGGCTACCATGGGCACCTCCCTTCTGATCACCCAAGAGGCACAAAGAATAACACAGTGAGTTAGAGCATGAGATTTGAACCCAGACACGTGTGCCCAGGTTTGAATGCTGGGCCCTGTACTGCTGCCTGCATGACCTAGACATGTAACTTTACTTATGCAAGCCTCAGTTTTCTCACCTTAAAAGCATGTATTAGAGGCCAGGCACGGTGGCTCACGCCTGTAATTCCAGGACTTTGGGAGGCCAAGGTCGGTGGATCATAAGATCAGGAGATCAAGACCATCCTGGCTAACACGGTGAAACCCCGTCCCTACTAAAAATACAGAAAATTAGCCAGGCGTGGTGGCACGTGCCTGTAGTCCCAGCTACTCAGGAGTCTGAGGCAGGAGAATCGCTTGAACCCGGGAGGTGGAGGTTGCAGTAAGCCGAGATTGCACTGCTGCACTCCAGCCTGGGAAACCGAGTGAGAATTAAAAAAAAAAAAAAAGATATAAGAAAATTCTGCTTAGATTGTTGTGTAAAACAAAACAAATTGTGTATTGATTGTACCTGGCAAGATGCCAGACATATGGGCAAATGAATAGGAGCAATTATTATTGTCTGCTCTTCCTATTGTTGTTACTACTACTGAGTCAAATCATTTAGAGTCAGTATAGATATTCTCTGTTTAAATTCTCTCCCCGTGCCCTGTTTTCTTTTTTTTAAGCATAGATCCCCCTTCTCCATGGCTAGTTAGTAGAACAAACTGGGGATGACGCTTGTTACATTAATCTAAAATGGTTTTTCTGCAAATGATTTAAAAATCACTAACTGATAGTGTGGAGAAGACCTAACTTCCAGGCTGATCTAGCTCTGAGGAACATTATGAGGGCAAGAAAGTCTTTGTCCCACCCAATGCCGTGTCTCCAGAGTGGTGTCCCTTAAACTGACCTCCAGTCCCTATACTTTATTCTGATCCTGGTCATAGAAGGTGACTGGCGGCCTCATTTCTATTGCATTCCTCCTGCCACCCCACCATCCCCTGAAAAATGCAGTGGGCTGTGTCAGCATAAATCAGCTCCTCACATACCCCATTCAGCAGCCAGTGTCTTCAGTGTTTGAGATCCTGGCTGAAAGCAAGTGTCTGCTTAAAAATAATTTGTCGCTTACCTGAAAAAGCCTCTACACCCTGCAAAATCTAATTTTTCCAAATATTTTCGAGTGCCAACTCATATTTTAAGCCAAGCAGCTGACAGACATTTACCTGTAGGCTAGCTTAATCAGATTTTAACCTAGTCAGAAGCCTAGCCAATGAAATAAACTTCCTTTGTGGGCACAGATTTTTTAAATCCATCAAAAAACGTGCCCCAGAGCCAGTGTGATTTTTTTAAAAAAAGGATTTGCTAAATGATCACCCAGGAAATGTGTGTGTTCGTCTATAGGACAAGGCCGGGGATTAGGAAGAGAGGCACTTTTTTTGTGTTTCAGTAAGTAATTTTCCTTGTTATAATAAAAAATCACATCACTTGTTGGAAATCTGGTTGGTGCCCAACTGCTCCGGGCAAGTGTTTGCAACTCGTGATTATTTATTCCTCAGATCTTTTTAGATGTGTTATGTGTGAATCAGCCCAGCCTGCATTTAAGGCTTGAAAAATGTTCTTTAGGATTCCTTGGTATCAAAGCATCCATTAATTACTGAAAGGATAAGACAGTGGTTTACTGGAAGTCAGAATCTGCATGTTCTTTGTTCTAAAGAGGAGAAAAGAAGTTTTCGGTAGAAAGGAGAGCCACTTTTAAAGATGCCCTTTTAATATATTTTTGAAAGGTATGCATTTTTTTGTCATAAAGAGCTCTTCAAAATGATCTTTTTGTGGTGACATCTACATTACTCTGGAAAATATTCTTATGTTTCTGGCAATGATACGCTAATTACAGCCTATACATTTTTAAGAGTTGAATCTGTCATATTCTAGGAGAGGAGTGATTCTGATTCCAAACAAAACTGAAATGCATGACCAAACACATTATGAAATGTGTGGTTTCATTAAATCCTGTTGTTCATTCAGTCAGAAGAAAATTGTTTAGTTCATAAGAGGAATAAGAATGCTGAGGTATTACGATTTCATTTCCGTATATCCACAAACCTTTCCATTCATATTTAAGCCTTGCCACCGTATTATGTTATGTTGCATGTTGGCCATCAAGGAGGTCGGGTCACAATTTGGAAGAACATTGTTTTATACCAAGGCTTTGTTAGCATTCCTGGGTTGCACATAACAGAAACACACTCAAGTCAGCCTAAACATAAAAAGATTGTTTATTTTTAAAATATAGGAGTGTCTAATGAAACTCAGTGGTACAAATGTGGCTAGACGGGGCTAGAAAGGAGACAGAAGTCTTTTATTGTATCTTTAGCTTTTGTTTGTGTCTTGGACATTTCCTCCTTCTGCTGTAGACAGCTTCTCTTAGTTGGTGTCATATAGTCTGGTTCCTAATGCTTTTTTGAGTTTGTAGATTATGAGTTGATACTCACTGAGAGTCCTTTGGCCTAATGCCAAAGACCCAGGAACGACAACCTCATTGGTCCATCTTGGGTCAGGTGGTCATTACTTGGTCCAGTCCAATTGGCTATGGCCATGGAATGCACAACATACATGGCAGACATGGGCCTATACCTGTGATCCTGTTTCCGGAAAATGGGGCACTTAGCAGACTCCCTAGCGTGTGTGAGTGTCTTCTCTCACACACACTAAGAATGTGTGTATTCTGACTTGTGAAGGGCCAGATGCATCTAGGATAGCCTCAAATCTCAAGGTCTTGCAAGAATTCTATGTGTATCTTCTGGACACAGTTCAGTATCTGAATCAAGGAGGACTAACACAGGTCCGAGTTAGAGTCCATTTGGAGACACTGCTTACTTCATTCTCACAAGTACATTTCTCACTGTCACAAGCTTCAAATGTGCGTCCCAGAAAGGAAGAGAAAGCTGTCTATTATTTAAAGATGGGCTCATTATCAAAAGGTGACCAGAGGTATCTGCTTACAATTCACATTCCTAGCGCACCCTTAAAAACGCTAAAACACTAGATATTATTTATGAAGAAGTCAAAATATCAGCATGTCCTCTGAAAGGATGCTTGGGTTATTTATTTATTAATTTATCCATCTTCATTGGAAAACTTACCATCTGGATGCTGTCCACATTTTAAAAACACATAAATTAAAACCCAAGGCAAATTGACTACAACATGGGTGACCTTCAAACCTCTTTTATTCCAGCCAGTCATTTCCCATTCTGATTGTGCCAAAAGGAGGCAGGATGAAGGGAAAACATTCACACACATTAACAGAACTGCATCTTTTCTTCAGTAAAATCAGGTCTTCCTCCATAAGACCTTGCATTTATTTTAAACTTTATATTATAAGTAATGATAAAATGTGAATTATGAATAATATGCAAGAGTAATATTCCTAAAATAACACAGTGCATTTCATATTGCCGGCCACCTTCCACCTGTCACAAGACATTGTCCAATCTGATTTTCTAACTCGCATTTTCTGACTCTGGTTGAATGACTTTATACATTGCTTTCATGATTATCTTTACATTCTGTTAAAGGACAGGGGTTTGATGAATAAATATATTGTTTGCAATTTGCCTCTATCATTTGTGTATCCTGAATTACTCAAGTTTTAAATTGCATGAGGCTTTTAGTGAAATCATGTATATCCAAACACAGGTTTAACTTTATGCAGATAGGTGTTTTACATATACACACAGTTCTAAAATGATGGGAAAATTTTCCCTGTGTTTTTTTTTTTTTTTAACTTAAGTCAGTTCCTGCGTTTTTTGAACTAAGGCAATGTTGACACATTACTCCCCCTCTCACCCAAAGCTTAATTAGTTTTTCAAACTGATATTTATCGAGCTTCCTAAAATCCACCTGCCAGATTCCTCATGAAAACAGTCTAATTGAAATATTGCTTTAAGGAACTTTTAGAGGTAGGGAGGAAGAAAAATATGTACATAAGACTAATTAGTATTTTTTAATGAATGCTACATTTGCATAAATTGAAAGTTTCATTCTATGGACTTATTGTAGAGTTGTGGTTAAATCGGCATTAGTCAGCTTGGGCATGTTTCATGATTATTGGTAAAGGGAATTACACTTTTACTGGAGATGTCATCATTGATCAATCAGTTGACCAGCAAGTGAGCACTGGAGGAGGCATGAATCTTGGGGTGGTGGGAGAGTCATCAATCACAAAACCCAGTTTGGGAGGTGAGATGCACTCATGGACAGTTAATGAACAGCAAACAGTATGAAATGAGAAATGCTGAATTGCAGACAAGTCTGAGGATATGTGAGTCTCTATAATGGAATTAATTGTTCAAAAAACTGAACAAAACAAGGAATTGTCATTGAATTCATTTGGGATGAAGGCTGATTTGCCTCTGGAATGGGGCAGGAACTTAGACTGACCCCCCACTGCCTGGGTAAATCTAAAGCAGATGCTTTAGATTTAGTCAATATGGATTTGAATAAAAATATCCAAGACACAATTTGTTGGTGTAAACCAATTGCACTATTGTAAGAAATTCTGAAATTTCCACTGGCTAAACGGGCAACTCTAATAGAACCTTTATGGCTGGGAAAAGGTGAAACAACTGGATTTTATTGAAATGATTTCAGTTTTTTAACAAAAGTATTGAAGGAAGGATGAACAAATACGTAATCAACAAATAGGTGTTTAGGAGTAACTGTATACCAGCTTATGTGTCAGGTGAATAAGATAGAACTCATATTCTAATTACAATTGTAATACAACAGGTGACCTGAAGGCTACATAGGAAGAAAATAAGATGAGTGGCTTACCTAGCCTAGAAGCAATGGGTTTACTTCCAAAGAAGAGTGGTATATTCTCTGAAACGGAAAGAATATAGAGGAGTTGGATAGGAGAACGTGGGGGAAATGTGTGTCCAGGGAAAACTGCAGCAAGCCCCAGTGTTTAGGAAGAGAGTGGCACATTTGCAGAAGTCTCGGATGGCTATGGACAGAATGAAAATAAGATTACCATGATATGGAGAGGTAGACAGGGGATATGACAGTAATGAGTTTGGATTTTATTTTAAGGGAGATGAGAATCCTTCGAAGCGTTCTGAAGAAGGAAGTAGCGCAGTGAGCTACCTGATCCTGGTAGATGACCGGGAATGGGGAATGGATGGTGGGATGGAATGACCTGCAGTGTAAAATTACCTTGGGAGGCTCTTAAAGTAATACAGCTAAGTGATGGTGGTTACTAATCTAGATCTGATTGGAGGCAGGGGCTGGGTTAAGAAGTGGACTGATTTAAGGGATGTTTGGCAAATGAGGTTGACAATTCTTGGTGTTAGTTATGGAGAGAAGATAGAGACATTATTTCAGGGGTTTTGGTTTGTGCAACTAGGTCCAAAGGCAGTGCTCCATTGAGACAGTGAGCTCTGTGGAAGTGGCGGGTGTAGGAGGAAGAGGATGAATTCTGTTTTAGATAAATGTAGATATATCCAGTTGGAAATGTCTAAGAAACCAGTTGGTTAGATGGGTCTGCCACTCAGGACACAAGTCAGAACTGGAAATAAAGATTTGAGAGGCATTAATATGCACATGGAAATTAATGCCTTAGGGCTAATGAGAATTCCTGGGACAGATGGATTGAGTGTGTACTGGTTCCCCTGAGCTGTGAGTTATACCAGCCTTCAATAGACATCTTGGGGAAGGTAGATGGGCCTGCAGAGAACACAGAGTTGGACTAGCCAGAGAAGTACAAGGAAAACCCATGTTCACAGGAGCCAGTGGGCACATTTGCTTTGAGAAATATAGGATTAGTCAAAAGTGCCACCTATTCCCTGAAAGTCATGTGGGGACAGGGACTGAAATGGAATTCAGCTACAAGAAAGCTCTTTAGTGACCTTTCCCCAAGCAATTGCTTTAGATTTAGTCAATATGGATTTGAGTAAAAATATCCAACACACCATTTGCTGAGCAAATTGAATACCGAATATACTATTGTAGGAAATTCTGGAGTTTCCAGTGGCTAAACTGGCAACTCAGTAGAGCCTTTGTGGCTAGGAAGAGACAAAACAACTGGATTTTGTTGAAGAGCATTCCCATTTTTTTTTTTAGAAAAGTATTGAAGGAGAGAGGGAAGCAACAAATCTGATTTAGTGAAGACGTTTTCCTTGACAGCAGGATTTACTCCTGAGTTATAAATTTGCCATGATCGAGACTAAAATGCAGTGAAAGTTAAATTTCACCTATATCTCATTCAACGCCTAACGTGATTTAAATGACAGGATTTCAGGAGTGACATGTAGCTTTGGATCTAAATATATTTTTTATGGCTGGAAATTTTAATTTCAGATCAGTGAAAAATCATGACGCCTCTTCATGTGTAAGAGACTTAAAGAGTGGAGTGTTAGGCCGGTGCAGATGGTTTTGTCAGGCAGAACTATTAATGCTAAGGGGAATCAGATGGCAGAATTTGCACAGGCTTATCTATAAATGCGCACCTGCAAGATAACATTGAAATGGTTGAATGACCGACCTAGTTCTAAGATAGTGACATGATGAGTTCATCTTGTTTTAATCTCACATTGGATGTTCAATTTGCCTGTGACATGCTGGTATAGATGCCCTATAAAAGTATTATATGTGTGTGACCCGGCTCCTGCCTCCCAGCCCAGTTACATCTGGAAATACTCTTTCCCCTTTTCTCTCTGCTCCAGCTTTAATGACCTTCTTTAAAAGGCCTTGCCTCTTCCCACCTCAGGACCTATGAACCTACTTTCCTGCTTTGTCCTACTTCTGAGAAGAGTCTTTCCAGACTCTTCTTATTAAAGCTTCAGTTCAAATGTCACTTTCAGAGGAAGGCTTCTCTCTCTTCCTTGCTGAGATTTGGTATCCCTGGTATCTACTCTCAACTGCTCCCTATACATTTTTTTTTTTTTTTTTTTTGAGACAGGGTCTCACTCTGTTGCCCAGGCTAGAGTGCAGTAGTGCCATCATGGCTCACTGCAACCTCAACCTCCCGGGCCCAAGTGATTCTCCCACCTAAGCCTCGCAAGTAGCTAGGACCACAGGTGCACACATACCATGCCTATCTTCCCCCCCCCACCCCCCACCAGAGATAGGGCCTCCCTGTGTTCCACGCTGGTCTTGAATTCCTAGGCTCAAGCAATCCTCCTGCCTTGGCCTCCCAAAATGTTGTGATGACAGGCATGAGCCACCACGCCTGGCTTCCCTGTACTTTTTTGGAGTGGATGCAAATTACAGAGGGAGAGAGTTTAGTAACAACTACCATGACTACTCTTTTGAGGTTTCCAGCAACCCTCATTGTTGACTGATGATTCTTCTTTTTTGAGACGGAGTCTCACTCTGTCCTCCGGGCTGGAGTGCAGTGGTGTGACCTCAGCTCACTGCAACCTCTGCCTCCCAGGTTCAAGCGATTCTCTTGTCTCAGCCTGGGACTGAGCTGGGACTACAGGCGCCCGCTAATGCCCAGCTAATTTTTGTATTTTTGGTAGAGACGGGATTTCACCGTGTTGGCCAGGCTGGTCTTGAACACCTGACCTCAGATAATCCTCCTGCCTCGGCCTTCCAAATTGCTGGGATTACAGGCATGAGCCACTGAGCCCGGCCAGCTGATGATCCTTATGGAGAAAATGATAATACAAGCTAATACAGGGGATTGGTTCTGCAACCCCCGCATATACCAAAATGCTCACATACTCAAGTTCAAAGTCAGCCCTGTGGAACCCAAGTATACAAAGAGTCAGTCCTTCATATACATGGGTTTTGCATCCTGAGAATACTTTATTTTCAATCTGCATTTGTTTGGAAAAAGCAAACCCTAGCAGTTCAAACTCATGTTATTAAAGGGTCAACTGTATTTTAATTCTCACTGGAAACCTGCGGTGTTGGTATTATTTTCATACACATCATGTCAGGAAACTGAAGTACAAAGAGGTGAGGCTACCAGCCTTGGGTCACTCAGCTAGTAAGTCCAGTGAGTGGTGTTGATGCAGTTCAGAACTTGCGTGAGGTCTGATTGTGCGGTCTCTTGGAAAGGCAGCAAGCTGCTCAGAGCCATGTGTGAGTCTGTTGGTAGAATGTCTTTCAAACTCTTCTCTCTTGTAGTCTTCCTAGTTCGTCAGTTACACTTAGAGGTAGATATCCATTAAAATTCTTACCAGCTGGTATACATTTCTCTGTTCTGATGGAAACTTGTATAGTCAGGTGATAAAGGCATTACAACGGTACCAAGTCAGCATCGCTCCACTCAAAAGAAATTTTTTAAATGTCCGTGCTGGCAGCGGACAAGGATGAATGATTAAAAAATAAATAAAATCAAAGCCATGGCTTTGATGAGTTTTCTGTATCTTTCTCCACAGTATACTTGGCCACCCCCGCAGCCAGCTGCTGGAGGTGCTGGTTCAATAAATGTAATGGGAGCAATCTCACTCTATTACTTTTAAATTAACTTAGTCTATGTGGCCATCCCTGTCCGTGGCTCCTTCTTGGGGAGGAGGACTGCACCGTATTGATTCAGGTGATGGATGGGAATATTAAACGTTCCAAGGCGGGACAGGAGTCCTACAGTGGGGACTCCACCAAGACAGACCTCCAGGCCTCTGAGCAAGTTAGCTCTGCTAGATCAGGGAATGGCAAAACCCTCCAGTAAATTTAAAGTTAAAATCTGAACACCGAGTCTCTGTTTGGGGCTTGAAAATGGCACTGTTTTCAGACTCTGAATTTGGAGACCATTTTCTCTTCCCCAAGTAAAAGCCAGAGCTAGAAGAAAGTAACATGAATTCATGGTCATCAGGCAGGGCTGATATTTCAAAAACCTCAGCATCACCTGGAAATGGGAATAGCACTGTCAAATGTAAAAGCCAATCAGAAAGGTTGCAGTTCAACTTTCTTGCCCTGAAAAATGAATGGGGTGGGTTGGGGTGAGAAGGTGTGAATAATCTTCCGGGACATTTCAGAGTAGTTCTAACAATAATGCATTAAAGTGTCAGTAGATGAAATGATTAATTGAATTTGCCTTCATTTTTCTCATTTATTTGCTTTTGGTCCTGTCTTCACTATCTCCTATTTAAGAAATACAAGTATTCCTGTTCAGCTCAGTCCCTAGCCCTGTCTCTGAAGTCCTTTATTATTGCAAAGTGACATATGTGAAACCTTGCCACTGACATTCATAGACTTATAATCCTACTCCTTCAATTGCTTTATTAATGCTTTGGCTTTCAGCATAAAAGCAAGCACATTGGAAACCACGGAAAATTTCTGATTATGACAGTGACATTTATCATTCTCTAATGGAGGAGCTGTAGCTTCTAGGTGGAAAGTTGGCGAGTGCATCCAATGCACAATTTCCTTGTTTTAAATGCAGTCTTTGTTGAGAGGAGCTGTTCTCCCAGATGCTGGATAATACCTAAGCCTTACATGGTTGTAGGCCTATGTCCAGCAATTGGTGGGAGCACTGTTAATTTTTAACTGTAGGTTTTATGGGTGAAGAATTGATGTCGCATTAATTCAGGGATGTATTCAACATATTACCAAGTGCTTTCTATGTGCCAGACAGTGCTCTGTGCATTTGGAATGTGTCAGTGACCAAAAAAAAAAAAAAAAATCCTGCCACTGTGGAGCTTCTATTCTAGCAAGGGGTAGACAGATACAAAAACATCATAAATAATTGCATATGTTAGAAGGTGAGAAGTACTTTGGAAAAATACAGCATAGGTTAAGGGAAATAAGCTGAGCCAGAGTTTTGTTGGGGGTTGTGGGTTACAGCTTAATAGGCCTTAATAGGCCTTGAAGGAGGTGACTCTGGTTTGGAATATCTCAGAACTGCATAAGGAATTCCAGATGATGTGATAAAAAAGAAATCCATATTGAAGAATATGAAGTCCTGGGTTATTGCAAACTGAAAATGCATTCCTCTTTTTCTTCCCAGCTTCTGAATCCTCTTTTCTTCTGTCCAAGTCCTGGCATTATTTGGGAGCAGTGGCCACCTCTCCTGCCACTCCACACTGTAATGAGAATTGGATGAGAGAGTGCAGAATGTGACATTTGTGTGTGATGCTTATGGTTTGTCATGAAATCCACTCAAGAGTTAAACAAGTCAAGGGTGTTAGCTTTAGGCATGCTTTTGCCTCACATTTATTGGTGTTTAGTATGATTCACTGACCTGAATCAGTTCTAATGGTACACTTAGATATGCAACTTCTTGGGAAGGAAAAAGACAAAAATGTCCCTAGTGCAATTTTATTGAGATTTTGGTCCAAAAGGAAGCAGTGTAAATAAACAGCAAAAAAAGCCATAGCTAAGGTAATGTGCTTCAAAACAAGCTAGAAGACAAATGCTAGGTAATTCGTACCATCCTCTGATTAAATGGCCATGAGCAAATCATCGGGCCCTCCAGGGCACACTCCATTCCTCTTTGTTGTGGCTGTGGGATGACACATCTGTGCACAGCTCTGCACTCAGAAAACTCAGGCTCGTTTGCCACCACTTCCCTACCTCCCTCAGTGCTGCACGTGCGCGCGCGCACGCACACACACACACACACACACACACAGTGTTCCCTGATGTACAAAAGCCACTAATAGTAATTATTTAATGATAATAATCTTTGCTTGCATTATCTAATCTCCCAATGGCTTTATCAGAGAAGTACTCATTTTATCCCTAGTTTACAGATTTGGAACCTGGAGCTAGGAGTGGTTAACTTACTGATGCCCAGCACACACAGCTAGTTCAGTGATAGGGTTAGGGTGGCTGGCCCCATAGGTCATATAAGGATACATTTGCTCATATGGAAACAAGTTATTTTTATTGACATGGTGCCAGATCACCAGGTTGGTGGAACTTGTCTCTTGATGTCATACTTCCTGATTGTCTCAATTGATGTCTCCAATCCTCATTTCTTACCTTTAATCTACCTCTCCCTGCCCCTGTGTTCTTTGCATTATAGGATGTTTAGCAGCATCCCGGACCTCTAGCCAACAGATGCCAGTAGCAGGTAGCAGCCCCCTATAAGTTGTGACAATTGGAATATCTGCAGGCATTAGCAAATATCCCTTGGGGGGGCAAAATCGTCTCCATTTGAGAACTTCTGGTCCAGATGTTCAGGTTACATGGACCTACTCTTGTGTGCCAAAATCCAACTCTTCATCAATAGTCAAATTTCAAATCCATCTAGGAACTGTTTGGCTGTGGCTGAGTGTATTAATCTGCTCCTACTGCCATGACAACATACTGTAGACTAGATGGCTTAAATAAGAAATTAATTTCTCAGTTCTGAGGTGAGGGCTGGAAAGGCCCAGGTCAAAATGCAGGCAAGGTTTCATTAGGTCTCGCCTCTTATTTGTGCATTCCTGGGGAGACAGCAAGTTCTTTGCTGTCTCTTCTTATAAAGGTGCTAATCCCATCATGAGGGCCCCACTGTCATGACCTCATCTAACCCTAATTACTTCCCAAAGGTCTCATCTTCAAATATCATCACACTGAGAAGTAGGGCTTCAATCTACGAATTTCAGGGGAGTAGGGGTGGGCAAACATTTAGTCCTTAACACTGAGCCTTGATATGTTGGAAGGACATCCAGAAGGAGTGTCAAGTCAAATAGGCCAGAGCTGGTTCATGTCCCAGCTCTATTATTTGGACAAGTTACTTAACCTTTCTTTGCCTATTTTCTGACCTACTAAATAGGGATAAAACTAGTTTGGTCTAGGGTTTTGGAAATTAAATGAAATGATTGATCCCAAGATGTGTAATTTTTATCAGGAAACTAATTTTTGTTCTTTTTGTTTGCACAATCTCTCCCTAAGTTGGTAATGCAGGCCCACCTTCAAAGTTGGAAAATCATAGTAAAATGAGAGTTTGTAGCTCCTGGTGTGGTCTTTGCAGAGCATTCGATTAAGCATATCATTGCTTATCTAATGAATAGTTATGCTTTTTTCTTTATTTTTATTTTTATTTTTTTGGAGACAGGGTCTTGCTCTGTCACCCAGGTTGGAGTGCAGTGGTGTAATCTTGGCTCACTGCCGCCTCAACCTCCCAGGCTCAAGCTATCCTCCCACCTCAGACTCTCCAGTAGCTGGGGCCATAGGCCCATGCCACCACACTCAGCTAATTTTTATATTTTTGTAGAGAGAGGGTTTTGGCATGTTGCCTAGGCTGGTCTTGACTCCTGGGCTGAAGTAATCTTCCTGACTTGGCCTTCCAAAGTGCTGGGATTACAGGTGTCAGACACCTTGCCCGGCCATGCTTTGTTTCTTAATGACCGCAGTTGTTACAGCCCACCCAAATGAGCCTATGTACATATATGGAGATATATATAGAGAGATTTTTTTTTTCCAACTTCCTCTATTTTTTAATTTATTTTAACTTCAGGAGTACATGTGCAGGCTTGTTATATAGCTAAACTTGGATCATGGTAGTCTGTTGTATATTTAGTCACCCAGGTATTAAGCCTAGTACTCATTAGTTATTTTTCCTGATCGGAGAGAGATTTATTTTTTGAGACAGAGTGTTGCTCTGTTACCCAGGCTGAAGTGCAGTGGCATGATCTCAGTTCACTGCAACTTCCGCCTCCCAGGTTCAGGCAATTCTCTTGCTTCAGCCTCCTGAGTAGCTGGAACTACAGGCACATGCCACCATGCCTGACTAATTTTTGTATTTTTAGTAGGGACGGGGTTTCACTGTGTTGGCTAGGCTGCTCTTGAACTCCTGACGTTAAGTGATCTGCCTGCCTTGGCCTCCCAAAGTGCTAGGATTATAAGCGTGAGCCACCACCCCTAGCCAAGAGTTATGGTTTTTTTTTTTGGTTTTGTTTTTGTTTTTTTTTTTAAAGAGAAGTGTTGTATGTCTACTCTTCTAACACGTATATACAACTTAAGTTAAAAAAAATTTTTTTAAGCTAGTAAGAAATTTCTGGGAAGTCCTTACCATCTCTGGTAAGAAGTGTTTTCATGCAACAGGGGGAAAAAATATCTTTTTTTCTAATAAAACTGTGGAAACAAGATGAGTAATTACTACACGAAAGCACAGAATGTTTTCCAAATATTGTGATGGGTGTTTATTCTACATTTTTCTTCTCTCAAGGCCAGTCATGGGCTTGTACAGAAATATGAACTTCAGTTCTCAATTATTGGTAGATCTGAAGGGAGTCTATGTACAGAACTATTGTTTACCATCCCGAGAAGTTAATTTCATAGATAGATCATTTAAACAAATATGACCGTGTTTTAAATTTGATTTAAGAATGCATTTGGGGTGATTAGCGATGTAGCGACTCCTGCAGCTGGTGAGCCTTAAATACGCTTTATAAAGATTCCTGTCCGTTGCCAGCACAGCTGTAAACACTTGGCGCCTTTGCTTTGTAACAGTTACAGCACTTGCCTTTTTTCCCCCAGCCACAGAGCAGTGCTAATCATTAAGTATGTTTAATAAAAAATATCTTCTCAGCCTCCAAGTGACTCTCTGTTAAATATTTTAAAAACTTATCCCACTTAGTGAGACATTCTTGACATTAAATAGATTTAATAAGAAATTGTTAGTTTCTGATGGTTTTCAGTGTTAAGTATTTTTTATAGGTAGTTACTTTTCCAGCCGACAACCAGCTCTAAGTCTTTAATATTTAAAATGTTGCTTTTATAGCTGCGTCCTGCATCTGTGTATAAAATATAGCATGAGCGTTGCCTCTAAATTTTGAAAGACTCCTCCTAATGAACATAAGAAGAAAGCATTTTCATTTTCTAAGCATATTTATATTTCACATACCAAAGTACATTCCAAGTTTCACAAATTGGAGACAATTTCTGCCCAAATATCAGTTTTAACATCTTGTAAGATGCCAGTAACAAAGGCACACTTGAAATGTACTTATCTGGCAGTGAGCACCTATGGGAAAATGTGCTGTGGGTAATGATGAAGACATGTAATGTTGTGTTCCACTGAAGCTCTCTAAGACAGTACAGAAAATTTCGACTGTCTTCAAAGAGTTTATTCGAAGTTGCACGTGAGTCCAGTTTTATTTTTTAAGACAGAGTCTTACTCTGTTACCAGACTGGAGTGCAGTGGTGCAATCTCAGCTCACTACAGCCTCCACCTCCAGGGTTCAAGCGATTCTCCTGCCTCAGCCTCCCACGTAGCTGGTACTACAGGCATGCGCCACCACGCCCAGCTAATTTTTTGTATTTTCAGTAGAGTTGGGATTTCAACATGTTGGCCAGGATGTTGACCTCATGATCCGTCCGCCTTGGCCTTCCAGAGTGCTTGGATTACAGGTGTGAGCCACCGTGCCCAGCCGAGTCCAGCTTTTAAGTGGAAAATAGAGCACCGGAGTATAGGAGCTTGTCAGAGCCTGGTCAGGGACATCGGGGCTAGCTGTGAACACACTTTGATTTCTATTTTGAGCCTGGGTGTGGCCTCTGCATATATAGAGGAGTTTCAGCAGTTTTGCCATCTTTGGGTGACTGACTTAGGCTATGCACTGGAGGCAACATGGGAGACAGACATAGAGGTCAAGCCCCTGGGATGCAGATGAACAGACCAAACTTTGAGTCCTGGCTCTGCCCACTTTTCTTTGTGAATCTGAGTCAAGACTTCACCATTCAGTGTCTCTGTCTCTTCCTCTGTAAAATGTGGGTAGTAATACCTGATGCTTGTGGTGGTTGTGAGAATTAAAGGAGTTGATACATACTCAAGTTTTCTATTCTCGGCACTTACAATATATTCAGTGTTCATTGAACATTTACATTTACTCTATTTTGTGTGTGTGTAATTGACTAGCAGAGTAAATTCTTTGCAGCCATGCTTCAGAGAAGGATTGACTTGGAGACTTAGAAGCCTTTTCGGATGCCAAATTTGATAAATCCAGGAGACAGAACGTTGTTTCTTACCTCGTAGTACTTGAAGAATACTGGCATCTTTTTTCATGGGTGAGCAGATTGTTGTCAAAAGGTTGAGATGATACCATCCAAGAATTCTAGAAACACACAAGACAAGACTTTTAGTCTGAAATTAACAAAGGATTGAGCATGTCCTTGAATGTCTCCTTTTTTGTAATGTGAGGAAATTCTGCCGAACCTCTGCCTTCACATACAACCTTCCACTCCTAATTCTGAATTTTAGATTTCTCCCATTGTGCTTAGAGATCACCTTTTGGCCTCTTCACAACCCCTGCCCCCTTCCACATCTGATATTGTGGGAGATTATACAGGATTCAAGTGGTGACTAAAAGGAACTTCTCATTTCCACCTGCAAAATCTTCTATTAGATGTCATATACCGAGATATGACGGTGGTAATGATCATTGTGATGGTGGTGATGGAGATGACAGTCATAGTGATGATGGTGCAGATATGGACTTTGATGATGGTGATGGGGGTGGTTGTGGTGATGATAGTGACTATAATGCTGGTGGCTTCCTTGTACTGACTATGACCATGTGACTCACACAGTGCTGAGTGCTGTGCCTGCATTATCTCATTTAACCTTCATCGCCTCTTAATTCTGCATCATAATCATCCTTGTTTAATGAATGATTAAGCATCCGTTAAACACCCAGGCTTTAGTTTACCCAGGATTATACCCAGGGAATGGGGAAGTGAGGTCAGAACCCAGACCTGCCTCACCTCTTAACTGCTTTGCATGTTGCCTCTCAGAGGGTCACAGAAAATCTTGCACTGCTGGCACGCCAGTTGCTTCTGGGGCTCTAGGATTTGGGGCAAGCTCAGAGATGCACAAGTATAACCTGGAGCTTCCACACCAGTTATGGAGTCAGAGATGTGAACAGTAGTATTTCCAGCCTTGCCCTGGCCTGTCATAAAGCCATGCCCAGCGACAGGTATGGAATAAACCTGGGCTTCACCAGTAGGATCCAAGTGACCCTGTGCCTTTGGAGTAAGTCCCTGGGTGTCCCAGTGTCCATATTTTAAAGACCAGATATTTCTACAGCGTGTCTTTGTTATGCCAAAACCCCTTCTGAATTTAGATTTTCTGATCTTCTGACAGACTTATTTCAGGTATTACTCATCTCTGATTCCAGGTCTCACCTTTTCTTTCTGTATCATGAATTTTTAAGCATGGTGTTCTTTTGCCTGAAATTTTCTTCCTCCCGCACCGCCACCCTGCATGACCATTTGATATTGTCTCTTTTCCTTTGGGTCTCAGCTTAGCTGCTTCATCCTAGAAGGCTTCAGGGTCTCCTCCAACCTCCACTCCAGTTCCTCTACTAGGTGTTCCTGTGGCAGCTTCTCCTTTCATAGCTTCTATAATTCTGTGCTGTAAGTGCTTGCTTTCTCAGTTGTCTTTCTTGTGAGACTTTGAGATGCTAACCCTTTAGGCCCTACGAATCCCTGTGTGCTCAGCATTTGGGTGTTCAGTAAAGATTAATTCCCTGCTTGAATGAATTCA
The DNA here is from genome assembly GCF_000001405.40 of Homo sapiens. Classification (NCBI taxonomy): domain Eukaryota; kingdom Metazoa; phylum Chordata; class Mammalia; order Primates; family Hominidae; genus Homo; species Homo sapiens. Next base: position 62,042,851 of record NC_000003.12, read on the forward strand.
TTGAATTCATGTCATGTTTGTGTCCTAGAAACACATCAAGGAGCACAGGATAGGAATTAGGGTTGTGACCTTTATCCTTTGACCCACATCTTAAAAAGGGTCAAATCTTTTACTTACGTACAATTAAGCACACGTAGTAAAAATAAATTTCCAACTGGAAGGTACTCTTTAGGGTACAATTTTTTTTATTAAGTGACGTGTCAAGATTATTGGGCTAAGTTGGGGTAAGTTCATCAGTTTAAAATTTTCATTTTTAACAGACAGAAGGCATGAGAAAGGCAAAACTCATTTTCCTGTGCTGTTTAATTCGATCACATAAAATTATCTCAACAAATACAAAGAAGCCCAATATGTTTTTCCACTAGGTTTCTATATTTATCTTGTAGAATCAACTCTATAGATACACCTTTAGTGCTTTGTTCTCTAAAACATAATTTTGTTTATTTTCATATCCTATTTTCTCTTTCCAGCTGCACACATCAAGACTTTTTAAATCAACATTCAATTATCACTAAATGACTTTTCTGCCTATTTCAGAATGATTTTAATGTGGTCATGTTTATTTTATTAAAGAATTTTTATATCTGCCTTGGGATAATGCAATTAGAATTCTTTTTACCTTTATGCGATCAGTTTAGAGCCCTTCTCATAAGAGAATAAACAAAGATAATAAGAAGGCAATATTTTTATTTTAAAAGGGCAGATAAAATATCCTCTGTTGCAAAAGGTCTCTTTTGGCTCTTTGTTGAATATGCGGCAATTCAGAGAAATAGATCATATACTTCGAAGTTAGGTCATCTTGGTTTTAGGTATAGAAGAACAAGCTTTGGTCGTGAATTTAAGGTTTGTTTGTTTGTTTGCTTGTTTTTACTTCTGCCAGGTTTATGATTGTTAAAGGATAGACTCTTGAGTTCCTAAACAGTAGAAAACACAACCCTTGTCTAAGGGGTGGTATAATCTAGTCAATTCGGAAGAAAATACGTGAATGAAGAAACAAAGTTGTCGGTGGAAGAAAGTTTTGAAATCCATTAGAAAACAGGACAGCTTATCAATATCATAGGGGCCTAGTGCAGATAGTTGGCATGTACAGGGAGCTAGAAGCAACATGAAAGACTGTGGTGAAAATTTTCAATTTTCTCTGTAGGGTATTTGGAGGATAATTTTTGCTCCCAATGATAATGGAGTCAGCACCCTCTTTGGAGCCATGAACACTCTCTCTTAACTTCTTCTCAGAACCTTTCCTGTATACTGCCACAATCTCAAATGCTTGGCATTAGCCAGAGGCTGGAGTGCAGGAATCTGATGAAGAGTGCCGCTTCTTAGCCTTGGCCTTTACTAACTGAGCACTACTGAGCAAGTCACTTAACCTCTCTCTGCTCAGTTTCTCTATTTTGAAAATGGCTCTTGGCCGGGTGTGGTGGCTCACGCCTGTAATCCCAGCACTTTGGGAGGCTGAGGCGGGCGGATCATCTGAGGTCAGAAGTTCAAGACAAGCCTGACCAATATGGTGAAACCCCGTCTCTACTAAAAATACAAAAATTAGCCGGGCATGGTGGCACATGCCTGTAGTCCCAGCTACTCAGGAGGCTGAGGCAGGAGAATCACTTGAACCCAGGAGACAGAGGTTGCAGTTAGCTGAGATCATGCCACTGCACTCCAGCCTGGGTGACAGAGCCAGACTGTATCTCAAAAAAAAAAGGAAAAAAAATGGCTAAGGAATGCTTACCTCATGAGATTATTTTAAGATTAAATGAGCTATTGTATTTAAAGCATTTAATACACACAGTAACTACTCCTGAAATCTTAGCTGTGGCTATTAATAAAAATAAAAATAATCAATAACATATTGTGCAGCCATATTGTCATTATTATTAATATCCTTCTAATCTCAGATACGTCATTGCCCAGCCCAAATGCCAGCTCTTCCATTAAGCTTCCTCTTTTCACCCATTGGAATTAATTACCCTTCTGTATTCTTATTTACTTTGTCCTGTATGTTTATTATAGCCCTTAATACTTGATGGATTTTATTATGTATGTCCTGGAAACTTGGGAGCATTCCTTACCCATCCTTTTAATCAAGACTGAGCATAGTAATTATTTTAAATTAAATAGCATTGTGGTGGAGGAGAGGACAAAAGAGTGTGACCCGGATGAGTGTTTTAATTTGCATTCATTGTAAGAATGGGGAAGGGGTGTTGGTGTGGGGTGAGGGCAGCCATTTCATGAAACTCATAGTAGTTGTCTCAGAATGCTACCTTGTCTTAGCTTTGCAATTGAAAGGTAGCTTAGATGTCCATTGTTGCTTTTCAGATGATGCAAACCGTCTTAGGTTGAATATTCGCTGTTCAATTCAGGAAGAAGTTTCCCCAGATGGAAAGCCTTGAATTATTTATGCAGTGTTTATCTCTGAGTTTACTTCCCATCACAACCAATTAAGGCTATTTGGTTTCATTAAAAATAGCATTTTCTCATTTGGGAAAACATTTATCTGAAGGAAATTTAAATTTACCCACTTGGAGGCTACAAAGCTGGTGTCGAGTTAGCTGTACCGCCCTTAGCCAAGAAACAGAGAAGGAAACAAATGCAGTTTTCTCCTCGCTGTACATTTTTTCCCCTTTTAGTTCTTTAACAGACATGAACTGTGTAGAGTCAAACCTCATTTTGTCCAGCTCTTAGATTTAAATCTCTGCAAATCAGAAGCTTATAAATGGCACAGGGAAGTAGATCTTATTGCCCTCAATGCTGCTGTTTTCTGTACCTGTCAAATGTCCTTAGTAATTTGTTAAAATAGTTTAATATACATAGAATGGTAACAGTCACCAGTGCCAGTCATTACCTTGAATAAAATGTGTTAGGTCTTCTCTTAACAGGTCATGACCTGAACACAAGGTTCTGAGCATCCCCTTCCCACTAATTCTGATGGTATGCCATTGAAAATGGCACTCAAGCTTTATCTTTTGTAATGCAAGCTTTGCATTAATTCATAAACATATTTGAAGTGAGACTAGTTATCTTTGCATGGGCAAAGGTGAGGCAAAGTGATAGGGCCAGACAGAACCCAGTGACCATTCAGCCAGGATGTCTCAATGACAGTGCTCCAGCAGGGGCATCATGATCTAGATTCATCTATAGGAGGTGGTTGATCTCTCCAAGATGTGTTCTGTCCCTTCTCTTCCCCCTGTGAGGTGGTCGCACAAAGCACCATTCCCCTCTCTTGGTTGTTATGTGAGGGCTGTGACTGTCAAACTTTGGGATGCTCTAGTTACCTTACTAGGGCACCCTCTCCCCACTATACATCTTCCACAGAAGGCCAGTTATAACCTGTTAGGCAAGAATGGAATTGGAGGAACACTGAAATGGCATGATGTTGATGATTTGATTGGTGGTATCAGTTCATTTCCCCCAGAGCGTATCCTTGCATTTTCTCATCCACTCCATCCATTCATGCTTTGAAGTTACGTGTGTGGGGATGGACCCTCCAGGATTTCTTCTGTTTTTCTCCCTTCTGTGTGACTGTCTATCTTTCATTGACCTTTTCTTTCTTTAGAGAGGTCAATAGCAGTATATAATGGAGGAATAACAAGTACCTTATGTATACACTTCCTGAGCCTGTGCCAAACCTCACTAACTGATCATAGAATTTTTTCCCAAGTCTGATAGGGCTTCTTAATCCTTCTCAAAGAAGGGAGCCAAGCAGCCACCACCAATTAGTCATCATTGGCATGCTTGCTGCCTTCATTTTATTTCAAAGTCTTTCTTTCCTGCATTTAGTCTGGGGGACTTACTGTCTCTCATCATTAGGTGCTGATTTTTTTTTTAAATCAGACTTTAAGAATTCATGTATCACCTACTCTTTGAACTAGTCCCAAACAAAGATTTTTGTATTGAAAAAGCCTTTGAGAAGACATCCTTAAGTTTAAAGGTAGATGTTTGTTATTTATCTGGATTGTTTTGACTGTTGTTATGTGGAAAGATGTTTTAGACCTGCAGTATGCGTGGAGAAAAGTATGCTAGTAACAACTACTACCATTTATGGGGCACTTACAGGATGCAAGACTGTGCACTGAGCTAATTATGAACATTATGCCGTTCTCTCAATGTGCTAAGCAGGTAATATTACCATCCTGTATTATGGAAGATACAAGTGGGGCTTAGAGAGGGTAATTTGCCCATGGGTATTAGTGCAGAGCAATAAGTGGAACCCAGAATTAGAACCCACATTTTCTAAGTTTGCAAGCTTCATTTCAAATTTCAATCATAGTCTTTCTGGTTAAAACATGCTGTGTGATATAACCCCATTTACTTCAATATTCTTGCCTTATGCTGTATTTGAAAGTAGCTTCTAGAATGCAGGGATTTTTTGGATTCTTTGTTTCACTTGCTGAGCTTCCTATTATTTATTTATTTATTTATTTATTTTTATTGAGATGGAGTCTTGCTCTATCGCCCAGGCTGGAGTGCAGTGGCATGATCTCAGCTCGCTGCAACCTCCGCCTCCCGGGTTCAAGCAATTCTCATGCTTCAGCTTCCCAAGTAGCTGAGACCACAAGCGTGAACCACCACGCCTGGCTAATTTTTTTGTATTTTTAGTAGAGATGGGGTTTCGCCATGTTGGCCAGGTTAGTGTCGATCTCCTGACCTCAGGTGATCTGCCCTCCCCAGCCTCCCAAAGTGCTAGGATTACAGGCGTGAGCCACCATGCCCAGCCCCAGCTTCCTATTATTTAAATTGTATCCTGGAATGCCTTGCTCACTGTTACAGACTTGCATGAAGTTCAAGTTTTATGTAAGTTCTCTAACCCATTCAGCTGTCACCTTATGTAATACGCATTTTCCCCTCTCATTTAATGCTGGATGTCAATGCTGAGCTCCTCAGAGATAGTACATGCCTCAGGATGGTAGGACCCCTTCGTCCTAGATATAAATCATTCCAGCAGGGGCCTTTGAGTTCATAAATGCAATCAGCTTTTCTCTTCCTTTCCTTACCATTCCCTCCCCCAGCCTTTTAAAAACAGATTTCAGGTTTACATTTACAGGATCGCAAAAAAGCCAGCACAGTTATTTAGCTCCAGTCTGCAGTTAAAACAGTGGGATGCATAGCTAATTTCACTCATATTTTTTTAATGTGCATTAGTAACCTGGCGCTCCATTAATTACAATATTTCATATTGGGAAGCTAAACTGGCTTTTCTTGGAAACCTGCTGAAAGTCAGACAATTACCTCTGCAAGCTACCTCTGAGTGTTTCGTATTTAATAGAACATGTTAACATAATAATGCTGTTTTATGGAGAAGAGAGGATGAATTTTGTACTGATAATAAAAAGCCCACTTAAAAAAAGAAGAAAGAAAACAAGGAGGTAATGAATGTTGCTCTTTCCTAGAATTAGAGAAAATATATCCACATGAGGCAGTGTCTACACAAGCCAAAAACAGGTCCAGGTGGATAATGGGTATTGTAACCTGCTTGCTTGACAGTTTATAACTTTCCTCCTACTTGCTGTTGAGTCTTTGGGGTGGAAGAAAATACAGAACAGTTTAGAGTATATCCTTATTTCTCCCAAGATAGGTATTTTGTGACCTCTAAGTATAGACAAAATGGATAGAAAGTAAATCCTTCTGTCTGGGCAGTGGAAAACTGCAATCGCTATGTGTACCTTTACCTCTTGTAAAATCAGGATGTAGGAAAACATTGTAGGGTTATCCACCAGAAGGGCAACCTTTTTTATATAAACTTATCTCTTCTTACTACCTTTTTAATCTATCTCCCAGTTGTTTTCAGTGCCTGGGAGTCCCCATGAACACTTGTATACGGAGATTGGAGTAAATGGTGCTATTAGCAGACTATTGTCTTCAGAAAATCCTAGTGGTCCTTTATTCTCTATCTAGAATCATACAAGTTTCCTGCATTACATAATTGCTGTGTCATCACATTTCATTTGATCTGTAAAGGTGAACATATTCTTTTTCCCCTCCTGCGAGGAACAAAGCTGGAGAATATGTATAATTCAAAAATTGGTCCAGTGGAGGCACATAACTTTCATTTAATTAAAGGCGCTGAGTAAAGGGAGTTTGAGATAAGCTTGAACAAGTAGACTGCTGCCTGTTTCTCTGACCTTTTCAAAAGGGATACAATATGTAACTGAATATTTTGCGAATGGAGTCAGGAAATATAAAATAGAAGAAATGACTTTGACACAACTTTGAAGTTGATAACCTTGAAATGGAGTAAGAAGGTGAAGATCCTAAAAAGTAAAAACAAAACAAAACAAAAAAAAAAACAGAAGCCGGGGAGAAACGTATCTCATCGTCCCTCTTTTGTATCCTTCAGCTGACTCAGTACTCAAGCTATTCCCTGTCCACTTAAGATCTGTGTAATGCGAGCAGCATGTTCACTGTTTTAAGGTTATACCACAGATTATGCATGCCACTTTTCACTGGTAAAACGGGTTTTAGTTTCTAGGAGTCTCCATTTTCTAATAAGTTAGTGAGATGTTTCGCCATTTGGTATACTGGGTAGAGAAGGATTTATTCAGAAGTAATTTTGAAAATCTTATTCTGTTAAAAATGTCTTTCCCATTTGAAATATTTCATTTGCATTGTGCATATAATGGAAGTTTGCTTTGAATGATGCTCGCTGTTTCATGTAATCAAATGCATCTTTTACTCGGTAACTTTCCAAGTGGTGGATAGGATTTTCATTGTCTTGCACCCAGTATCATCAACTGGAGTGGAATGGCTAGATAAGTCGCAAAAGATGCTGGGTGGTAATTTGTTTTTGAACTTGCATAGGTTCAAATACCATAATATGTTGATGGGAACATTTCTGGGGAAACTTAGACATGTATAATATCTTACGAGTTGTGCAGTACTCACCCTGCGTGGTAGGTCAACGGGAATTCAGAGTAGGGAAGGAAGATATTACTGAGCTGTTGAGCTACATTCTGAAGGACACTAAAACTGCTTGGTTGAAATAAAGTAGTGTTAGGAAGTAATTTTCACGTGGCTTTCTATAGACTTTCTCATACTTCGCTGTTTTTGCTGGACTTTGAAAAACATCAGAAAATGGTGTTAAATTGGAGAAATATTAGAAATAATTGAATGTATGATTAAAGTGACACCAAGGAAATTCTTAAAGCTACCAGTGGACTGGAAAATCAAGCTTGTTGAATATTTTAGTGGATGTTAGCAGTATCAGAAAAAGGATAGTGTCTCTGAGTAGAGAAATTGTTAAAAGAGGTGCAATAGGTAAAACAATACTGTCAATCCATTATATGAAAGAAAATAGGATAAAGAGACTCTTGACTGGTGTGGAGAATAATAGAAATACAGTTACACACCACATAACAATGTTTTGGTGAACAGTGGATCACATATATGACAGTGGTTTCAGAAGATTATATTACTGTATTTTTACTGTACCTGTTCTGTCTAGATATGTTTAGATACCGAAATACTTACCATCATGTTACAGTTGCCTACAGTATTCAATACAGTCATATAGTTTTACAGATTTGTAGCCTAGGAGCAGTAGGCTATACCACATAGCCAAGGTGTATAGCAGGCTATAGCATCTAGGTTTATGTAAGTACACTCTGATGTCTCAGCAACAATGAAATCGCCTAACAGTGCACTTCTCAGAACATATCCCTGTTGTTAAGTGACACTTGACTGTCTAGATTTGAAAGTTGCTTGAGAGATGGCCGAGTGGCCATGTTTTTTAAATAAGGAAGTTGAGAAACAGGGATATCAAGTGCTTGGTACAGTTTTGTTCATTGTATTGTTTTGGTTGTAAACTATCTAATCTATCCCAATCTAGCTGAAGAAAAATGCGAGAATTTAGTGACTAACATAACTGCAAAGTCCAGAGGTATCATTGGTTTCTAGCCATAAAGACAAGGTATCAGGAATCTGTTTTTCTAGTGAGCTCTTGTTTTCCTGGATGACCTTCATTCCCAAGCAAGCTGTCTTCTTGGGGTTACATAAAACAGCTCCATCCTACATCCCTCTAGGTTCAGATTCAATGGAAAAGAGAATACCTTTCTAAATATTTCCGGAAAGTTCTCTATTAATACTCCGACTTTGTTTAAATGGATCACATTTCCATCCCTGTACTCCAAGGTTCTATAGGAAGCTTTTCTTCTAAGGGAAGGAAAAGAATTGTTATCCAAAGGAAATCAGAAGTTGGTTACTAAGTGGCGGTCAAGTCAACAGGTGTCTCTTACAGAGTACAGAAAGCCACTTTCGGGCATAAGTGAGGCATGTCTCCAGGTTTCCTGGTCTACCTCATCAGGCTGCCATTCTTCCCACTGGGACCATTAATCCAACAAATATTTATTGAGTGTCATCCATGAGCAAAATATAGAAAGTAATAAGAGTCTCACTGTCAAATTGATTTCAATTTGGATTGCTCTGGTTACTAATTTCAAAGTCAGTTGCTATGAGCATCATTTGGCACAACTGCCCTGGAACACTGGATCAGCATTTCTGGCATGGGAACCCAGAAATCTGCTCTTTCAGCAAGCCTCCCAGTGACATGATTGTGCAGCAAGGTTGAGGAGCTACTGTGCAAGAAAAGAGTGCTTTGAACATGTGTAAATGTCTTTATAAAAGCCATTTGCAGCTTATTTCTATCGTAGTTGGAGTTTCTCAAAGCTTAGGAGGCATGAAGTACCTAATTTGGAATAATTATATTAAATTCAGATTCCAGGGCCCCCCTTGAGACCTATTCAAATTTCTAATCTTGTTCCTAGGAATCCACATTTTCTTTAATCTACCCAGGTGAATTCTGATACGTGATAAAATTATTCTCCAAAGTGGAATATAAAATGTTGAACCATGGTGGCTCAGAGAAAGGTTTTAGAATACTAGTTTTATGTTTTGTCAATTAAAAGAAAGCTGTGTTAATATTTGATGTATATGTTGCAGCCGGCGCCCTCATGTGGTCTGTGTGCCAGGTGGTTACATGTCTTATTTGGCAGGTATTCAATGGAAAGAATGGGAATACCAGTGTACACAGAAATTCAATTGCTTTCAACATATTGCAATCAACTGCATTTTATATATGCCTATTGTAAGTAAATCTGTGTGTTAATATACCTTTGTAACCAAACCACCTCTCCCAGAATAGACAAATGGCTTAATCAACATGGTCTCTGTCACCCATCTTCTGAGTAAAAAAAGGATCTAATCAGATCTGACATGGAGCTGGGCATGGAAATTATAAATTATTAGGACAGTTTGGTCTATGCTTTTTTGATATATGCTTTTATATATGTCTTCTCTCATTAACCATAAGTCTCATCTGCAATATATTTTGTGAATTATTTCCAAATGTTAAAGATTAGCACGATACTTTAAAATGATGTTTCTTTCATTTTCACCGCATCACTTTTTTTCTTCTTTTGTGATTGTTTTAGGATGAATATATTGTGTTAGTACAGTAATCCAGGTGTGTAGTTTATCGGTAAATAAAATAGTGGGAACTTACCCACCTACACAGAACTTGTACCAGTTGGGTAGTACATGATCTAAAGAAATGCAGTGACCACTGTTCTGTCAAGGCCAGGCATAGCGGCTGATGCCTGTAATCCCAGTGCTTTGGGAAGCCAAGGCAGGAGGATCAGGAGGCCAGGAATTCGAAACCAGCCTGGGCAAGATAGCTGAGATTGCATCTCTACAAAAAAATTTAAAATGTAACCAGGCATGGTGGCATACACCTGTGGTCCCAGCTACTTGGGAGGCTGAGTCAGGAAGATCACCTGAGCCTGGGAGTTCCAGGCTGCAGTGAGCTGTGATTGTACCACTGCACTCCAGCCTGGGTGACAGTGAGAACCTGTCTCTTAAAAAAAAAAGAAAGAAAAGAAATGGCCTGTCTTTGGAACTCTCTTGCTCACATTCTGGTACATTTGGTTAGCCTTTCATTTCCTTGTTACTTGACTTTAAAAAGACAAAAGAGAAGAAGAAAAAATAAACTGCCATTTATTGTTAGATTTCAACCATAAGGAAAACACCTTATCTGTATTTATTTACATGTTGATAATTGCCTTCTTTCTGTTTGTCAGATACATATGCATATCGCTTTGTTGATAGAAAAGACGGAGATACCCAGAATAGCCAGGAAGCACAGCCCACACCACGCATTAATTTTTAAACCATTTCTTAGATCACAGAGTCTCTTGAATCCATTCGCTTTTCCAGTTTCAATAGTGTTTGACAAAAGGAATGTGTTAGTGTGCATTCCTCTGGCTTTGATTTTTTTTTTCCTAAGGATACATCAAACTCTTGACAGATATATGAGTGTCATTTTTTGTGGTTTAATATAGACTGTATTTATATTTATAAATGTAATTGCTCTCCAAAGGAAATCAGTAATTTGTTAGTGATTATCTGTATTTTGAACTTCACTGCCTTGGGTTTTTTTTTTTTTTTTTGGAGACGGAGTCTCTTTCTGTCTCCCAGGCTGGAGTGCAGTGGTGCTATCTCAGCTCACTGCAACCTCCACCTCCCAGGCTCAAGTGATTCTCCTGCCTCAGCCTCCCGAGTAGCTGGGATTACAGGCGTCCGCCATCACACCTGGCTAATTTTTGTATTTTTAGTAGAGACGGGGTTTCTCCATGTTGGCCAGGCTGGTCTTCATCTCCTGACCTCAGATAATCCACCCACCTCGGCCTCCCAAAGTTGTGGGATTACAGGCATGAGCCATCATGCCTGGCCTTCCTTTTAATAAATTTGAAACTTATCTAGCTAGTGCTTAATATTCTGAAGGGATGAATTTGTTTGCTGTAAGAAAGATAAGCATGGCATCTGCTTCACACCTGTGGTGTTGGGGATAAAGAGCATGCAGTAAGTTATATTGAGGGACCTTTGCAGGATCTTCAGGGGATGGCCTCTGTTCTGGGATTTTTTCTCATCTAAATGTAAACTAAAATATAGATTTCCTCTCCCCATGAGAGCATTTAGAGTTACGAGGCTCAAACTGCTGGTTAGATAATTTGACTTCCTAGCTCTGCCAAGCCCAGCTGTTCATGCAGTGCAAAATTTTTTAAACTTTCTATTGAGGTATAGCCTACATACGGTGAAATGTTCAAATATGAAGGGTACTACATGAGGGACTATACATGTGTATACACCCTGTAACTACTGTCTGGGTCAAGATATGGAACATGCCCATCACTCTGAAAGGCTTCCTAGTGGACCTTCTCGGTCTTAACCTTACCCTCACTGCACATCTATGAGCGTACTGACTTCCATCCTCTTCTGTCCCTTTTTGTCTATTTGTGACCAACAATGATTGCTGCTGCTATTGTAGTCCCAATTGTTAGACTCAGAGTCATTCTTGGGACTCTCACAGGACAATTCTAACATTTCTATAGCTCCAATAGGAGGACAAGGCCTGTCTGCCTTCAGACTCTCCTGGTAGGCCTGAAGTAATATACAAGGTATTCATTATTTGTTAGCTACTGTTTTGAATAATGGGTTTCTTTCTTCTATTTGGCCTTCTCTCCAGTTGGTCTTTAATGTGTACGTCACCTGTTTGGAATAACTGGTTATGTTAGTGTCTATAGATCCATTTGTAAGGATCAATTTGTCTGAGTAGCTTGCTGTTTTCTAACACTGGTTGGGGCCTCCAGGGATAGAAACGTGGGCCAGGTGATTTGATAGAGAGGGAAATAATCAGGAAAGTCAGTGGTTCTTCTGGGTGTCACCTGACTTCACCTGGTTGCCAGAGCAGACTGTAAGGAACAAGAGGCAAGTTAGCAATAGAGGTTGAGGCAGCTGCCTAATCATGTGTCTCTTTGGGACATTTGAATTCTTCCAGGTATTTGGAAATGGAAGCAGAAATGGAAATCTTTGTTTTTGTACCTTTTTTGAGTTATATTTTGCAGTCTTAAAAGAACTGCATTGTTCCTTCATTTATGAAGCGTACGGGAGTATGTGACAGGGAATTCAAAGATGTGGTTTTGCATTATACAGTGCTTACGTGAGAGGCATGTATTTTGCTGAATAAGTTCATGGACGAGGTATAAAGATGAAATTATAGGCTTTAGTGGGAGCAAAAAGTAGACACCACTTCCATGTTTCCATGGGGAAATGGGTCAGGGGAGCGATTGCTCATTGGAATCAGGAAATAATTCATGTAGCAGGTAGCACTTAATTTGAATCTTGAAAGATGATGAGTAGGAGTTTTTCAGGTAGAATTATATCTCAAGTTTTCCTGCTTCTGGTTGTTCTGAACTGATACACTCACATCATAAATTGCTATTGTAGTTAATATTGTAATTAAGGCCCAATTATGTTTCAAGTATCAGTGGAATTGAGTCCACACTTTCATTGCATTGCAAAATTTAAAGCAGTAATTAATATAGGACTATTATTATACCATTATACTCATTTTAAAGATGATACCATACTTAGTTTTCTATGTTTTGGATTAAAATTGCAAAATGTGTTAAAAAATGTAAAGGCATCACAGAAATATCGCTAATAAGGCTTAAATCATTGAGGCTGGGCATGCTAATGAGAGAACAGCTACTGTTTGTTGAGCTTGTAACACGGACTAGTCACTCTGCTTTATTTTATCACAACTGCTTTTCATAGCAACCTCAATAACTAGGTGCTTGTTAGATCTAATCCTGTTTTTCAGATACAGAAAACGGAGACATAGGTGAAGTTCCCTGTATTTATTTCCTAGGGTTGCCTTGACAAATTATCACAAGCTAAGTAGCTTAGAACAGCAGATATTTGTTGTCTTACAGTTCTGGAGGCTCCACATCTGAGATCAAGATGTCTGTAGGGTTGGTTCCTTCTGAGGGCTGTGGGAGAGAATCGCTTTTGTGCTTTTGCTCTTAGCTTCTGGTGGTTTGCAGGCAGTCTTTGACATTTCTTGGCTTTGTAGATGCATCACTTGCCTTCATCTTTGTGTGGCATTCTCCTTGTCTTTCTCTGTGTCCACATTTCCCTAATTTTTAAAGAACATAGTCATATTGGATTGGGATTCATTCTAATGGCCTCATCTCAATTTGATCATCTGCAAAGACCCTGTTTATAAATTTTCCAAATAAGGTGACAGTCATAGGTATACAGAGGATAAGGACTTCAAAATCTTTTGGGAAGATATAATTCAAACCATAACATTGCCCAAGCTCACTCAGCTAGTAAGCAGTAGAGAGAATTCAAATCCAAGTACATATGACTCTATAGCCCAAGGCTCTAACAACTGTGCCATTATACATTAGGGAAATACATTCGTATCCAAGAATATTGTACGTTTTAAAATTCAGCAGTGAGTAGGCAAATATCAGGATATGAACATCCCATCCAGACAGGATTGACTTCGAATATGCCCTGGTAAGAAGTGTTAGTCCAGTTGTCATGGAATTGTAGATGTTTGCTGTCCACTGAGATATGTGTTATGTGCTTCGTTCTGTACAAAGGGTATAGGAGTGATATTCTATTTAGTCTAAATCAAGCTTGTCCAACCTGTGACCCACGGACCACATGTAGCCCATGAGGGCTTTGAATGTGGCCCAACACAAATTTGTAAACTTTCTTAATACCTTATAAGATTTTTTTTTTTAAGCACATCATTAGTGTTAGTGTATTTTATGGTAGCCCAAGACAATTCTTCTTCCATTGTGGCCTAGGGAAGCCAAAAGATTGGACACCCCTGGTCTAAATACAAAACATTGTATCTCAACCTCAGCATTTTGGGCTTAATAAGCCTTTGTTATGTCATGTGCATTGTAGGATGTAAAATAGTATTCTTGGCCTAAAATATCTAAGATGTAATAGATGCCAGTGGCACCCCTGACACAGTTGTGACAACCAAAAATGTTCCCAGACATTACCAAATGTCCCCTGGGGTAATTACGATTACTGCAGTTTGAGAACCACTGGTTTAGAAAGAGAGGAATGACATGTGGCTAAACTGTGCCACCCTGTCACTTGCTGTGCTTTGCCTAGACTTTGTGTCTATTTAGGGTGGTTGCTGGCAAAGTGTGAGGAAGACAAACTGTTTCTGTTGAACTTCCCTTGAGGCTCTATGTCATTCATGGACACGAGAAGGAGGTCCACAGATGGAATGGAGAGTTGAAGACTGAAAGCGCATTATGCATGCTGTCTGCATAACTTGACTTTTACAAAGCGAGATAGTGGCTTTGGAATAAACGGGAGATAAAAGTAAAGCTCTTTCATCTAAACAACAAGGATTATCCATGTTTCCAGAGAAAGGCAAATGACTCTGATGGCAGACTGAAAGTCAATGTTTTGACTTAACTATTTTGGGAGGTATTTGCAATTGAGATCAGAGTTTTAATGGGCCTTACCTGAGAAGGAAAGGCAGGGATGGTTAACCCTGGCTACACCTTTGGGTTTTTAACCCTGGTGTTTATGGTGAGAAACCACAGCCAATCTCAGCCAACCATTGAACATTGTCTGGAAATTCTGACTTAAGACTTACCCACATCCATCCTTCATCCTCCAGTTTACACTGTTTTCTGTTGTCCAGGAAGATGGAGAAGTACCTCTTTTTTTATTTCAAAAGAAGTGCTTTTCTGTAGGCTGCCTTGTGGGACTCCCAAAGGATGCCATTTCCTGAGACACGTCAAGGTATCTGCATCTTAGACAGTGGTGTTACCATGTCCGCACATCAGTCAGTGCATTTTCTCTTGGCCCCAGGCCAGTAATGTGGTTGTGTACACTGGTCACAGCTCAAAAAACTGAAAAATGAACTCTGAGCTTTACTGCAAAGAATGCCAGCTAACAAAAATAACTCTGCCAGAGCAGTGCCCTGGACAGGTTTGCAGCTCTGAGATCTAACAGTGCTGATGTATGGGAGTCCAGTAGAATGCTTAAAAAGAAAGGAAAAAATAGAAAAAATCCATCTGCTGTGCCGTTAACATTCCAAAAAGGTAATGCCCAAGAACTCCAAATGGGTCCTAATGTGCTGTTTAAGACTCAGAAAACTCAGCTTTAAGTTCTACACCACTCTGTGCTCCCAGACTGGGAACAAAAACAGGGTATTTCCGTGAAGTGCAAATAGATGATTGTATGGAGGAATCAGTGGGTAGGAATTATTTTGCTAGCATGTTAAAAATACTTCAGGTGTAGGCATTTCAAGAAATAATAAAGCCCAATACTCTAACCCTTAGACCAGAACTTGGGGCTACAGATGGAATACAATGCTTTGAATAAAACTATAACCCCTACCAGAGACCTCTTTGAAAACACAGCAGTGCTAGTATGGATGTGCTTCCCCTAGCATGCAATTCCCCATGGATCCAGCCTTATTGCGTTTCTCTGTACAATTCAGAAAGCAGGACGGAAAATTGTGTGTACCTAGCCCAAGCTATCTTTATTGTCTGATGTCTAATACAACCTCATTCCTAACCTCACCTTAATAATCTTATAAGGGAGCATAAGTTGCCTTACGGTGGGAAGGAACCTTGCTAGTGTGATGACATTTGGATATGCACTTATTTATTATTATTATTATTTTTTTTAGAGACTGGGTTTTGCTATGTCAACCAGGGTTGTCTGAAACGCCTAACCTCAAGTGATCTTCCCACCTCAGTCTCTGAAAGTGTTGGGATTACATGAGCCACTGCACCCAGCTGGATGTTCATTTTAAGTGCGTCAGTCCTTTTATGCTAAAGCTTGTCATCCCCCTCCCCCTCATACACACCTTTTTGTTGGGATCTACAGAAAGTCACCTATGGATACTGCCAAGCTTCATTCTTGCCCTGCGTTTATGGATCTGGGGAGTTTATGTCCTGAGTATGTAGGCCGTGGGTCTGTCCCGGGAAGCAGTGCATGTGTAGGTGCTGTTGTTAGCATGACCCAAGTAGGCAGTAGGGACCAGGTTGAATTCAGTGTTGATAACAGCATCCAGCAGATAGGACTAGGCTTAAATTCTGACCAAGGCAGTTGTTGAGTCAAACTAGGTCCAAGAAGAAAGAAAACAGAGCCCCAGTGATCTGAACCCACTGAAGTTGAGCTCTACTCCCAAGGGAAGGGCTCTTTTCTTCCCTAAACTGCATTATGATCCCTGCTGTGTCTTTCCCTTTGCTTATGAGCAATTGTCACACCAGAAGGAGATGGGGACTCTACCACAGAACTCTGCTCTTGGTAGGCAGACGGGAATGATCATCCAGTGTCTGGCCTGATGAAGCATCAGCCCCAGGTATCCGGTCTGCTCTGAAGGGGCACAGATTGTAGAGTCACTGGATCCCTAACTGTTCACCAGCTATGTTCTTGAAGCAGTTTCTTAACCTTCCTAAAATTCCCTTTCCCAGTCTTTAAAATGGGGATAATAGTAACACCCGCTATGTAGAATTGTCATGAAGATAAAATTTCCTAATCTTCACGAAGCACATGTCCTAGGGGACTCCTTCATAAGTGGAACTCACAAAATTATAGATGATTCTTAGACTTGGACTCTCTCAAATTCTGGTTCCTCATTCCATTCCCCTACTAGCAGTCAGCTTGAAAACAGCTCTAAAGCTTGCCCTCTGAAGACTCTGATCTCATTACCCCAAACCCCTATTGTCCATAAAACAGATCAGGAATGAGAATTCAGCTTTTGATCTTACCTTGTAAGAAATATGGACCGAGACCTGGTATGAAAGACATTTGTTTTAAAGCGTCATAGAATCTCATGTTTAGAATGAGCTTAAAAACCAACTGCTGTTGAAAGTCAGGAGTTGGCTGGGCACAGTGGCTCACGCCTATAATCCCAGCTCTCTGGGAGGCCCAGGCAGACAGATTGCATGAGCCCAGGAGTTCAAGACCGGCCTGAGAAACACGGCAAACCCCATGATATGGTTTGGCTGTATCCCCACCCAAATCTCATCTTGAATTATAGTTTCCATAATCCTCACATGTCATGGGAGGAACCTAGTAGGAGGTAGTGGAATTATGGGGGCCGTTACTCCCATGCTGCTGTTCTCATGATAGTGAGTGAGTTCTCACGAGATCTGATGGTTTCATAAGGGGCTTTTCCGACTTTTGTTTGGCACTTCTTGCTGCTGCCATGTGAAGAAGGACGTGTTTGCTTCCCCCTCCACCATGATTGTAAGTTTCCTGAGGCCTCCCCAGCTGTACTGAACTGTGAGTCAATTAAACCTCTTTCCTTTATAAATTACCAGTCTTGGATATGTCTTTATTAGCAGCATGAAGACAGATTAATACACACCATCTCTACAAAAAAATACAAAAATTAGCTGGGCATGATGGCACAAGCCTGTAGCCCCAGCTATTCCCCAGGCAGGAGGATCGTTTGAGCCCAGGAGGTCGAGGCTGCAGTGAGCCATGGTCACACCACCGCACTCTAGCCTGAGCAACAGAGTGAGACCCTGTCTCAAAAAAAAAAAAAAAAAAAAATCCTTCCTGCTGATTTCCTGTATCTTGATGAGAATGAGTTGCACCTTTAGTGGCTGTAGCCTAAGAAGGAAACTGAAGAACTGCAGATCAGGGACTATCATTTAATGGCTACTGGCTACTGTTACACTTCCTGCAAGCAGTAATAGGTAAATAGAAAGTCAGTAGATGGTTACTCTTGGTTGGAGGGTAGTGACCAGATGAGATTGCACAAGGCTTCTGGAGGAGCAAGAAGCGTTCTCTTTCCTCATCAGGATGCCAGTTACGTGGATGTGCTCACTCTGAGACTTCATTGAGATCACTCACAGTTGCACTTACAGCTATGCACTGTTCTGTCTGTATGTCAGTATTTAGTAAAGTTTGAAAAGAAATCTTGTCATCCTGTGCTATGTGGTTCTTGTTTTAGTCTTTCTTTGTTGTTGTTGTCTTGTATTTCTTGTTTCAAATATTTACAAAAGAAATTCTCCTTGATAAATCTTTAAACAATACTGAAGGTATGGAGTAGAAATTGAAGTCATTGTTTTATCTCTATTCTTGCCTGCATTTTCAGTTCTCAGAGGTAACCGAAGTTAAATATCTTATAGATTGTTTAAGGTTTTCTGCCCTCCTTTATCTGAAATATGGGATGATCATAATACATGGAGTTCTGTAACTTGCCTTATCATTGGCTTTTTTTGCATATCAGATACAGAATCAACATAGTTCTTTTTAATACCTGCATAATATTTCATAGTATGGATGCATCCTAATTTATCTTGTTATTCTCCTAAATTGTCAATGAACGTGTCTGTATCCTTCTGCTATTATAAATAATGCTTCTTGAACTCCCTGAATCTCCCTTGTAACATTTGTGACACTGGTCAAATCCCAACTAAGGTAGCCTGTTTTAGCATCCCTTGATTTAAAATACCTTCTTTGAAATTAAGCTTTTGTCCTGGAGTTTTTAATGGGCACAACTCTCTATGATGACTGAAATCTGAAATTTGGGAATTACAAACCAGACTTCCTGGGCAGACTTCTGAGTGTGTTCACTGTTGTGTATTATAAATTCAAGACAAATTAGAAAAACAAATGTTTGAGCAGGACTGTATTTAAGGTATCGTATCTCTGGATGTTTTCTATATCCACTAACAAGATAGGTCATGAATGGAGCCACTCTGTAACCTGATTATTGGTTGACACCATCTCCGGTAGACTTTTGTCTTCATGAAGTCATGGTTTTGATATTTTGCTGTTTTTATCCCCTCCTTTAAACTCTATTTTTATTCCAAATTACTAACTTCCCTGCTGAGATTTATCTATCAGAGTCTCAAGATGCTCTCATTAATAAAGTTATTAACCCCTTTGCTAACTAGCAGCATCCAAAGCCTAAAAAACATTACTTGGCTTTCTCTTTTCTTTTCTTTTTTTTTTTTTTTAGATGGAGTCTCGCTCTGTCGCCCAGGCCGGAGTGTAGTGGTGCCATCTCAGCTCACTGCAATCTCTGCCTCCTGGGTTTCAGCGATTCTCCTGCCTCAGCCTCCTGGGTAGCTGGGATTATAGGCGCCCGCCACCACACCCCAGTTAATTTTTGTATTTTTAGTAGAGACGGGGTTTCACCACGTTGGCCAGGCTGGTCTGGAACTCATGACGTCGGGTGATCTGCCTACTTCGGCCTCCCAAAGTGTTAGGATTACAGGCGTGAGCCACTGCGCCCAGCTGCCTGGCTTTCTCTTGATGCCAAGGTTGCTGCTTTTACAATGGCTGGCTGTTGGAGAGTGGCATTTTTCGTTACAATTTAGTATGGGGGGGCGGGCGTGGTGGCTCACGCCTGTAATCCCAGCACTTTGGGAGGCCGAGGCAGGTGGATCACCTGAGGTTGGGAGTTCGAGACCAGCCTGACCAACATGGAGAAACCCCATCTCTACTAAAAATATAAAATTAGCTGGGCGTGGTGGCGCGTGCCTGTAATCCCAGCTACTCAGGAGGCTGAGGCAGGAGAATATCTTGAACCTGGGAGGTGGAGGTTGCTGTGAGCCGAGATTGTGCCATTGCACTCCATCCTGGGCAACAAAAGCGAAACTCCATCTCAAAAATTTAGTATGGGATTAAATGAATGGATAGCAGGATGAACTGTTGTTTGATAAAGCAGGTACATTTAAATGTTAAGGGAGGTATCTAGGTGGGTTGTATACAGGTGTTCACAGCAAAATTCTTTCAGCTTTGCTCGTATGCTTAATGCTTTTAGTTAATAAAATGTTGGGGGGAAAGCATATGAAACAATAAGAAAATGGGAAAATCTAATTAATGAGGGACTTGATCTGAGTCATATGTAAATGAATTCCCTATCAAGTAACCAGTTCAACAGAGACATCTATTTTTTGAAAAGAAGTTTTGTAGAAATTACAATTATACTAATGATGAGTAAGAAGATAATGTTGATCTCATCTCATAGATTTTATGGCATTGTTTTTTTTAAAGGCAGGATCTCATTGTGTTACTTAGGCTGGTGGGCAATCATGGCTCACTGCAGCCTGACCTCCTTCTGGGCTCAAGTGATTGCTCTACTTCAGCCTCCCAAGTAGCATGGACCACAGGCATGTGCCACCATGCCCAGTTAATTTTTGTAGAAATAAGGTTTCACCATGTTGCTTAGGCTGTTTTCAAACTCCTGAACTCAAGCTATCTGCCCGTCTCAGCCTCCCAGAGTGCTGGGATTACAGGCATGAGCCACCATGCCCAGCCAATTTTGTGGCATTCTTACTTGCCCTGTGGTGTTAAATACTAACCCCAAACTAGTGTAAGGTTATATTCAATCATCAAACTTTGTTTTAAGTCATCATCATTCAAATGTATGTAAAAGCATCATCTCAATTTTGCATATTTGGAAATGGGGACCCAGAATAATTAAATGATTTACCCCTGATCTTAGCACCCGATGAGGCAGAGCTTGAACTTGAACTTTCATTTTCTAATTATTATCTTTTCCACTCCATCATATGTTTTCTCTGATTATGAGATTCTGAAATCCACATTTTCCAGAGAATTGATAGAAAGATCATCAAGCCAAGGATTTTGAACTATGATCAAAGCTACAATGGTGGCAGCCCACTGTTCTTTTTACCACTAAAGCCTTTATCCAGTTCAGAAAATGCCTCTCTCTAATCATTCCTGTTGGGTTTTAACCAATATATCAGGAAGACGTGCTTTGCTGAGCTTTGGGCAGCCTTGTTTTGCTCTCTGATTCTCTGGTGTCCTTCTGAGCAAAGATACGGTCTGAGAGAGTTAATATTAATACTTTGTGTTTATATAAAGTAAAATTATAGTGCACAGTGTAATTTTATGGCTAGGTAGGTGGGAAATTATTAGTCTAAATAAATACACTTTTTAGTAGAGCAGCTGTGTTAAGTAAATTAAATTCTGCATAAATCTGAAACAGTACCTCGATTTTCATTTTTATTTATTTATATTTTTTGTAGAGAACTAGTATCGCTATGTTGCCCAGGCTAGTCTTGAACTGCTGGCTTCGAGCAATCCTCCTGCCTCATCCTCCCAAAATGCTGGGATTCTAGGTGTGAGTCACCTCACCTGGCCTCAATCTTTTCTTTATTTCTTTGTTTCCTTTGGAGTGTTAGTGAGCTTGAGTAGTTGTGCGTTTCATTGTGGTAAAAGATACATGAAGAGTGAATTGTGTTACAGTGAGATCAGGAATAAAGGAAGATTACACCCTGCGTGATGTGGAGCTGTCTGTTGCTAGGGGCTGATGGATGCATTCCTTTAGAACACTTTGCTGATGAGGCTGGTCTTCTGAGTTAGGTCCCTAAATGGATCTATTAGATTCACCCTCTTCTTCTTACAGCAGTGGTGGGGTTTGGGTTTTGTTCTTTTTTGGTTTTTCTTTTTCTGCTCATTTCAAGGGAGACTTTTTTTCCGATGAGCTACATTTTTAGAGCCAGCAAGTGTTTTAAACAGTTGGGATAAACCACCTTTCTTGGCCCCAAATGAATACAAGTCTTCTCCCCAGAGAAAACTACTGTTAGTTTGTGCTGTTTTTCCAGACGTGAGCCTTCCCTTGCCTTAGATCTATATACTTGGGCATATACCCACAGGACACAAACTATACTGAGTTGTATGACATTTTTAAAGTCAAATGTGATCACAGTGTATTTATTTTGCAAGTTGATTTTCTCCTCTAACAATATATCTGAGAACTTTCAAGGTTGGTCTTGAACTCCTGGTCTGAAGCAATCCTCCTGCTTCAGTCTCCCAAATTAGTGCCTAATTTCTTCCTTCCCCTCCGTAGGTTCTACCATTCTCCTATTTATTATGCATATCAAGTTTTTCTTCCCCTGATGCCATCGATGGTGGGGCATAGATACTTGAATATTTGTCTTTGTATATGCAGCACTTGTGGCAAAGTATTAATATTGTGAATAAAGAGCTCCTTAAATAATAAAACAGGAAATCATTAGAAAAAACTAAGTAAAGATTCTTTACTTACTGGTTATTTGGATTTTTTTTTTTTTTTTTTTTTTTTTTTTGAGGCGGAGTTTCACTGTTCTTGCCCAGCCTGGAGTATAATGGTGCAATCTGGGCTCGCCGCAACATCCAGCTCCCTGGTTCAAGTGATTCTCCTGCCTCGGCCTCCCGAGTAGCGTGATTACAGGCGCGTGCCACCACGCCAAGCTAATTTTTTGTATTTTTTAGTAAAGATGGGCTTTCACCATGTTAGCCAGGATGGCCTTGATTTCCTGACCTCCTGATCCTCCCAGCTCGGCTTCCCAAAGTGCTGAGATTATAGGTGTGAGCCACTGCACCCAGCCTTGTTTGGAAATTTTTAAATGAGAGCAGAAGTACCCATCCAATGGTAAAAAATAAGAAGGATCCATAAATCCAGTGTTACGAATGGTATAGGAAAATTGGTATTCTCCTGCACTGTTGATTAGAGTAAAAAAATGTGTGTAATCTTTTCAGGGGATGGTTTGGCTTGAACTGCTTCTAGATATCTGTCTTAGAGGAGGGATTTTTTGCTCACTGAGGCATGTTTACATATTTTTTTAGAGGTAGTGATTTTTAACCTTTCTAGCTTGTGGAGCCCTTGAAGATTCCAGGGAAGTCCATGGTTGTGTACCGCATGAGACCAGGGCTGAAAATGGGTCTTTCAGCACATGGTTGTAGATGGAACCATAGAAATCTGTCTGATCAATGAACTGTTGAAGTGATGGACACTGTTCAGTGAATACATGTACCACCTTTGGCAGTCTTTCAGGGGGCTTGCAGCCCTGCTGGAAGCCAGATTCATAGTTCCATAAATTTGTTTTTCCCCCTTGATCAGTCATCTGACCAATGCTGTTGGTTATTTTAAGGGATACTGAATAATAATAATAATAAAAAATCCCGGTGGAGCAATGCAACGTATTTTCTCCTGTGTGGGAAATAACTCATTCATTCATTCCATAGTCATTTAATGAGTGCCTACCATGTGCTTAGCTTTGTAAGGACCCTCCCAGTGGGAGAGGTCATGATACAACATCCAGAAGAACCTTTTGTAAGGGGATCTCCACCAGAAATGATAAGATGACCTCAGGAACAGAAGAGCTCTTTTAAAGAACAGATGTTCTAGACCAGTTGACCCAGCTAACCTTAAAAATACTTCACTGTAGAGGTTCTCCCAAGGACACTAAAGGGTGTGGTTTGGATTTATAGAACTCAGAAGCGTTTGGAAGCCTTTAGTTGTTTTGGATGTGTGTTCTCAGAAATGTTTTGCAGCAACCTTTTTCTTATGGAGAACCATGATGTGGTAGCATTCAGCTGTATAGTGCAAAATGTAGTTTTCCAGATAAAAGAGCATAACTTGTCTTTGTGACAAGCTTTCTTGGAGGTCTCTGGCTGGGAGAAGAGGAGGGAATACAACCAACTAGATCTACACCTGTGTTAATTTTGCTTAGCTTAATTGCAAATTCATGACGTCATCATTTCCCCGAAAACATGACGAGGTGGAAAATACAATATCAGAAATGAGGAAAGAACTCTAATGGTAACTTTGGTTGAGAAAGTAACAAACTATATTTCAGGTTTCTTGTATTTCAAAATGGGAGACATATTGCTGATTCCTAGTTGGTTTTGAATGATTTATAACCTTTTATTTGTGGCTGAGTGTTGCAGTCTATGTTGTCATGGAAATTCTATTGAATTTATAGGTCCATTTATCCAAAATGATTTTCCAGACTTCATTTCATGGTGAATCATGTGGCTGTTACTCCCAAGTACAAAGCAATTTCTAAAAAGTTTCATATTACAAAGAGCACAAACACTGTGGTAGTGATTTTTGTGTTTTTGAAATACAAATGAGTTCCAGATGCACCTAGGGGCCCCTCCCCCTCCACTGTGTCCAAGGCGTTAAGCTCCACTGCATTTCAGAACCAGCTTTATACATAGAATAGCCATGCAAGCAAGGAAACGTTGTTTCATTAGAAAAGAAAGCCATTGCAGTCACCTCAAGAGAAGTTGAAATTACTGGTTTATGTGTATGGACAAAAGTGCTCTCCTGGCTGGGCGCGGTGGCTCATGCCTGTAATCCCAGCACTTTGGGAGGCCGAGGTGGGCGGATCATGAGGTCAGGAGATCTAGACCATCCTGCTCAACATGGTGAAACCCCCTCTCTGCTAAAATTACAATAATTAGCTGGATGTGGTGGCACGTGCCTGTAATCCCAGCTACTCAGGAGGCGGAGGCAGGAGAATCACCTGGACTCAGGAGGAGGAGGTTGCAGTGAGCCGAGATCACGCCACTGCACTCCAGCTTGGCGACAAAGTGAGAGATTCTGACTCAAAAAAAAAAAAAAAAAAAAAAATCAACTGCTCTCCCAGTTTCAAGCTCCCTCACAGCAGACTTGATCCTCCCCCTCAAGGTTCAGTAGTGGTGTGAAAGGGAAAGAAAAACAAAGGGCTTTACCATGCCCACTGATAATGTTTCATGTTGACAGGGGGTGTAGGACAGGGTTTCTGCATCTCAGCACTATGGACATTCTGGGTGGATAATTCTTTTCTTTTTTTTTTTTTTCTTTTGTCAACCTCCAAAGCGTGAGTAGGCACAGGAAACTCCCATGATGTGGGGCACTATTCTTTGCATTTTGGGGTGTTTAGGAGCACCCCTGGCCTCTACCTGCTAGATCAGTGGTCCCCAACCTTTTTGGCACGAGGGACCGGTTTTGGGGAAGACAATTTTTCCACGGACCTTGTCCATGGTGGCGATGGTTTCAGGATGAGTCACTTGCATTGTATTTATTGTGCACTTTATTTCTATTATTATTACATTGTAATATATAATGAAATAATTTTACAATGTATAATTGTATAATGTAGAATCAGTGGGAGCCCTGAGCGTGTTTTCTTGCAAGTAGATGGTCCCATCTAGGGATGATGGGAGACAGCGACAGATCATCAGGCATTAGATTCTCATTAGGAGCGTGCAACCTGGATTCCTTGCATGCGCAGTTCATAATAGGGTTTACGCTCCTGTGAGAATCTAATGGCATCCTGATCTGACAGGAGGCAGAGCTCAGTCAATAATGTGAGCTATGAGGAGCAGCTGTAAATACAGATGAGGGGGTTAGGGACCTCTGTGCTAGATGCCTATCACCCCCTCAAAGAGTGACAACCAAAAATGTCTCTAGACATGGCCATATTTCCACTGGGGTACAGAATCACCCCATGTTAAGAACACTGCTCTGGAAGCTTTGTACTAGGACCCTAGAGAGAACTAACAGGTAGTGCTCATTGCTAATGGAATTCTGGTGAGGATGTTGTGTGGTAGAACAGTTTTAAGTAAGTGGGCTCTACAAGCAAATGCCTAGATTTGAGTCCCAGTGTTAATTACTTCTTAGATAAGACCTACTATCTCAGCCTTAATTTCCTTCTGTATAAAATAGGAAAAATAAGAGTATCACTTCTAGAAAATAGTAGTATTGATTTAAGGAATTAATTGATGTAAAACGTTCAGAATCGGGCACATTTAAACAACCCTCCTGAGTGCTTTATGCTTGAGGCTGCCTCAGGGGAAAGGGTAGGCAGGGGCAGTGCCTGGCTCTTGTAATAGTTATTGGGCCCTAGGCTGGAGGGATTCTCTATGTTAAGGCCAGTCACTGGAACTTGCTCCGTCAAGCAGGTAAGTTCAATCTGACCATACTGTCAGATTTAAAGTAGCTTATATTAAATGGAATGAATGCAAAACAGGGCAGTAAACTCGGCCCTACTCTGTTTTGGTTTGTTTGTTTGTTTTTAATTGAAGCAGAGTCTCACTGTGTCACCCAGGTTGGAGTGCAGTGATGCAATCACAGCTCACTGCAGCCTTGAACTCCTGGGCTCAAGTGATCCTCCTGCCTCAGCCTCCTGAGTAGCTAGAACTACTGGTCTATGCTATCATGCCCAGCTAGTGTTTTTGTTTTGTTTTGGTTTGGTTTGGTTTTTTGAGATAAGGTCTCCCTATGTTTCTCAGGCTGGTCTCAAACTCCTTGGCTCCAGGAGATCTCAAAAACATCCTGGCACCCAAGTATATGCCTCATAGCCCTAGTGTGCACCTTAGGTTCTACTGCCCCAAAACTTGGGATTCCTGCCGTAAAGTAGTTGAAGATAATTCCCTGTTACAGGGCAAATGAAAACAGGAAATAATTAAGGATTAGTGTACTCTGTGATTAATGATATTGCATAAAGGAAGTGTTTGAGAATGTTTATTTAAATGCCACCTTGCCTGCAAAGATACCCGCTACCTACTATTCTTCAGAGCTTGGTTCCTCTAAAAATATTCTTCCAGTGAATGCCACACACTGGTTTCTTTGCCACACCCTGTGGCATGACTTCTTGGGATGTTGGCTAGCCTGTGGAAATGGTTTATTTGAACCTTACTTTAAGTATCCCTTCTGGTCATGAAGAAAGTCATCAGGACATATTGTAAGAGAAAAATGAGAGCTGTTTCATCAGTTTTTACTTCTCCAAAGCAAGCGCTTAGCGAAAATGTATTACAACAGCCCCTTGAGGTGTGAGTATTACCTCTATTTCACAGAAGGGGACACTGGGCCTTAGAAATCTCCAGGCTCTTCAATATACAAATCCGGTCTTATTCTATAGCAAATACTCTTAGATCTTCATCTAATACTGCCAACTTTATGGATATTTTTCTGTAAGCTGTAAGAGTGTGAACTGGGCTGTAACAGGGGCTACATTCTCCAAGGTAGAAGCCTGTTAGAAAGAAGTGAGAGAAGATGATAGAGTTCAGAGCTCAAAGAAGCTCAAAAAGTAACGGAGTTGCAAAATGGTTTTATAATGTGATACACAGACAGACATACCTGTGTATGTTTGCTTAAAACCGGTAATGATTTTAGGGGGTGTATTAGTCAGGGTTCTCCAGAGAAAGAGAGCCATAGGATCGATGTCTCTCTCTCTCTCTCTCTCTCTCTCTCTCTCTCTCTCTCTCTCTCTCACACACAGACACACGCACACACACACACACATGCACGCACAGAGTAACTCCGGCCTATAATTCATGAATTTTAGCTAAGTTACTCTAGCTAAGTTGATCTTGCAGTCTTGAGTTCAAAGGCTGGAAACCTGAGCTCAATCTGTGTTGCAGTGTAGAGGCAGAATTCCCTCCTCTTAAAAAGACCTCAGGTCTTCAGCTGATTGCATGAGACCCACCCACATTATAGAGGGTAATCAGCTTTACTTCTAAAGTCTACTGATTTAAATGTTAATCACATGTAAAAAATACTTTCACAAAAAATAACAATGATCCTTTTAAAAAGTAACTAGGAATAAAAACTTTGTTCAATAGGATAAAACAAAATACCCAGAGTGTTTGTGTTATGTATTTTAATGTAATATGTATAATGTATATTTATCATTTTTCTCCATAATTTAAATGAATAGATCTTCTTTTGTTGAAGTATTAAAATTTTAGGCCAGAGTTACTTAGACAATGGTTTGACTTTCTTGTGAATTAAAGAGAAAGTAACATAATCTGTATTTAGCAGAACCATACCTGGAGTCACTTGGCCATTTCACAGTGATTTTGGCTTGTATTTGCACCTTTCTGAGCATTTACTCCAGCAGTTTAAATTCCTTCATTCTTTCAATATCTTGAGCCCTCCTTGCCACTGATTTTGTTATTTATTCCAAGAGATGGCATGGATTTTGTTAGTGTTTATGGCTTTATCACTTGGCTGTCCTTGCTTCAAGCCACTTAGAGCTCCCACTCATTTTATTCATTCCAGAAATAAATTACTAGTATTTACAATGGGCAGCACTGTGCTAGGGACACAGCCTTGCACTGCACAGACTTACGTCCTGCGTGCATACATCTTTCTGTCTACAGGCAATGGCAGAATTAGAGTTAGAGTGTAGTGTGTTGAGTGTGTGCGTCCTGGCCTCCTTAATACTAGCCGTTACAAAATAATTTAAAAATCATGTTAGATTAGGAGCTTATTTTACAAAATGCTTAACTCTGTCATCATCCTACGCATGTCATCAAAAAAGCAGAACTGGCAGATTCACTGTGTTTGGATGTTTACTTTGCCTTCACTTCACATCTTTATTCTTAGGCACCTGTTTCTTGTCCACCACCACGTTCCCACTGGCAGGTTAACACCAAGCTTGATTAGAAAAATACGTTTCCCAGGTTTGTCAAAGTAACCTGCACAATGTGCACATGTACCCTAAAACTTAAAGTATAATTAAAAAAAAAAAGAAAAAAAAAGAAAAATACATTTCCACCTCCTCAGTTCTGTTGTCTGCTGCCTCCTATGTGATTTTTAATTCTGCTGTTGCCTTTTTGGTTACCCTCTTTATCTCGTCCTGTTTACGTCTCATCTCCATCTGTTCTTTTCTGTAGCTTTTGCCTGTGTGTTCTTCCACTTTAATAAAAATCCCCAGCAGTATCCTGGAAATGTCTATTGAGTCGTTCAGTAGATTGCCTTCCCCCTGAGCTATCTGCATGCTGTTTCCTTACTTACTCCGTCATGATTTTTTTTCTTGGACCATGTGTGGGGGGCACGTGGGAGAAATCGCTTTTTGAGAGGAAATAAAACGTAGAGCTTTCTAAATCTGCATATAAATTACTGTTGGGTTTTCTACTCTCATGTTGGGATCATTTCCTTTTGCTTCCATGATCACAGCAACCAGGGAGCTGACTTAGGCACACAACTATAATAGTAGGCACACAACACACCTTCTGGGAAATGCCCCCTCCTGCCCATTGCCTGTATAAATGTAGTATTTGTTTAATAGATGCCTCACTTGACCATGAGCCACTCATTGCCTTATGCTTTTATTTCGTGATACACTCAGTCAGCTTTGGCACTCAAAAATAAAGTTAACCTTGTCTCATTAATGATATTTTAGTCTTCCTAAGTGCAGACTGTATCTTCATCTGTCATGGTGCCTTACAGACAATAGGCATTAAGCAATACTCCTGCCAATTGGAAGGAAGCACAGTGATTAAGATCTTGAACTCTGAGATTTGAAAGACAATTTTGAAATATAATTTTTCTGTCCCAACCCCACTTTCCTTCCTTAGGAGCTTTGTAAATTTCAAATTACAAATTTTGTAAATCCTTAGTTTCCTTGCCTATAAAATGAGAATCGTACGGATACCTATCTCACTGAGTGCCAATGAATCATAGTACAGTACCTAGCATACAGTAGGTACTTACTAAAGGTTTGAAAAACATTAACAATGTTTTAATATGATTAAAAGTATCAAAGGCTCAGGTTTTCAGATTTGTTGCTTTCTATTCATTCAACTTAACATGGACAGTGACACATGTAGGAAACCAGACATATACACATTTGTAAAGTCAAACTACAACTGGAATTATTTTAAATGTAAGGGAGAAGTTGCACAAGGCAGGAGGAAAGGGAAGCTAGGTGGACATTTTGTTGTCACTTTGTATGTATCACACTAGTACCTTACAACAGTGGAGCATTGACTGTTGTCAACCCTGTACTCACAGTGTCCTTTTCACCTCCCTCCCATTACTTGACAGTATTGGGATTCATGCAGGCATTTGCCATATATGTATTTTAGGACATGTTTCCTGGTCGATGATGATGCTTTTAATGTGAGTTGTTTTGCCCCTGTAAAATTCCATTTTCCAAATGTCAAATTATGCTATATGATACTCTATGTTATCCATCACCTTGATCTGGCTAGAAAAACACCTGGAGGGTTTTGCAGTCAAGACATTCCACAAGGCAGAGTTGAATGATCCATTTGGGCTAATGACTCTCACTTACGACTTTGAAAAATTTGGCAGAACTGGTCCCATGATTGTGCCCTGGTGCAAGCAGTCTATCGGTGGCTTTTTAATTGAGTTTCATAGAGTTTGTTTCTGTGCTTGAGAATATATATGTGTATGTGTGTGTGTGTGTGTGTGTGTGTGTGTGTTTTATGTATATCATATATAGTATCTGCTATCTCATGGAACTCTACATGATGAAGGAATGTCTGTTTATACAGGATTGATTCAACTTTCCTTCCCTTGCAAAAGAGAGGCCTGCTTGGAATAGGTTCATCGACCTTTAAGCTATATAGTTTTCTTAAAGAATCAAACCCAAAGTATTCTATTTCAACTATGTTTGGAAAATACTGAGTTAAAGTTACTAAGTCTTCGAATAACCTTTGAACCAGGACTTAAATGGCCAATTCTAGGGATAGGGCAGGGAAAATGTAGGATGAGCCCAAAACATCTGTGCTTGATAGGAGTTGCTAAAAAATAAAAAAATAGGAGAACGTGGCAGAGTGACAGGGAAATAGTTTTGAAGGGTCTCCTACTGGGCAAATGTGGGACAATCTGAGCATCAAAATACATAATGTTAGTAATGGAATCTGATATCTGATAATGGATTGAATAAATAGAAACAAAAATAAACAAGTCCATATGGATGTAAATGAATGAATGAATAAGTGAATAAACTGCAGTGCAGGGAAAGCAATTCCTTACTCTAGAATGCCAGTAATGAATATAGAAGGAATGGTGGAGTTAGAAAGTCACCCAAGGATACTAAAGTAGTGAGTCAACATTAAATGAGGAGCAGGATATTTATCTCATGCCAAAGTATCTCTCTACAAAATACTTTTTAATTATGAAAGGAAAATTAATAACATTATAGTGGAGAAGCCCAATAGATAGCACCTTAGCCACATGATCAAGATAAATACCTCCAATAGCGGGATAAACCCGCATAAATGTGCTTGCTGATATGATGCACGGAGAAGATATAAATTTTTTTTTTTTGAGACTGAGTCTCACTCTGTTGCCGAGGCTGGAGTGCAGTGGCGCAATCTCGGCTCACCACAACCTCCGTCTCCCAGGTTCAAGTGATTCTCCTGCCTCAGCCTCCCAAGTAGCCTCCCAAGTGGCAGGCACCTGCCACCGCACCTGGCTAATTTTTGTATTTTTGTAGAGACAGGGTTTCACCATGTTGGCCAGGCTGGTCTCAAACTCCTGACCTCAAGTGATCCATCCACCTTGGCCTCACAAAGTGCTGGGATTACAGGTGTAAGCCACCACACCCAGCTGACAAACCTCAATTCTATGAAATTTCTGCCCTGTACGCTTCCAACTGTCAGAGTAAAGAAAGAGGCTCAGTAACTGTTCCGGATGAAGATGGGGTTGGAAGAGGTCAGTGTAAAAAGACAGGACAACTAAATACAAAGTTTGATCCTAGATTGAGTTCTGGACTGAGAACCAGAAAATGATCTGTAATGGACTTTATTTGGGCACTTGCCAAAACTTGAAAATGGTCTGTGAATTAGATAATAGTATTGTGTTAATGTGAAGTTTGGTAATTCTAATAATTATTCTGTGATTATGTAAGAGAATGTCCTTATTCTTAGAAATTACTCACTTGAGTATTTAGTGGTAAAGGGGCCTATTATCTCCCATTTGCTCCCAGATGATTGAGGAAAAAAAGTGAGAGTGTGTGTGTGTGTGTGTGTGTGTGTGTGTGTATACAGAGAGAGCGCAAAAGAGGTATAGTATAAATAATTGGTGATACTGGGTAAAGGAGATAGGGAACAGTTAATAGATCCCTTTATTGCTGGATTTTCCAGATCTTTTTTTCTTTTTTTCCTTTCTTTTCTTTTCTTTCTTTTTTTTTTTTTTTTTTTTTGAGACAGGATCTTGCTCTGTCACTCAGGCTGGAGTGCAGTGGAGCCCTCAGTAGCCTCAATAGCCTCAACCTCCTGGGCTCGAGCAATCCTCTCACCTCAGTCTCCTGAATAGGTGGGACTACACTCACCACTCCTGGCTAATTTTTTGTAGAGATGAGGTCTCACTGTGTTGCCCAGGCTGGCCTCAAACTCCTGTTCTCAACCAGTCCTCCCACTTGGACCTCCCATAGTGCTGGGGTTACATGCATGAGCCACATTGCACCTGGCCCCAGATCTTTTCTTCAGCTTACGTACACCACGTTTCTTCATAGAAGGATTGCTGTAGAGTGAGCATCACTTAGATTAACATTACTAGAAAGAACAGACTTTGGGGAATATTGAACGGAGGGCTCTGGGATCTAGAGCCCAGAATGTTGAAGGGAGGGCTCTGGGCACAGTTCATTTTGAGGATAAAATTGATGGTAGCTACCCCAAACACCTGCCAAAGGTGTTTTTGGAAAATAGTTTCCAGCCTCTGTCCAAACTTGGACATCACCACCGCTGACAAAGTATGTTTCAATTCACGCATGTCCAATTCACTCAGCAAAACCTCATCTACTTATTCTTACATTTTAGACACTTCAAATATTACCGTAATTTGTTAGGCTACAACTTGAGAAAAATAGTAAGAAAAATAGATATTTCAGACCTGTGCTACTGTCCTTTTTATGAGACATTTTATTATCCAGATGGGTGGAGCTGTGACCCAAACACATTTTCTAAAAATGTATTTTTTTACCCACTTGTAAATGAAAATGCCCTTGAAGAGGTCTTAAAGTATTTTGTATCACACGCTATTCGGGTGATGCATTAAACAATGCTGCTCCTGCACATGGGCTGAAGTATAAGAAAGCCTTCTGTGAACCTACTTAATTTGAGGGCCTGAGTTTTAAAAAGAAAGTGAAGTGTAATTTTCTGAATACACCTGTGTTAAGTTTCTTTCTTGGGTTAGTAGTATTGTATCCAAAGCAATTCACCTAATATTAAACCATTCTAATCTGTACCTTATTGAATGGATTTTTCTCTAAAAATTCATGATGTCTAAAGCTGTCCAAACCGTAAGGCAACACATTTGTAAGAAACTGCCAGAATTGGTGCAAATTTACAGTCTTAGGAAAAAGAATTACCTTTAAGAAAGAAAACTCTCCAAAAGAAAACTACCCATCCTTCTCCCATGTACTTAGGTATCAGAATTTTCCTAGGAAGTGTCCTGATTTGGGCTACCTGATTGCCCTCTTCACAGAAGAAATGCCGTTGTATTCTTAGCATTTGAGTTAATTCAGTCATCAGAACTCTGTTTACCTTTGACCTATATTTAGCTTTTCCTTCTGGGACTTTATTGTTCACCGTCAAATCTCTAAATCTCTCTGGGGTGTGGTTGTTCAGTCTATTACAGAAAATAGCATCACGCCTTTTGGAAAAGTAGGGAAATAGAGGTCATGAAAGAACTAATTATATAGAAGATACTGTTTTCTGTAAGGAGTACCATCATTCTAGATGGTTCAGTGGAATCACACTCTTACTAGAAATGTTAAGATGTTTGCCAAATGTTAATCTTAAAATATGATGATGATGATGATGACCAGGCGCAGTGGTTCGTGCATGTAATCTCAACACGTTGGGAGGCCAGGGTGGGCGGATTGCTTGAGCTCAGTTACTCTAAACCAGCCTGGGCAACATAGTGAGACGCTGCCTCTAAAAATGTATATATATATGTATAAAAACTAGCCCGATATGGTGGTGTATACCCGTAGTCCCAGCTGCTTAGGAGGCTGAGGTGGGAGGATCGCTTGAGTCCAGGAGGTCAAGGCCGCAGTGAGCCATGATCATGCCATTGCACTCCAGCCTGGGTGAC
The DNA here is from genome assembly GCF_000001405.40 of Homo sapiens. Taxonomy (NCBI): domain Eukaryota; kingdom Metazoa; phylum Chordata; class Mammalia; order Primates; family Hominidae; genus Homo; species Homo sapiens. The sequence goes on from NC_000003.12 coordinate 62,076,269, forward strand.
AAAATGAGACCCTATCTTAGAAAAAAATACATATGTATATATGGTGATGATGATGGTGATTTGTTGAGCATCGATGAGGTCTAACCATGGTGCTTCATGTTATACACTACGTTAACTTATTTGAGCCTCACAATTAGCCCAGTAAGTGGAAATACTTGACTTTATGCCTAAGAAAGCTGGTGCTTGCAAGTAAGGAAGCTGGAATAGGAACCCAGGTCTGGTTTTTTTTGTTTGTTTGTTTGTTTGTTTGTTTGTTTTTTAATCAGTGTGGAGGCTTCTGGGGATACCCAATGGTTCATTTTTGTTCTCTACATCTTTTTTTTTTTTTTCGAGACAGAGTTTTGCTCTTGTTGCCCAGGCTGGAGTGCAATGGCATGACCTCGGCTCACCGCAGCATCCGCCTCCCAGGTTCAAGTGATTCTCCTGCCTCAGCCTCCCGAGTAGCTGGGATTGCAGGCATGCACCACCATGCCTGGCTAATTTTGTATTTTTTGTAGGAACAGGGTTTCTCCATGTTGGTCAGGCTGGTCTCGAACTCCCGACCTCAGGTGACCTGCCCGCCACAGCCTCCCAAAGTGCTGGGATTACAGGCGTGAGCCACTGCATCCAACTGTTCTCTGCATCTTTTTAAATGTCAAAATGTGTGCCAGCATTAAAGTTGTATAATGATTCTGAGTTGACTTACCTGTGTTCTGCTTTTTGAATAAGAAATTCTAGTCAGGCCCAGTGGCTCACACTTGTAATCCCAGTGTTTTGGGAGGCTGAGGCATGCAGACTGCTTGAGGCCAGGAGTTTGAAACCAGCCTGGACAACAAGGCAAAACCCTGTCCTTACAGAAAATACACAAATTAGCTGGGTATTGTGGCATGCACCTGTAGTCCCAGCTACTCAGGAGGCTGAGGTGGGAGGATCTACTGAGCCTAGGAGATGGAGGCCGCAGTGAGCCGTGGTGGCTGCCACTGCATTCCAGCCTCGGCCACAGAGTGAGAGTGAGTTTGTTTGTTTGTTTAAAAAAAAAAAAAACAAACCATAATGCTAGCCAAATGTAAGAGAAGATATTTAAGGTTGGGATGAAAGCACATGGATTTTGGATTCTCTCTGATGTGTAATAGTAGGCAAATTATCGTCAAATTTCTGAAGCACTATTTTCTCATCTATAGCTGAGTATAGTAATTTCTGCCCTAATTTTTTTTACAGGGCTTGTTAAGAGGATTAAGAAAAATAATGTGTGGGTTAGCTTTTTGCAAAAAGGTGGTTAACTCCATTAAAATTTTGCTTCTTAATAGGGAAATTTCACCATGACCTGGCTATTAGAGGACTAGAAGGCATTGGTTTTACTTATTTTGGGTGGCATGAATGCATTGTAGTTATGTGAAAAGATGGGATATATTCTGACATATCTAGGGGTAAAATGACATGATGTCTGGGTTTGTTCTAAAATACGTTAGCAAAGGGCCGGGTGTGGTGGCTCATGCCTGTAATCCCAGCACTTTGGGAGGCCAAAGCAAGCAGATCACTTTAGGTCAAGAGTTCAAGACCAGCCTGGTCAACATGGTGAAAGCCCATCTCTACAAAAATACAAAAATTAGCGGGCATGATGGCAGTTGCCTGTAATCCCAGCTATTCGGCTGAGGCAGGAGAATCGCTTGAACCTGGGAGGCGGAGGTTGTAGTGAGCTGAGATTGAGTCACTGCAGTCCAGCGTGGGCAACAGAGCGAGACCTTATCTCAAAAAAAAAAAAAAAAAAAGTTAGCAAAGGAAAAATATGAACAGGTGAATAAATTTGGCAAAATCTTATTAGCAACTGGGGAATATACATTTATGGTACTATTCTCTCAACTTTTTATTTATGTTTGAAAATTTTCCTAATACATTTTTTTAATTGTTCTTACAGATGCAGATTTTCTTTTACAATCCAGATGACTTTGACAGCTTTCAAACCGCAATTTCTGAGAACAGAATAATCGGAGCCATGGCCATATTTTTTCAAGTAAGTTAACAGTGGCTGAAGTACTTCAAAGAATTCTTTGAGTATTTTTTTTAATTTGCCGAATTGTTCCATGTTTAATGAATGCATCTGTTTTCTAGTTCACACCTGTCCAAATGAAAGATATTTCATATTGTCTAATGTGTGATTTAAAATGTAAATAAGTATGTTTAGAAACATAATGAAAATTTTTGCATGAATTACTCTGATTTTATTGCTACTTGACTGGTGCACAGATTGAAGAACACATTTATCATCTAAGTTACTTCGCCGCTGAAGCATTTTGAACAGGTTCCTTCAGCATATTAAGAGACTGATATAAAAAAAAAGGTGTTTTTTTGAGCAACTTTAAAATTTGACATTACTTGCAAGTAAGTTAATAAATAGCATCCGTCACTTTTCTAAAGAGACCCCCTCTCTTTCCCTCTCAGAAATCCCCATAGTAACTAAAGTTTTTGTTGCAACTATCTCTGTGTTGGTACATTTATGAACTCTTATCCTTCTGTCCTCTCTTTTAATATGATTGTGTTGATGAATGCTCATAACTCAGTGTTGATTCTGCACCTAGAATCCCAGCATTGCATCCTGTGATAAAATAATGCTGTTCAGGCTTTTTAATAAGTCAAATCAAAGTAGTGTTGATCAGTGAGTGCCTTGACCAACTTGCCTGTAGGAGACCTTGGTGCTTTTTAGTGTGTAAGGTAGTCTGAGTAGTAGGCATCTGTGGTTTGTCTTTCAATCTTAAAGTTGACCTAGCGACTACATAAAGGTGTTCATTTCACCAATGAGTCTCTGTTGGAAAATGAAGTCTTTTTGACAACTAAAGGAAAGTTAAAGACATAAGAGCCTTCTCCAACACGTCTTTGACATCTGCCTTTTTGAGCAAGTTTGTCATTGAGGTGGAGCCATTCTTGTTTGGAGTATGTTAATTTCACCACCCTTTTCAATGGGTGACACATGAGTGACAGTTTTCTCCCTTTTAACTACATTTCTCCCTTTTCTCAAGGGAGATAAAGGCTCAAATGAGAGATCAGATGAAAATTTGAAAAGCTTGATATTCTACCTAGAATAAGAACAATGGTTGCCATTGGTGATTATGGCACTGGTTTTCAAACAGTGGGTTCTATCTTACTGTTGAGCCATGAAATTATTTCAGTAAGTTCTGATCAGCATTTTAAAAACAGTGACGTAAAATAATATAGAATAGGAAATAAGTCAGAAAATATCCGTAAAATATAGTAAAGGTAAATGTATTTATAGAATTTGTTTATGCACAGTAAAGCATACTGGGTGTATGCTGGGTCATGATATAATGTGTATTGCTTACTGTGGGTCGTGGTCAAGTATTTTGGAAGTTGTCTGTTTATGCTATGTATTGGTCTAATTTGCCCATTGTTCTCCAACACATCTCTTTTTCCTCATTACTTTTCATGAACACAATAGAGCATAGTGTTTTAAGAGCTTATTCACTGGAGTCAAGATACTTGCTTTTGAATTCCATGATTTCTGCAGTGTAATGGTAATGTAGTTATTTAAACTTTTCAATCTCAGTATCCTTATCTGTGAAGTAGAGAGAACAGCTAATACATCATGTAGATTGCAGTGGTAATTAAAGGACTTCCTAGTATGGCTCCTGGAACATAGCGGACACTTGGAAATTCCCAAATAGTATGCATCTATAGCCCTCCATGTTTCTGTGGGATGGAGACCCCATGGTATACATATTATCTTTTTATGAACAGAAGTATGTTCTGGACACTGCCCTGTTGGCAGATGACTTGAGTTCTGTCTGGACCCCTTCGGTTCATTTTTTTTTTTTTTTTTTTTGAGATGGAGTTTCGCTCTTGTTATGCCCAGGCTGGAGTGCAGTGGCACTATCTCAGCTCACCACAACCTCCGCCTCCCGGGTTCAGGTGATTCTTCTGCCTCAGCCTCCTGAGTAGCTGGGAATTACAGGCATGTGCTACTATGCCCAGCTAATTTTTTTTTTTTGTATTTTTAGTAGAGGCAGGGTTTCTCCATGTTGGTCAGGCTGGTGTTAAACTCTCAACCTCACGTGATCCGCCTGCCTCGGCCTCCCAAAGTGCTGGGATTACAGGTGTGAGCCACTGCGCCCAGCCCCCTTCTGTTCTTAAACTGTGATTGGTTTGTGTTTGGTAGAACTGGGACCACACAAACTGCTCTTAAAACAGTTCCCACATGCCTGGCTAACACCTGGTTTTCTGTCATCGTTCCCTTAGCATGCTGCTTTTCATGCAGCTGGACCTCTGCTCCTGTGGCCCTGCCGTCAGATGCACCCTCGCTTCCTTCTCTGTCATGCCAACCTGTGCTCAGACCTCCAAGATTCTACTTCATAGGGAACCTTTCTTAAAAGAAAATTTAAAAAAAACTTTTTAATGTTTTTATGAGTACTGGAAGGACTAGTTTATGGCATGCTCTACCCAAACACTTTCTATTTTTTTCAGCTCTATAAACTCTTGTTAAATATAAGACCAATTAGAATTTTAGGCAGGCAAGACACATTGGTGTGCAAATCAACAAAATACCTCACTGTGAAATCTAGGTTTTGAATTTTTAAAGTATTTCGAGGACACCGCTACTAGTTTGCATATAAAGATATTTAATGTACACTTCATTTGTTAGGTCCTTTTCTAAATTTGGCTTGCTATCCTAAAGACACAAATTAGAGGTCAGATGATAAAAAATAGAACATAATTAGAGGCCGGGCGCGGTGGCTCACACCTGTAATCCCAGCACTTTGGAAGGCCGAGGCGGGCGGATCACTAGTTCAGGAGATCGAGACCATCCTGGCTAACACGGTGAAACCCCATCTCTACTAAAAATACAAAAAATTAGCCGGGCGTGGTGGCGGGCACCTGTAGTCCCAGCTACTCGGGAGGCTGAGGCAGGAGAATGGCGTGAACGTGGGAGGCAGAGCTTGCAGTGAGCCGAGATCGCGCCATTGCACACCAGCCTGGGCGACAGAGTGAGACTCCGTCTCAAAACAAACAAACAAACAAACAAACAAACAAACAAACAAAAACATAATTTTACATAGATAGCAGCTGTATTAAGCTGCTTCCTTTGTCCTTCTTATTTATTTATTTAGATACAAATCTCCCTGTTGCCCAGGCGGAAGTGTAGTGGTGCAATTATGGCTCACTACAGCCTCCAACTCCTGGGTTCAAGGGGATCCTCCTGCAACAGCCTCCTGAGTAGCCGGGACTACAGGTGCAGGCCACCATGTCCGGCTAATTTTCTTATTTTTTTGTAGAGACAAGGTCTTGCTTTGTGGCCCAGCCTAGTCTGGAACTCCTGGGCTCAAGTGATGCTCCTGCCTCAGCCTTCTAAAGTGCTGGGATTATAGGCGTCAGCCACTGCGCCCGGCCCCTTTGTCTTTCTTGTAAGCACACACGTGCTTATATGCTTGAATTCTCACTATGTCATGCAATGCAAATAAAAAAAATTGTTACTTCAATTTGGCATTCTAGTTAGATCTCATTTTTTAATTTTTTTGCTCTCTATAAGAATGATAAATTTGAGAGTTTGATATTTCTTCCCAAAATAGAGAAATCTTGGTGTATATTTCCAAATTCAAACCTGGCATCTTACATTTTAGTATTGAAGAACGGTTTGTCATCTATTCAACATCTATTCGATGCCAGGAGTGGTACTAGTTTCTGTGTTAAGCATAATAAACACAATCTTCTCCTGTGCACTAGAACCTCACTGTCATGGTCCCACAAATAACGGCCAAAAAGAGTTGAACTCCTCTACTTGTAAAAAGGCTATACTCTGACTTGGTGCTTATAAACCCACATATTCATTATTCAGAGTGACACAAAGAGAATGACCCAAAAGCCCAGGCCTAGGCAAGGCCAAGTTCTGCAGAGATACCAGTAGTCCAGATGCTGATTTACTTCATGTACTAGAATAATTTTTTTTTACCATTTCAATTTTTCACTATCCATGCTTCTTTTTTTGTTCTCAACATGTGCCCATTATTCCTGGTAATTTTGGCTTTCTGTCTGCCTTTGCTGTGCTTAGATATGAAGTTCATAATGTTGCCCCCCAAAAGCACCAAAATAGGCACAAACCTAGCAGACATCTGGTTGTCCAATGAACCCTTACATTGGCCTAGAGTAGTGGTTACTTGCACTTTGCCCCATTGTGGCTCACAGGCATGATTTGTTGAATTTACACAGTGTTTATGATTCTTTTCTTCAGTTAAATATGGAAGGTTTTACACAAAATGTCTTGATGATGTAGCAGTAATCGAGATGTGTCTAGTGGCTACTTTGGAGGGAGTGTGTGTTCCCATTGCAACAAAATCATCAAGCAGTCTTATTCATGTGTTCACATCAACGTGATCTTAAGATCATGATGACTGGCCCGGACCCCAGTAACTCTGAATGGCAGCTGATATATTTTGGTAACGGATAAGAGTTGAGGGTCAGTCTCAGTGCTAAAAGGTGAAGAGCCAGGTCTGCTGTTGAGCACAAGTGAAGGAAGGAAGAACAACCTCCATGTGTGGAAGACGGTGAATCAGGGCAGCCACATCTTGGCCCAGACAGCTCTAGAAGGTGCGCTCCCTTCGTAGCCACTGGTTAAGTGTAATATTATAATTTTCCATCACATGGTAGTAATGTGTCTGGAGGAAGGATCACCTTTTTCTAGATCATGCAGATCACCTTTGGGTTTGTTCCCTATCGAAAGCATAGGGGAACAAGTAAGAGTAAAGTTTGCTTTTAAAGGATTTAAAACATAAATTTAAAATAAAAATATTGTCAAGGGATAGAGGAATTTGTTGTTAAAACACTCAAGAGAATAAATACTTGTTTAGTTGATTTATGTAAGTACAGAAACTAAAATAATTATTTTTTATTTGTTAAAGTAAAACTTCTGTTCTCTACTGTCAACCTAATTTGAATGCCTGTGAAAATATAAAATATCAGAAGTTATTATTTGGTTGGTGCAATAGTAATCGCGGTTTTTGCCATTACTTTTTTTTTTTTCTTCCTTTTTGTGGAGAACGGGGTCTCACTATGTTGCTCAGGCAGGTCTTGAACTCCTGGGCTCAAGCTGTGCTCCTGCCTCTGCCTCCCTAAGAGCTGGGATTACAGGCATGAGCCACCGTGCCCGGCTTTGCCATTACTTTTAAAGGCAAAAACCGCAATTACTTTTGCAGCAACCTAAAATGCTGTTTCAAAATATTGTGTGATTCTGATAACACCCTTCATGGTTTATCTGGTGAAACAAATAAATATAAAAACCCAGGTTTACATGAAATAGAATCAGTGGAATAATTAGGCAATTTGTGGAAGGATACTTTGCTTTTAAAAACTGTAATTCACAGAACAATTTCATTGGTTTCTTTTTAAGTTGGTAGAAGAAAGAGTACCCAATACTTACAATGACCTTATCTTTAAGTAGTCCTGTTCTTTTGAGGCCAAGAATCTTTTATCGTCACCCTCAGAATTGGGTTCTGGTGTTTCTCCCTTGGCTTCCGTCTGTTTCTTCACCATTAAATGCTTTCATCTACTTTCTCACTAGGACCAAAGTGTCTTTTAACCATGCAACCTTCTTAATGGATTTCAGTCAGATGCACATAGAAGTTTGGTATTCCTGTTCTTTATCTTTGGTTAATTGTGTTTTTTCATGAAGTATATTGTTATTGAATTTATTATCTTAAGGGGAACATCTCATTCATTTCATTACCCAGTTGCCATTGTCATATGAATGCTTGAAATTTCATTTATATTTCATTAATTCCATTGAACTTTGGAATCATAAATGCATGATTCTTCAAGAGCATCTACATTAAGAAACGTTTCTTATGTGACATTGTTTCCAGCCTCCTTTATGGCTGTGGTCAGTTCTGAATCTTTGCATCAGAAACAAAGATATAAAATGATTGTCATGTCTGTATCCAGAGATCTAGTCAATAGGTATATTTCTGAATACATTTAAGAAGTAATTGAATTGCATCTGATTTATTCATCATTCTTAAACTATTTCTTTTTGACAAACTGTCGTCACCAACTCTACTGCAGTTTCCTCATTTAATGTTCTCCTTCTACTGGGAGAGTTGAGCTGCCTTCCTTTGTACCAGTTTTCATTTTTATTTAAATTCTACCCAGAATATGACTGTAGTCCTTTGGTTTTTCCCTCAGGTCTGTAGAGTCATTTGCCCCCTTTTCATTTCTGCCCTTCTTTCATAGTTGAAAGGAAACTTCAGAACTCAAATGCTTTGCAAGTTGCGAACCCATTCTTTATATCATGTCGGTGTTACAGACTGCTTAATTATTTTTCTCCATCTGGAGAGGCTTAGTAATTAAATGAATTGCAGCACCTGGGATTATTTATAGACATTGAGAAGGCAGGAGGAGTTCTTGATGACTCATCCATCCAGGGCTGGCGAGGAAGCCTTTCTCTCCACTTCCCTGCATTTCACCTTCCCCCTCCTTCCCCACCATAGGTAGATATGATCTGTCCTTCCTTTGACCCACTCTGACTTATAGCATTCCATCTTGTATTAAAGCTGTTATTTTACTTGCTTTCTTCTGCATTAATACTGTGAGATCATTGAGGCTTGAGAGTCTTCATTCATCATTATGTCTCTTACACACGGCTAAAACTGTGGCTTGATTGTGTAAATACTTAGCTGAATTTCATGGAAACACATTTAGGCTCCATTGTCTAGATTGGAAAGGGACAGCCTAATAGCTTATTAGCTACAAATTATAAAAAATAGGCATTAGGGGGTAGAGCCTGAGACTACTAGAGTATAAACTCTCTGAAGTTGAAGTCTGTGTCTTGTTCCTCTTCTTTTTGTATACCACCAACCCACCTTTCCCTAGCCCTCACAGTAGTGCATTGACCTCAATTATTGCTCAGGAAATATATACTAAGTAAAACTGAGTTAAAGGAAACCTCTGTGTTTTATCACATTATTAATTATTTGGGTTTTTGAAAAGCATATATCTAGATGGCTGTGTAAGCGTCACCCAAAAAGGTTGCTGTTTGTGTCAGAAGTGTAAGATTCTTGAGCTGGTCAAGGACATTGAACATGAAGACTGTGTAACGATTCATTGAGGTTGGTACCTCTCTTTCCTGGGGCTCCATTGGATCAAACATGTTAAAGGGATGCATCTCCATTCTATAGTGCGTTCAGAGGCCTTAAAGGACTGTTTTACTGTAAAGAGTATCTGGGTGTATCTTTATAAGGTTTCCCAATAAAATGCGTTTATCTCACTAGGTGATGAGTGAAGAGGGTTTTTTGGATCATTTTGCTAATTTTCTTTCCCATTGTCTCTGCCTCTTTCTTGCATTTTTCTTTACTAGGGTTCCTCTATGATAGTTGATGAGTTAGCTTCTGTGTGTTTTAGTTCATCTGTTAACTTTTTCTTGCTCTTGCTATTCTTTACATGTCTATGTTTTTCTGCCTCTTTCCCCCCTTTCTCCTTCAGATTTTCTAAGCAAACAATGTAAGATTTTCTTGCTTATGTATTCATTCTTGCATTCATTTGCTAACTCATTTGTTCACTCTGCATATTTCTTAAGCACCTTCTCTGTGCCATGCTCCATGGAAATCATGAGGTATCCTCAGAATTGTGTCCTGCCCTCAAAGTAGTTGAGGGACAGTAAGTTTTCAGAAGGGCCTTAAAATTCTTTCTTCAAAAGTAGCTTCATTTTATCTTTGGGAGCTAGGGGAGGACAGATCAAGTCAGGCAGATAAAATCTCAAGAGAATAATGCAAGAATTATATCTTATGTATATTTTTAAAATGATAAATATTTCAGTTTGAGAGTATGAAGTTTCGACTTGTAAATTTTAGAATTGGACTCTTCTTTCTCCATTTTTCTTCTGTTCTGGTATAAAGCAGAACACCACTATTAAAGTATAATTCATTCCTTTTATTTATGGTGACCTAAATTAATCTTTTTATTCTTTTTAACTATCCCAAAAGAGTCTTTTTCTTTTTTTGATGAAGAATAAATTTTCTATCGTGTTATGGTTTTAATTTTTTTTTTTCTTTTCATGGTTCTGATGGCAGTGTGAAACAAGGGCCTTTAACTCTGGAGAGAGAGAGAGAAGGGATAAATTAGTAATTTTACCCATCTACCAAATTCCCACCCTAACCCCAGACCCCCAGAAAAAAACAAGAACTATTTTTGAGTCTGAGAAAATTGAGTTTGTGTTGGAGAATGGTGGTAGATTATTTAGAACTTCCTTCTTAGACTGCTTTACAAGATAATGACGGTAAACTAATATGATTCCTAATTTATTCCTTTCCAGTTGCTGCTGTTTGAATATCGTCCTTCTGGCATTTTCCACATCCTTGGTTTTATCCAGATATAAGTTCAATTCTTTCACTACATTACCTAGAAGTGCAATTTCAGAATGTTTTGGGTTGATTAAGAAGACTTTTTTTTAATCCACAAACAAAAATTAAAATACATATGTTCCAATTAAACTATTTTAACAGCTAATTGATTTCATAGGACTTACCATTAAGTGAAGGCCAGAGTCATTCTTAATGTTCAATTGCAGTTTTGGAATAGATTTGTGGATGTACAACATTGAATTTATAGCCTATCAGGTGTTTTCAGCACATCTTCTTCTGCAAATGGCCTGTAATTCAAATTTCCTCTTAGTGGACATTACAGAGGACTATTTAATTATTGGCGAAGCATTACATAATTAAGAGACTTTGAATTCTTTGAATGTGACCATGTGAAAATCTATTTAAATTAAATCATTGCACTTCAAGGACGTTACCAAGTACTTTGCTTTTGTACATCATTGAATGATAGTTTAAAATTGTTTTGGCCATTAGTTTTCATGTAAGTCACAGAATGTGATTTTCGTAAACTCAGAGAAGATCTTAGGCACTCTGTAGTAACCTTACTATGACAGATGACAGGCCTGACCCTCTGAAAGGTTAAGTGATTGACCGTGGTCCCCTAGCTCTTTGCAGTCTGCCAAGCCAAGAATTTGAGTTGTGTGACTCTCAATCCAGCGACTTTGTTTTTTCCTAGATTTGGTCTTCCTGGAATATGACCTAGTAGGATGCTTTAGCTGATTAGATTTATCGGGAGAACTCCTGACATAAAGCACTTTATATTCACAACCGTTCTTACCTCTCTTTCCTCCCCCAGATAAATTAGTTGCAAGATGTTTCTAAATAGAATACAAACACCACTAATAAAAGTTAACATTTGCTGAGGACTTAACTGATGTAAAATGCTAATGACAACTACTATACAGTGTCTCACTTAATCTTCACTGGGACCCCTCAAGGTATTATTACCTCCATTTTATAGATGTGGAAGCTGAGACATGGAGCTTTTTTCAGTATAAATTACTCAAAATTACACAGGCCACTAAGTGTTGGAGCCAGCATTTCAATGGCAACCATATATCTCCAGGGTCTGTGCTCTCAGTGAAGAACTGAATGGGAAAAGTTGGGTTTTCTGTTGAAGAGGGTAGAGGGAGAAGTATATATTATTGGTCCCAGTTATTGTCATCTGCATATAATTGCCTTCAGGCCTCTCAGTTTTGCTGATAGCTGAAGAGGTATTTTCTTGTAACTTAAAATTATGTTCTTCTTTTTGTCCATAGTTACAATCTTCGATCCTAAATTATCTTAGGCTGTGTGTCTGTAATTATTTTATAGATTTGATGACATCTTTTTTCTTTAGTTTCCTCCCTTTTATAAAAAGGCTATAAAGAGTATAGAATAAATGCTGTGGTTATGTAAGCATAGTGTGAGTGAATGGGGTAAAGATTTGAACTTTGAATTGAATGTATTAACCTTTTAATGGCAGCAGTTCTGAAGTGGGGAGGGAGGGAATGGGGGTTTTGCCCCACAGGCAATGTGGCCATGTCTGGAAACACTTTAGGTGTGTCAGGGTAGAGGCACTGCTGGCATCTCACGGAGAGTGCCCAGGAACGCTGCTGAACATCCTGCAGTGCACAGGAGAGTCCTCCACAACCAACAGTTAGCAGCCCAAAATGTCTGTGCTGGCTGAGGTCAAGAAACTCAGCTTTATGGTCATCAACTAGCTAAGTGACTGAAGATATCAGAATATCTTCATCTCGGTAGAGGGGGGTCAGTTAGGGCTATTTGGGTTATTTTCTGCAGGCCGAAGGCCATAAGAATAACTAATAATCCCAGTCCTAAGAACTCCAGTAGTCCCTGGCTAACCAAGACTTGAACAACTGGGATTCCAACATAAGGTGCAAAACTTGCATGCCAAAATATTTAAATCTGCCCTATTCCTACATATCCTAGGTTTACCTCCGCCCTGTTAAATTAAAGCACCCACATGGGTATTTGTTTGCAGACACTGCAGTGATTTTTGAAACAAGCACCAATTTAATAGAACATTGACTTAGATGTAGAAAAGTAAACAGAGGTAAGAAGGTAAGAGCATGTACAAATGCTTTTGAACTTGAAATCAGCGAGAGCTAGTTTAAAAAACTCATAGGAAGATCAATGAAACTCCCTTGCAGAGGTTGTAGGAGAACCTGCTTCTGTAAATTACAGCACTACACAGTTTCCTTAGCATTATAGAAGGATTTTCCCAGGACAGGATTTTAAAATGATAAACGCTGGCTTATTTTAGAGGGTTACTGTTGTCTCTTGCGAAATCTTTTTACTATCTGGCCATCTAGGCATTGAGGGCCAGGATTATTAACCATCTTTAACTGTATGCATACAGATGCTACTCACCTGTGCCCATTTGAGAAGAACTTTACAATTCTCTTTTGATTTTGTTGTTCAGGGTTTACACTGAAGCTACTGTTTTCTCTATCTACAGCATCTTAACATTTATGATATGTCTCAACCCATCTGAAGCCCAGAACTTTTGTTCTTTGTCTTTTCTGGATAATGCCTGCCTGTCTCTTGAGTATCCCTGTGACCCACATTCCCAAAGCAGATATCATGTACATCACATAGATTATATTTTAAGACAGACCAGTCTGCACAGATCTTTCTGATTTTATGGAAATACATCCAACCATTTTTACATGATGTGATGGCAAACTTGGAAGAAACTTAATTTTATTTGTCCGTGTGAGACTTTTTATGATTTTCCCCATGTTCCTCTTTTTCTGTTAACATCTTGATCTTGGTAACACTGTTTTGCTGATTGTGATATTTTTCAAGAATGCAACTCCTGTGGTTTGTAAAGGATTAGGAAACGGTCTATTGCAAGAACGTCCATGATAGAAATATTTTATCCTTCCTGCCTTTTAACTTGCCATAGGTCAGAATCTCAATGTGATATAGTAAAAGACACAGTAGTTGGTGCTCATATCATCTCTTTATTATGATTGTACAGGTGTCTTCTGAGAAAATTTTTAGCATCAAATCCCCGTTTGGGGTCTGTTGGGAGCTATGAGCATAGCTGTGCATTCACTCACCTCAACAAGCTGGTACAGCAAATTCTATTTTTCTTGGCTCATTGTGTTCTCTGAGTATGTATTAAGTTGTATGATTTTTTTGTGAGTGTGCAAATTCCTAGGTAGCTGTATAAAAATGATAGAAGAGAGCTAACTAATTTAGGTCTTGCGTATTTAGAATTTGGATTTGTCCAAAGTTGATGTAAGCCAAGAATTACTTATGCATTTTTAAGAAGGCATTTTATTAGACACATCAGGACTGTAAATAAAATTGCAATGGGAGGAGTTGCTACCTCCATGTATCAACTGGCCATTGTCAACCCATTTTATGTGGGTATATTCATTTAATATAGCCCTTTGGTTATAACAGAGGACTCTTATGTGTTCACACAAATGGATTTGGTGAGAGATACTTCTAAAATTACACTGTCAGTAATTTGTTTGCACCACATATAATAAAATGTTCTGCATATGAAACAATACTCAATTCTGACTCTTGGATAATTCACTTCCAGGGACTTCTCCATCCATATTACTGAGGTCTTACTCAACACTGTGCAGCGTATTCCCTGGTAGCTTGGCATCCCTGAACACCATTCTAATGAGGTTTCAGTGAATTATTTCTATTTTTAGGCACTCTTCAAAGGTGGCTGCCAGACACTAGTTCTAGTTTTTTTTTAAACTGAACCGATTATAGGGTTTAGTGCCAGATGCTTCAGAAATGCAAGCAGCTAGCTAACACAAAGCCAATACCTAAGTCTTTTAGGAAAAGAGATGAATGTTTAGGGTCATATCTGAACTTAGTAGCACAGCTACTCCCCCGCTGCCCTTTTTAATGGCTGTCAGACCAAAGTTTTGTGGTTTCTCTCTATTTTGAATTTTGTAAGTGAAAAATGTCCTCATCCGACTAAAACAGATCAGACAGGTAAAATCCCAAGTCTTCTGAAAAGAGACTTTCAGTGTCTGACTCTCTTTGAATATTAACAATAGTAAAAATAACAGTAGGTGATATTTACGGACTCTGCTCATGTGTCAGCGCCTCTGATAATTCTGCCAAGCATTCTATGTGCGTTATCCCATTTCATGCTCATAACAGCCCTCTGAGAAGGAGATTCTGATTCTAGAACCTTCCCCAGATGCTAAGAGTCCCTTTGATTCTGAAATCCATGTCTGAGGTGTTGGAGTGAGGCGTCTATGTATAAATTCCAACTTGCCACTTACTGGCTTGTTCCTTTGGACAAATCTATTCAATCCCATGCCACTTCAATCCCTTTGTCCATAAAATGGAAATACCAATTTGCTGCGAACTTCAAATGAGATAATGTCTGTGAAAGTACTGTGGAGAGGTCTTTGACCCAAAAAACATTTTGATGATAAAAATAGTTAAAATAACAATGTTGATGATGATAATTAGCAACGACTAGGGTTAAAAAATGCCAAAATAAAAGGAAATACTTTGAACCATTACTTCCCCATACCATGAAGTCTGTCCCAGGACATATATCGCTTCAGTATGTCAAATATACACATCCTCCTGGCCTACTTGCATGTTGTTGGAGGGTGCTTCAGATCTGATTGCAGTTGGCTGTGAGACAAAGTCTTAACTAGTTGTTATTGGTGCTATAACTCAGTAATTCAGGAGGAGGTAACCAAATTCAAATTTCCTCAAGGAGCATCTGCATGTCTTTCTTACTACTTTAAAGAGGAGCTAAAGTAATTAGTCTTAACACCTTGGATGATAAAAGAAATAGATTTAATTGGAGCAGCCAAGTCGGCTGAGAGAGAGACAAGTAACACATTGATATGGACCCAGATGCCTCCAGATGGTGGTGAGGCCATTAGAACGTAAAAGGGCCCTATAAGATTTTCCCCTGGACCCCAAGGAACTGCTTAATTCCTAGTAGTGAGTTCCTCTCCAGGGTCAAAGTCATAAAACGGGGATCCTTTATGTGGCCCTATGTATGCTGGAAATGTATCCTTTCCTGTGAGCTTCCTTATTAGTGTCTACTTGGTTAGAGACAATGCCAGCAGTGGGATGTGATCGTTGGAGATTTTAGAATACTAGGGCATGGGAATTATTACCTGTTCTGGCAATTTATTTCATTAGTCCCAGTGTTTGCCGTGGAGGGGAGGTGGGAGTTGAGTGGGAGATGTTATTCTCTTCTATATGGGGCAGTCTTGACTCTTGAGTTCCCCATGGTCTAAAGGGACGAGATACCCCCATACAGCATCCCACCTACCTTCTCTCTTGTGTCCCTTCTCTTGCCTTCTTTGTTCATTTCCTTTGCAATGTTGTGGAATCACTATAGTGTCCCATATATGGTGGTTCAGCTGCTGTTCACAGAACTGAATTAAACGTGGTCCCTATCATTAGGGAGGTTACCCCTTATACATGGACACACACACACACACACACACACACACACACACACACACACACACACACACACACACACACACACAATCTGTAAACTCCTTAAGACAAGGACCGGCCGGGTCCAGCTGCACATGCCTATAATCCCAGCACTTTGGGAGGCCGAGGCAGGTGGATCGCCTGAGGTCATGAGTTCATGACCAGCCCGGCCAACATGGTTAAACCCCATCTCTACTAAAAATACAAAATTTAGCTGGCCGTGGTGGTGGGCGCCTGTAATCCCTGCTGCTCGGGAGGCCGAGGCAGGAGAATCGCTTGAACCCAGGAGGCAGAGGTTTCAGTGAGCTGAGATTGTGCCACTGCACTCCAACCTGGGCAACAGAGCAAGAGTCCATCTGAAAAAAAAAAAAAAAAAAAAGAAAAAGACAAGGACCTTTGCTTGTTTGGGGTTAATATCCTCAATGCCTATCACAGAGAGATAATGAATGAAGACATTCCTTGTGAGTCAGCTTGGTGAAGAAAATGGACTCTAAATCCAGATTGCTCAATTAAATCTCAGTTCTGCCCATTAGTAGGAGTAAAATTCAGTCAAGTACACTTAACCTTTCTGTGCCTCAGTTTCCTCATTTGGAAAATAGGACCAGTAATAAGAGACCTACCTTGGAGGGTCATTTTGAGGTTTGTATTAGTTAATACGGGTAAAATCAACAGGTGACTGGTATGTAGTAAGTCCTCAGTAAATACTAGCTCTCATTATAATTTAAACAATAGCATGTGCCTGTCATATGTGTAGTGATAAACATAAGTTACCATGTACAACAGTTGTGCAGTGGGAAGGGTCGTTAACCTGCATGTGTGAGAGAGGAAAGGCATTCTCACCTAACAGGTTTGTGATGTGTTACTATTTTCTGTTTCTTCCTCTCCAAACTCAGTGGGCCGAGAAAGTGTAAAACAACTTTCCTCAATCATGGCTCCACACTGGAATCACTGAGCAAGCTTTAAATAATACCGATGCTCAGGTTCCACCCCTGGGATTTAGATGTAATTGGTCCAGGAGATGGCCTGAACATCGGTATTTTTAATAGCTGCTTGCGTGATTCTAAATAGTGCACACAGGTTGAGAACTAGCAGAGCTTATCAGAGATCCCTTGAGGTCCCTTAATTGCCCTCCATCCCGGCTCCTATCAGGCTAGCTTGCTGCTTAGGCGGTTGATGATTCATTTAGGCCATACTCTGGGGACTCTAGTTTTCTTAAAGAGCATGTTCTCAACTCCTGAGGTTCATGATCCTCCCGCCCTCTGCTTCCCAGAGTCACACCAGTCCAACTTGAATTCTCTTCTCATTTTATAGTGAACGGCAGGAAGCCAAGTGATCAGACGTGCCATTGTCTGTTGGTTTCCCCACCTTGGTTTATTATAAAAAGTAGTAGTAATCTCACAGGTGGAGGGGAGCGTGGTCATTTGTCCCACCTCATTGGCACCAAAAGAAACCCAGGTATGAGATTTGCTCATAAGGTGGATTGGAGGATATGACTGGCACCAGAGGACGGTATACGTTTTCATGCTTCCTCCCTTGGAGATGAGCATGTGGAACAAGGCCTGCCTGGCCTATCAACTCAGGTACAAGGGATTAGGAGCAGGTGCATGGTTGGCCCATGGACCTGCATATACTGGAGGCTGGAAGTAAGATCATCCCCTCGGGCTGTTGCCTGGGAAGATAGCTCCAGAGGAAAGGGCTGAGCTTGCTTTTCCTTTTAGTGAACCTGCATTAAGATGGACCTATCCTTACCTTGGGGAGAGGTAGCTGGGGGTAGAGAGGGAAGAAAGACAGCTTTTTTTCCAAGCACTTTGGAATAAATTAGTTTTGCTACAAATTACTACATCTGGTGAGAGAGGAAGGGCAAGTTCTTACCTTCTCTCTTCCTTTTCCTCCTGCTTCTCCTATTACCAGTAATATTAAGGAAGAAAACTTTGTTTCTGTGTGCCAGTTCATATCCATTATCTGCTTTGATGCCTCAAACCTGTAAAGTAGGGACTTCTATCCCCAACTGACAAATGAAACCAAGGAACAGAGATATTCAATGATTTGCCCAGGGCCACTCAACTAGAAAACGGTAGGATTTGAAGCCATGTCTTTCTTACTCTGGAGGCTCTTTCCCTCTTCTGAACTTCAATATTAGGCTGCCTCCTACCCTCCTGGAAACTCCCTACCCCCTTTTTCTTCCAAAGAGTGTGGATCTAGGGTAGGGTCAGCCACTCCAGTATATGTCTGGTCATCATCCCTTGGTGGGGTGCCCTTGTGACAATACTTAGGACCTAAGACAATTAGGACTTTGAGGAAAAGTCTTTTTTTCAGTGGAGATCTTGTACTTTGGAACCACTTCTTCTGCAGGTCGCTCTCTCCTGAAATCTGGATGGTGCTATGGTCGTGAGAGCTTCGTGTTTTCCACTAGTCCACCTCCAGACATTCCGTTGAATACCTATGGAATCTCACTTCAAGCTCATACAAATTGGTTGTTGACGGTTATTGCCATGCAGCTCCCCTGGTCCCATTGCTTCAGTAAAAGATTTTGGATATTCTGTGCCAGGATGTACCAGGCTCTGGCAGCACCTGCTGAGTTGCTCAGTACCCAGAGCCAGTTCTCTTCTAGTCCAACGTCCCCACTGAGGCTATCCAGGGCCTATGCTGAGAATTTGTTTCTGCAGTGGACCAGAAAAGATGCTTGTCTTATGAGACTGGGGAGAGTAGGGAGGCTGATGGACCCCTCAGCTGCTGCTGAAACTTTTTAGAAGCCCAGAAGCAGTTCTGCTCATGCCTGGCTGTGTTCTGCCAAGAGGCACTTGCAGATATTCCCACATCAGGAAGGCTGCGACCTGCCGCAAAGGAGCAGTTGTATCCACAGGCCGACTGTGCCATGCAGAATGGTAATCTACCTTCTGTGCCTTTATCTTCCAGAGCAGCAACATCATAATCTTCTCTCTGGCTTTATAAATGATGAAATGTCGCACAGGGTTTTCTGTCAGGCAAACATGTAAAATCAGCCTGGATACCCAGCAAAGTACCATGCCTTCCATTACATCCTTGTTATGAAAGCTTCATTTAAAAATTCTTGGGTCATAAAGCGAAGAGAGAGCACGGTGTACCATCACCAGTTGTTAAGCAGACAGTCTTGGTGTCAGAGGGGACTCTTACGCCGTGATGCTATCAGTTACAGAGAATGTCAAAGCTGCATCCCCCATGTGACCTTCAGTGAGGCAAAGGAAGAATGTCTACAAGGAGATTTTTGTGAGGTGGTGTGGTTGCAGCCTCGCTGTGGACTTAGGAGGCTCTCTGGGATACAAATGACAGCAGTTAGAGGTTACACCAGTAGAGGAGATCACGTACCATCCTGCGTTCTCAATGAAAGAAGAGTGTTACTGTCTCAGCCTGTCTAGCTTATACATATATAGTATAACCTGGCCTCCTTCAGTATTCATTCATCAGCTATTTCTTGTAGCCAACTGTATGCCAAGCACTGTGCTAGGCACTGAGGCTGACCTGATTAGAGAATACCTGTGTGGCCTTGGTCTTTGTGGACATCACAGGCTATTGGGGGAATAGAAGTTTATCATGTAAATGTGCCAATGGACATATGATTCAACATGTGTGAGGTCTAGTGAGGGAAAAAGACATTGATTGCTTTGAGAGCATGTGATGAGGGTCAGGTCCAGGTTTGGGGGAGTCAAGAAAGGCTCTCTGGGAGAAGACAGGATTCAGCTGAAGTTAACTAGAGTGGAAATTACAGGCTGAGCAGAGGAGATTCTCAGCTACTAGCAATAGCATGAGCAATGGCCCCAAGCAGGAGAACTGAGTGCTCAAGGACCAGAGAGAAAGCCCTCAAGGCTCAAGCTAGAGCATTGACTTCACTAGACCACAAAAAGAGCCTTGAAGGCCATCAGCCCTAGACTTTTCTTGGGGAGCCAATGAAAAACTGGCAGAGCAAGGGGACTAACTTGGTTGGCATTTTGAGCAGATAAGGAGCACTACCGAGAGAGTTGAGCTGGAGAGAAGTAGGGGAGGACACATGGGCACCCCTTTGGCAAAAAGAGGAGAGATGGTGGTAGCTGGGACCTCGGGAAAAATGATATCTTTCTATTACCAAGATTGTAAGGATTTTATCTTCTTATATAGGAGGAAGGGAGTTTGTTTCAGGCTCTGGGAGCATGCATTTGAACCAACTTGGTGACTCATGAAAATAACGCTTCTGGAGGGTGAAAGCAGGTCAGAAGGGGCTTTAGAAATGCTGCTCACTATCAGGTTTATAGAAACACTGTTATTGTTTTGATACTGGCAATTTTTCTGAGCTCACTTTTTGCTGCTTTTCTCATTTGATATTTTCTCCTGTCGTCTTTATTTCTTGTTTTATGTGTGTTATGTGAGTGTATTGAATGGGCTTTCTGCTTTCTTCTGGTTCTGTTTTAATTTTGGAGAGCTGGACAAGGGCATGATTATGATGATCAGCTCATGTGTATGTTTTGCCATGTGTTATCTCTGCAAATACAACTGGCTGCTTTCCATTGTAAATGTTAATTTTGCAGCCATATTGTAAAACCTGTAAATCCATAGATTGAACTTCTTGGGGGATTTCGTTAGTGTATTTCTGCAAACAGTCCATTGATGTCTAATACATAAAAATGACAGTCAGCATTTATATAGTATCATATTATTCTCTCCACCCTCAGAGTTTCAGGACAGATTGATGACCAGGCTGAAACCTGATTATAATTATCCAAATAAAAGAACAAATTAGGTGGATGGTTCCTAGCTGCATTGGGCTTTAATGCCAAACACATTTTATACTCAGTTATAATTTGCAGTTCCAAAGACCTCCCATTTAGGTTTCATTTGTAGTACAGAAGGATTTTTAAATGTACACAGTTTACTAGCCCATCTTAGAAATATGAAGCAAAAATCCGCCCATCTTAAAAGTGAAATTATGGGCCAAGCTGGCTTAAGTTGACAACATTAGCAACCCACTGTCAGAAACACAAAGACACCCCCAGCCAGCCATTACTATTATCACGCGCTTAAGCAAAGGGCAAACTCAGAGTTTCTTTGGAACCGATTGCCTTTGTTCCACTTAGTATCATAAAGGAGATATTGGCTGTAAAACCTAATGGTATAAGATAGGCTTGGTAAAGGACGCCCTTTTCAGTTCCTTCAGATCTTGCTCATGTAATCTTCCAGCTGAGAAGTGAGAATGTGACTCCTATTAAATGCAGTTCAGGATGTTCTGCCAAAGGCGATATTACTCCAGACCTGTGTCCGTTCCAGCAAATGAAAACCTAAATAAGTCCCACAACAGCACCGAGTGTTCTCTAAAGGACTGTGGTCTGACATTTTCACGTAAAATAAACTAACACTCATAAGTAATGGTGCATTTTCAACATGCTCGTGTGACAGGTATATGAACGCGATTGGTGGTGGGGGGCATATTTTTGGGGGCAAGAGAGGACTCCTCATTCACCCTTCCCCAAGTTAGAAAATGCCATAGCATAGTAGGAATGCATTCAAAAAACAAATTTCTAGATGATATCCTGCATATGAAATAAACTCCAGTCTTTTGTACCATCTGTATCTAGCATACTTATAAAATAGAACAAAGTGTGCATTTTTAATAAAGAAGCATGGTGTTGATTTTCTTCTTCAGTCCTCTTCTTCTTTTCTATTATTTTATAAGGTACACAAAGTATATTATTTGTTTTTAGGAATATTTTAGTGGGGCAACAAGCATGGCCAAACATTATCTCGTGAAGCACTTTTTAGAAGAGGAAGCATTTGAGATTCTCAAAAGCACTTTCAGTGAAATGTTTTTAAATGCACATTATGATGTTAAGAAATTAACTTGAGTTATTAAAGCGGCAAGTATGTTAGACTAATAACTACTACCATCATGCTTTCCCAGGTTTGAAGAGCTGCTATCACAGAGATTTAATAATTCTAATTCGAGGTTATCTTCATTAAGAATACTAAGCTTTAGAATGATTGCATGACTGATAAAAGAATTAGAAAAAATAGTTTAATATCAATTTACTCTTCTATAGGGCTTGACAATTTATCAAGTGCCTTTACCTATATTACATGATTTGATCTTTAAGACCAGTACAAGCCCTCCATATCCTTGGGTTCTAGATTTATAAATTCAGCCCAGGAATTGAAATTATTTGAAAAAAAATAAAAAAAAATACAACAATATGAAATCATACAAATGAAAAAATAATACCATGGTTTGCATATCACTTACATTGTATTAGGTATTATAAGTAATCTAGAGATGAGTTAAAGTAAGCAAGAAGATGAGTATAGGCTGTATGGAAATACTACACCATTTTATATAAGGGACTTATGCATCTGTGGATTTGGGTATCTGTGGGGTTCCTAGAACCAATCACCTGTGGATAGTGGGGATAACTGTGGGCAAATAAGGCATTGTCAATTTTATCCCACCCTCCACCTTGGCCCCAGCTTTTATTCTGGCCATTAAAAAAAACAGAGTTGGGGGAAAAGATCAGAGGTTAAGTAACTTGCCCAAGGTCACATGGCTGGAACTGGCACCCAGACCCTGTAGCTTTTATTTCTGTATTCTTTATTACCTTCCAGGAAACCTGGTTTTTCTGTAGTAGTTGGCCTTTTCTTAGGTTTTATGAGTGGACAGGTTCTGTGAATATTCTAGAAGACATGCTAAGTATGTTTATATTTTCTCTCAGAAAGCTAGCAGAGTCTGGTATCTTCCAACCTTTCATACTTAACATCTCCTTGTTAACAGATGGTAGAACTGAAGGGAATGCATAAACTTGAAGGGTTGTGGTCACAGAATATGTTCTGACTCCAGATATAGGGGTGTGAAGTGTAGGATGTTTTAGAAACAAAAGGCATATCGTAGTGCCACTAGACAGACACATTGTGAGATGATGCATTTTTGTTGTAATTTAGAATTTAGAGTTGTTTGAAACAGGACGTATCCCTGATGCCCACCTGCCTACACATATAGTTGCATTTCTTATTTGCTCTTGAAATTCCCATGTTTAGGAATTTTCACCACTGGCACTAAAAGTGGGGCTCTTGTCCAGGATTTGATGGTATGAGGAAGATTTGCCTGAATTTGTGACTCAGAGTAAAGCAATAAAATCCAGAGGTCCAGTAGTTGAAGATTCTCATAACCATCTATTTCTGCCTCACCATTAATTCTGGTGTAAGCAAGCCCTTACTGTGGAATGTCATTTTTTGATTCCTTACTAACCGTCGCTACTTCCTAGTCTTTCAAAATGGTATTTTAGGCCTGAAAATTAATTCTAAGAAAATAGTTCAAATACTAGAAAAGTTGTGGCCGCAAAAGTGTTGATTCCACTCTTATGATAGTGAAAATTGTTAGGAAAAAAACACAAATGCCCAACATTTTGGAAATTATTAAATAAATTAGGTCCATCCTGAAGTTGGAATTATATGACCATTAAAAATTACGCTTTATGTTCTTACACAGAAAGGTGGATGGAAAAAAAAAGAAAAAACTTATGTTTTATAGAGACTTTTAATGACATGAGCCATGTTATTAATTAATACTGTTATTGATAAAATGTTAATACCATAAGCAAACACTGCAATTAAGAATAGCAAACACGTATATGGTTCTTATTACAAGGCACTCATCAAAGCATTTAATATATATATCAAGTGACTTTGAGGTAAGTAGTCATAGTACTTAAGTGTTAAATCTTTTTTTTTTTTTTTTTTTTTTTGAGGCAGAGTCTCACTCTGTTGCCCAGGCTGGAGTGCAGTGGCGCGATCTTGGCTCACCACAGCCTCCGCCTCCCAGGTTCAAGCGATTCTCCTGCCTCAGCCTCCGGAGTAGCTGGGACTACAGGCGTGCACCACCAAGCCCGGCTAATTTTTGTATTTTTAGTAGAGACAGGGTTTCACCATGTTGACCAGGCTGGTCTTGAACTCCTGACATCATGATCTTCCCACCTTGGCCTCCCAAAGTGGATAAATCTTTTAATAATGTAATTTTTAGATGAGGAAACTGGAATCTAGCTAGTAGGTCACATACCTAATAAGTGGAGGAGCAGGAATTTGAACCCCCGAACTCAGCCACAACTGCTGTTTACCCCAAATAAGGTCCACAAATCATGACACAAAATGTGTTTTTGTGTATGAAAAATTTAGAAGGGTCTATGACCCAATTCTCAGCTCTGGTGACCTGTGTGGTGGGAATTGGGGTGACTTGTTCCTGTTCTAGTCTTTTCTATATCTTAAACAGAAAACCGACACTTTGGTTATTACAACATAATGCAATTTTAAGTAAATAAGCAGGAGCCGTCTTTACCCTCCTGGGATTTCCTTGTGGCCGAATGAAAACCCACCCCTACGCTGTCATTTTATGTCTTTCAGTTTCTGTGCAGTCAGACCACAGAGAGGGGCTTTCTTCACCATGGATTTGGCATCCCTTCAGTTAGAGAGTGGATCTGGACATATGCCAGATTTGCCTGGATGTTTTTCTGCTTTCCAATCATAAGCCAAAAAAACAAAAAAACAAAAACAAGAAGCACACAGGAATGTATGATTTGAATTCTGGATCTCTCAGTTCCCATCTCTTAATTTTTTAGTTGTTTGGCTAAATGCTTGGGCATTTTAGCCATGGAATAAATACTAGTAAAGACTTTATGGAATACGTAGCAGGAGGCATTTTTAAATGGTGCACTGTTTCCACTGAGCTGTGGACAGATGGGTTGTTTATAGGCTGTTTCATATCCAGCCTCCTTTTTTGTTTTGTTTCGTTTTATTTTGTTTTGGTCTTTTGCTGGTGAGAAGTAGAACCACGCTTCTTTTGTTCTTTTTCTACCTCTCTGCTAAATCTTCTTTTATATGTAATATTCTTTAAAGTATAATTTGCAATGATAAAGTGGCATCCAAAATGCTAAAGGAACATGTTAAGACATTTGAAGAATCTCTTTCTTCTAGAAAGATGTATGAAAATATTTGTTAATAATAAATGATTGAGGGTTTGCTTCAGCATAATTGGAGGAGTGTGAGGATGTAGACAGAAGAAGACTGGTCATGAAGCTGAGTGATGGGTACGTAGGAGTTCATTACACTTATTCTTTCTACTTTTGTTTATGTTGAACAGTTATCACACAAAAAATGAAGCAGCCACTTAACTAGTATCTCAGCAATTCTATTGCATCACGAGATGCAGCAAATTTAGTTTGAAAGGGTAATTTTCAGGAAAGAAAACTTTAACATAGAACTTCAGTCTGTAAAAACCAAAACCAACAATTGAAATATGGAAAATTCCGACAGGCCATCACATTGTGTGCATACGGAATCTATACCATGCCAAAGAATAACTGATTGTTCATTTCAACTTAACTTTATGATAATATTATTAATCAGTTTTGATATGTTTAATTATGGCTTTTGAGCTTTAAGCCCTTTATAAACACTTCACTGTCTTACCCTTTACTACTACACAAGTATCTGAAATGTTCACTTTGACTGCAGACTCTCAGCCTTCCAGGCCATCCTGCAGTCTCCCTTGATGCTAACTAGGAGCACTTTTCTTTCATCGTTATCCTCATGTAGAATTTGGCAGTGGCCTCCAGTGGCCTGTGAATAAAATCCAGATGTTTTAGTTTGGCCCAAACCTACCCCTGCTGATTGATTTCTTCTCCTGTGAACCACTTCCTGGGAATGGAACCACATAGAGCAAAAATAATGAACTATTTAAAAACTCTTGATACTTATTTCCAAAGTCTTCAAAAACAGTTGTACCAATTTGCACTCCCATCAAGTATGTAACTCTGCCCATTTTGCCGTACACAAATAAACAGCAGGCATTATTATCTTTCAAAATCTCTCCTGATGTAAGCCAAAGAAAAAGTATCTCTTTCTTTTTTTAAGTTATCATTGAGAATGGACTTTTTTTTCCTACTTTGATTGGCATTCCTTCTTTCCTATTTAAAATGTATTTGCTCGTATCTTCCCCTATTGTTACCGTATTCCTTAGTAATATTTTGGTAGCAGGATAGAGGCTCATTGTGTGTTCTCACATGTAAACTTCCTGAGGGGGTCTTGTTTCTTATCCATTTTTGCATCCTTAGTGCCTGGTCTAGAGCTTAGCACAGCGTGGATACTTAAGGTAACTGTTGCCGTGTTTGGACACCTTTCTTTCTGTCTTCCTTTCTTTCCTTTCTTCCCTTTCTTTTCTTTCTTTTCTTGATGGAGTCTCGCTCTGTTGCCCAGGCTGGAGTGCAGTGGCGCAATCTTGGCTCACTGCAACCTCCGCCTCCTGGGTTCAAGCAGTTCTTCTGCCTCAGCCTCCCGAGTAGCGTGGGACAGGTGCACGCCTCCACGCCTGGCTGATTTTTGTATTTTTAGTAGAGATGGGGTTTCACCATATTGGCCAGGCTGGTCCCGAACTCCTGACCTCATGATCTGCCCACCTAAGCCTCCCAAAGTGCTGGGATTACAGGCGTGAGCCACCACGCCCGGCCTGGACACCTTTCTTTGAAAAATGAAAATGAACAGAGTGGTGTCCATTTTGAGTGGGTATTTCTATAATACTGGTTGCTAGGAAATCTGTTTTTTTTTCTCCTCTGCAGAATAAATCATCACTACTCTCTGCCGGTGACCCCTGGAGAGGTCTGAGAGGTCAGTGGCTACAACACAGGAATAAATGTCCTTCTGATTTGTAAGCTTTGTTCCCCATATCAGGAGCATTGGTTAGGAAAAAGAAGTGTATTGTGCTGAAATCTAAAAGTTGCTCATATTACAGGGCACCTACCAGTAATTTCTCATGCCATCATCTAAATTGAAGACTTAGTATTGTTAACAAGTTTTGAAAAGGCATTTTTTAGCTTGTTCCTCTAGATTATTTAGTGCATTTTCCCCCACTGGTACTAAAAATCAGAAGTTAAATCACAAGTCTTTCTGTTATATCCTACCAGCCCATCTTTTATGACATCCTGCTTCTCTTCTTTTCTTCCTGTAAAAGAAGATTTTTGAACCTATAAAATCACTTTTTAAAATAGACATTTTTTCCTAACCCTCAGCTGTTCCTCATCAAGTTTTTTTTTTATTTTATTTTGTGTTTCCAGCTATTGGAACATTCAACCTCAAGACTGTGATCTTTCTGTGGCATGCTTGGACTCATAGCACGCGGAAAGGAAGCCTGTCTTGTGCATTGTTCTAGGACAAAGTCCATTAAGTGAAGGTCTTAATAAAATATTGAAGGTCTTAATGAAATACTCTCAACCCTCACCAGCTCCCCACCAGTGCTAAGCAGGGTTTTGCCTTCTCCTCCCACATGTCTAACTAGAATTCTTCTAAAGGAATAAACTAAGAGCAAAATAAAAGTTATCCATCTCCAGCGCCTGGGATTCCGGTCTCACGGTTTTTAAACCTTTTTCCTGTTTCCATAGTCTGAGATGTGCCTAGAAAGGCCAGCCCTAGAAAGGAATACATAATTATCTTCTAGTTTGCTCCATCTCCTTGGTTCCCATGAAGAAATTTCAAGCCTATGATGCCTTCTCCTACAGATAGATCCTCTTTTCATTCTGATGTCATTTTGTGACAGTTGGTGAATAAAAGCAGCAAGCCCAGGCCAGGTGGCAGAGTATCTGTGTCTGCATTTTGATGACACCTGTCATCAGAGAATCTAGGCACACAGGCTGGGGCAGCATCCATGGACGAGGCAGAGGAAGTGGGTAGCCTAGAAACTCCACCAGCTGAGGAGTTGTTTCGTGGTCTCAACAGCTTGTAGAGTGTTGATGTAATTTTGCAGGTAGACCCAAACCTTTAAGCAACTTGCATTTTACCAAGAGTTGCTCATCATTTCAACCTCTCACTCGCTATTCTCACCATCAGATGCAGAATCCTGTTGCAATAAAATCATAAATGAAATAAAAGCACAGTCAAAACTGTGCCATCCCTCTGATTAACCAATGTTGTTAGCTCAGGGTCTAGAGTATTAGGTATATTTTTGTTACTTTATGGAGCCTAAGCTTGCTGCTACATGGGAGGGAGCTCTACTTGCTTTACTTCCTGCCAAAACGCAAGATGCACTTTATGACAATACTGATTTGGAACCTTCTAGGGATTTTTTTGTTTTAATTGCCAATGGCAGAAGGACACTATTATGGTACTATTTTATACAACTCATGGACTCAGGCACAGTGTCATGGTGAAATGATTGTATATAGCCCTGCTGGCCTTCCATCTCATACTCCTTCCATGATTTGTGGTTATTGTCTTCTTTTGCTTTGTTTTGTCAGCCAAATATGAGATTTGAGCATGAAATCGTATAGTTTTAGAAATTCCAGAATACTTCTTTAATCCCTGAAAGTCAGTACAATTCTACCTAAGGACTTTCAGCCCTTTGCCTTGTTATCTGAAAATTGTCTTTCTCTGGATAATTATCTTGACTTTATTTATTTGCTCATTCAGTTATCCACTTAGTAAATTATGATGAAGTACCTTGTATGCAACAGGCAGTAATAGGCTATTTCGTAGCAATTTCAGTGTCCAGTGGAGAAATGTAGACTAGTATTTGTGTTTACGCCAGTTGAGGACCTTTTTAAATAGTGGACTTGAGCTTAACTCTCTGCTTCTTCTTGCTTTTGATGAGGAACAGAATTCACTTACACATTTCACTGGGAAAAGACCTTCCCATGTGCATTACTACTAGCGGGAACAAAAGCTGGAACTGATGGTCTGCAAGGTCATATGTCATCATATGTCAAAAACTTCAGAGCTTTGCAGATTTTTTTAACCTTGCATTATGCTGGGATTATTGCATTGTTCTAGAACTATTGCATTGAAAAAAGCCTAGAAGTGTAGTAATCAAAACAATAACATTGCTTATATCTAGGTAATAGGATACATTTTTATTTTTAGTTTGCCTATTCATCTTTCCTAATTTCTTTGCAGTTTATTATACAATAAAGAAATCATCATTACTTAAACAATATAGTTCAGGCAAGAAACGCCTCAGTTAAAAGAACTGTGGTCATTTTGGAATGGTGAATTGCTGTATTTTTTATTAATGGATCTGGAAACTTCATTGCTATAGCGTGATGTTGGGGGAATGAAACAGTTGTTCATAGATATTTATGCATGGAGCTACACAAAGACAAATAACATGTTTTAGTCATTGTCAGTGGGAAAATTGGTTGTATTTCCAGGGCATCCGTATTAGCAGGAGTAGCCAAATAGCTATATTAATGTTCTGGTGTGTGATCTGAGTTAATTACTGCCATAGTTTTGTTAGACTTCGACATGATTTCTTTTCCAGCAAATAAAACTTGAGAAAATTCAAGATTGGTATTAATTATGTTGCTCCAAATGAATTTCTAATGTAGACAACTAAAATCAACAACTGTGAAGCCATACTATCAATAGGAGAGTGAAGATCTCCTAGCATAGACATAGCATAGAAAAACCTCATTTTGATTTTCACCTCCTTACAGATAAGATTAGTTTACTTGTCTAGAGAGGCATTTAAGAATAGAAGGTTTCCTGAAGACTTTCTGGAGGAGAGGCTGATGGAATTGCCTCTGGGTGCGTAAGAAATTAGCTTAAAGGGAACATATGCTAGAGCCACAATATGGGTGGATTTGGTATTATTCAGTCTGGGCAGTTGAGGTTCTACAAATCACAGATTCTATAGTTTTTAGAGATACCATGGAGTCTTTGAGGTATAATTTGTGAATCAGGAGCTAGTCAGTTGCCCAACATTCATATGTCAACGTAGATCTCTTGGTGTCTTCTCAAGGTCATTAAATCATTCACTTAATAAGCGTTTAATGAACATTCCACTATGTGCCTAGGGAACAACAATGAATATGACAGATGCAAGCTATGCTTTAAGGATGTCTGGTAGGATTAGTTTTGTAGAAACATTAACACATTTAGAGATTTTTTCTGCCTTATAAATATCAAGACTGTATCACAGTAACTGATCTTTATAGTCATCATCTAGAAATGAAGTTCCTAAATTTTATTTTCATGGTGACCTTACTAATCTATATATGTGTGTCTCCCAGATAAAACTTTTATCTATAGCAAAACTGAAAAGAAGGTGATATGGGCAGATTTTCTAAATCTATATGGTTTTGCCATCATGGAAACAGAGGTAGAAGAACCTAGAGAAGGTTGGGGAGGGCATCACCAATTCACAGTGAGTGAACTTTCTTTGTTACTGGACTCTAACATCACAGTTGGGTAGCACCTTTGTGGTACATCTCAGCAGACACCATACACTAAGCAGGGCATTGCTGAAAGTCATAACTCAGGAAAGTGAGATCAGAGTGCGGGATCTCTTGTCAGATATCCAACAGCTAAATGTTGTCTGTCCTGGGGCATTAATAGATAATTGTCTTATAGTCCTAGTCCTGAATTTTTTTGGTCCCCTGCAAACTCTTAAAGGCTTTTTTTTTTTTTTTTTGGCTTGATCTCACTCTGTTGCCCAGGCTGGGGTGCAGTGACGCAATCACGGTTCACCGCAGCCTTGACATCCCCCAGGTTCTAGCAGTCCTCCCACACCAGCCTCCCCAGTAGCTGGGACTACGGGCATGTGCCACCACGCCTTGCTAACTTTTGTATGTTTTGTAGAGATGGGGTTTCACCAAGCCCTCTTGATATCTTTGGTGAAACTATACATACCTCTAGGAACAGAAACAGCAGTCTTGTGTTTCATCTGGCCTGGCTTCCTCTGATGGAAGTCATATACCTAAGAGTATTTTAATTGTATCTATTTCCACAGCACTGAGTATCTTTGGGTGTATGACTTATATCCAGTCTCCTTTCTAAGGAATCATATGGTTTCCATAGGAAGAATATAATGATCGATATTAATACGGGAACCTTATTGAAGAGGAAAATGATAACTGCCTTTTCTGGATTACCTTCACTGGCAATATAAGTGTCAGGCTACTCTCAGCATTAAGAACTTGATTTCCTATTTTGAACCAGGATCTCTCTCACCTGTAAGTTAGAGGTGTTCCAATTAAGAGAAATGTGAAACAGTTATAGAAATAGAAACGACAGTCATATGGTTGGTTATATCTCACTTTTCACAGTTGGCATCCCTGTTAAGAATTATGTTTCCATCCAAATCTTGTCACTAGAATCAGATTCGTAGTTACATCATGGGAGCCAACTGTTCCAGTGATCTATATGGCAAATCACTCATACCATGAAGCATACTTCTATAATATGATTAGTCACCTCCTAATTTGAGATTTTTGTGTCCCCAAGTTTTCATTAAAAGGAAGCTTCTGGGCTATTAAAGATGCATTGATATGCCTACAGCATGATAGATGCACATGAAATACTCCTATAACAGATAACACAAAGAAGATAGCTTTTTATAACTCAAACAAAATGTTTCTAAGTCCCAGGCAATAACCTGCTAACTTGAAGACATGTTTATTTCTGCTATAAATACCAGTGTATAAAATGGGTTAAGACCCCTCTGGAGATTTTTTTCCATGTGAATTGAATTTTGAATAATATATGGTACGTACTATAGTGAAAGTTTCTTAACTGATCTTGTAACAGAGAAAATGTACAAAACACATATTTTGGTGTCTGAATACTGATATTCTCTTCTCAAACTGGAAAACTAACCAGAGTCACGGTCAAAGATAAAACAGTAAAAACTCATATTTGTTGATTCATCCATTCATTCATTACATGTTTATTGAGCACCTATTTGTGCTAGCCAATGTACTAACTACTTACTAAATTCCCATTCTTCTTAGTTACTGAGAGAAAAAGCTTTTAATCAATGCCTTATAGACTTTTTAGCATATGCTGATGATAAATCCGTGGAAATCTCTGCACTCTCACTCAGACTCTAATGGAAAGTATGCCAGTTAGTCATTTATTACCTCTCAGTTACAAGTTTGCCTTTTCTTGCCCAACTTTGTAATCTTGGTGTAGAACCCTGGAAACATTTCTCTCTCGCTCTTTTTTTTTTTTATTATTATTAAAGTTCTGGGTTACATGTGCAGAATGTGCAGGTTTGTTACATACGTATACACGTGCCCTGGTGGTTTGCTGCACCCATCAACCCGTCACCTACGTTAGATATTTCTCCCAATGTTATCCCTCCCCCAGCCCCCCACCCCGCAACAGGCCCCGGTGTGTGATATTTCCCCGCTGTATCCATGTGTCCTCATTGTTCAGCTCCCACTTATGAGTGAGAACATGCAGTGTTTGGTTTTCTGTCCTTGTGATAGTTTGCTGAGAATGATGGTTTCCAGCTTCATCCATGTCCCTGCAAAGGAGATGAACTCATCCTTTTTAATGGCTGCATAGTATTCCATGGTGTATATGTACCACATTTTCTAAATCCGTTCTATCATTGATGGACATTTGGGTTGGTTCCAAGTCTTTGCTATTGTGAACAGTGCCTCAGTAAACATATGTGTGCATGTGTCTTTATTGTAGAATGATTTATAATCCTTTGAGTATATGCCCAGTAATGGGATTGCTGGGTTAAATGGTATTTCTAGTTCTAGACCCTTGAGGAATCACCACGCTGTCTTCCACAATGGTTGAACTAATTTACACTCCCTCCAACAGTGTAAAAGCGTTCCTATTTCTCCACATCCTCTCCAGCATCTTTTGTTTCCTGGCTTTGTAATGATCCCCATTCTAACTGGTGTGAGACGGTATCTCATTGTGGTTTTGATTTGCATTTCTCTAATGACCAGTGATGATGAGCTTTTTTCCATGTGTCTGTTGGCTGCTTAAATGTCTTTTGAGAAGTGTCTGTTCATATCCTTTGCCCATTTTTTGATGGGGTTGTTTTTTTCTTGTAAATTTGTTTAATTTCTTTGTAGATTCTAGATATTAGCCCTTTGTCAGATGGATAGATTGCAGAATTGCAGAATTTCTCCAATTCTGTAGGTTGCCTGTTCACCCTGATGATAGTTTCTTTTGCTGTACAGAAGCTCTTTAGTTTAATTAGATCCCATTTGTCAATTTTGACTTTTGTTGCCATTGCTTTTGATGTTTTAGACATGAAGTCTTTGCCAATGCCTATGTCCTGAATGGTATTGCCCAGGTTTTCTTCTAGGATTTTTATGGTCCTAGGTCTTACATTTAAGTCTTTGATCCATCTTGAGTTGATTTTTGTATAAGGTGTAAGGAAGGGGTCCAGTTTCAGTTCTCTGCATGTGGCTAGCCAGTTTTCCCAACACCATTTATTAAATACGGAATCTTTTCCCCATTGCTTGTGTGTGTCAGGTTTGTCAAAGATCAGATGATTGTAGCTGTGTGGTGTTATTTCTGAGGCCTCTGTTCTGTTTTATTGGACTATATATCTGTTTTGGTACCAGTACCGTGCTGTTTTGGTTACTGTAGTCTTGCAGTGTAGTTTGAAGTCAGATAGCGTGATGCCTCCAGCTTTGTTCTTCTTGCCCAGGATTGTCTTGGTTATGCAGGCTCTTTTTTGGTTCCATATGAAGTTTAAAGTAGTTTTTTTCCCACATTCCTCCTTTAATAGCTGGTGCAGCAGTGGGTTGTGCCTGTAGAGGACACTGGGGGCACTGCAGAGGGAAGTCAGAGGTGGGGCTTTCCCTCCTGCTCTCTTTGTTGCTTAAGGGCCCTGTAGGCAGCTGATCAGCAAGAGGGAGGCCCAACCAGTGCCACTCATCTCAGCAGCTCTCAAAACAGCTGCAGCCCACACCCTCCAGCAGATGTCTTTCTGGGCTGCTCCTTCTAATCTATGCTTTCTGGTAAATTTTTCCACAACCCAGTGAGTCACTCTTCTGGGTATGTGCTGGTCCGCTCTCACTCCACAGAGTTTCTTCATCACCTAGTGGGCCATTCCTATAAACCATCACCAGCACACCCTCTGGCAGTTTCTTTGCCAGAGGTTCCATGTTCCTGTGACATTCATGCCCTCTCAAGGTCTAAATATCAGCCTTTGCACAGAGGGCCCTCTTCTGAGTTCTTAGTTTCTTCCTTGTTCAGTAGCTCTCTCTCTATTCTAGAAATAATGGCTTTTTTTTTTTTTTTTTTTTTTTGCAGTAGCTTTTCCTGTACCCCTTAGAGACCTCCCTCCCCATTTTTGGTAGTTACCTATCTTTTACTTGTCAGCAATTCTTTATATATTAAATTTTCCCTGCTCAAATTACTGACGTGGTTTCTGTCTCCTGACAGGACCCTAACTGAAAGAGATGTGCTAAGAGAGAAGCCACCTACAAAAAGAATTGCCACCAAACTACCAACTTGTGACCAACAGCTATTTTGTTCAGCATGCTCAATAATTGATTTTAGTCTGATTACATCGGACGTTCCATAATCAGGTGCTGAATATTTTCCCCAGCGCGACTTTATTGAGTACAAAATAAATAAATGCCCTCTTATGCTTCCATAATATGAAGGCATTTATCCACTCAGTAGAGATTTATTCAGTAACGTCTGCAGGCTTGGCATTGGAGTAGATGCTTTAAAAAAAAAAAAAAGGAATGATACGCTCTACCTTGCAAGTTTTTCAGAGAGACAGGACTTGTGTGTGTGAAAAGTGCAATAGAGTTTGCAAGGCAGCATACAGTCCCATTAGCATTTGTATTGCTTCATATTTCTAGACTAAGTGATGTTGCAGAACACCAGTATTCTGTTCTATACAATCCGTTCACATTTCTAAGAGCATGAGCGTTCATTTGTCTTTTCAATTGTTTCCCACTTTCTCTGCATACACAATACTTGCTGGTAGAAATTGCGAGGGCTGTAAGTTGGTAGGTTCTCTGTAATCAAGGAAAATAAATAGTTTCTGACACTAGATCTTTGAAATGGTGTCTGAATATGCACACTTTGGGGCTTTAGGAGGCATCTCTTTGGCTGTATAAATTACTGGAAGCAAGCTGTGTGGGATGAAGCAGGAGAGCTTGTGGAATGTCATTGTTTTAGAGATTGTAGGGCTCTGTGGGAAGTGATTCTAGCTTTGGAACCTTTACACAGCCAAGATTCTTGGAGCCAGATGTAGGGAGTCTGGTTTCTCTTCATACATGTACACTGTATGGAATAATATTTAAGATGTTATTATGCCAGAATTGTTGTAGTGAGTTCCTTGAGTGGAACTGTGTCCCCTTCTCTGTGCATTTCTTGTAGAGAAGTTAAGTCAAATCAACAGGCAGTGCCTGCGGAGCTCGGAAACTGTTGGTGAACGTGGTATTCTGGAATCCACGAGGCCAGCCTTTCCCAGAACATCCTTTGAGGAGCAGTACTCCTGGAAGATGCTCCACCTCGATCAAGTCCTGGAAAGTGATGTCTAGTCTAGCACAGCTTCCTCTTAGAGACTGACAGTGTGCTTTAACATAATAAAGGCTCTCTGATAAAGACTGAAGTAAAAAGAATCTGTCATTTTCTTTTCTGTTTAGAGACAAGGTCTTTCTCTGTCACCCAGGCTGGAGTGCGGTGTCATGGTCATAGCTCACTGCAGCCTGGAGCCTCCTAGGCTCAAGGAATTCTCTCATCTTAGCCTCCAAGTAGCTGAGACTACAGGCACGCATCACCAAGCCTGGCTATTTTCAAATTTTTAGTAGGAACAGGGTCTCACTGTGTTGTCCAGGCTGGTCTTGAACTCCTGGCCTCAGGTGACCCTCTGGCCTCGGCCTCCCAAAGTGCTGGGATTATAGGCGTGAGCCACCACCGGGCCCATTTTCTAACATAGTATTCCAGAAATATCATTGTCACCCTGGATCTTTTTTTCCTTTAAATGTCAATTGTCCCACAGAAACATTGTTTTCCATATGCAAATTGAGGATGTTGATTTTGCATATCTGTCCTCAAAGCCCTCATCTACGTGTATGTATGTATGAATCTGTAGGACTTAAAAAATTTTGTTTTGGTGTTCTCTGCCATTCTTAAGGACTTGAATGATTAGATAAATGAGGCCTAAAGAGGAAACCATGCATGTGAGTTATAGGAATTATGATGAGTAGGCAGTGGCTTGGGTTGTACCAGAAACACCATGGCCCCAGGTTGAAGCCCAGTCACTACCACTTTCTTTTTTTCTTCTTTTTTTTTTGAAATGGAGTTTCACTCTGTCGCCCACGCTGGAGTGCAGTGGTGTGATCTTGGCTCACTGACTGCAACCTCTGCCTCCCAGATTCAAGTGATTCTCCTGCCTCAGCCTCCTGAGTAGCTGGGATTACAGGCACGCACCACCATGCGCAGCTAATTTTTGTATTTTTACTAGAGGCGGGTTTCACTATGTTGGCCAGGCTGGTCTCAAACTCCTGACCTCAAGCAATCCACCCACCTCAGCCTCCCAAAGTGCTGGGATTACAGGCGTGAGCCATCCCGCCCTGCCAGTCACTACTACTTTCTAGCTATGCCTTTAGGCAAACATTTGTTCTCTCAAAGTCTTAATTGCCAGAGCTGTTATATGAGAATGATTATTTGTTCTAACTCTTAAGGTTGTTGTAGATAAAGAGAAATAATGAATGTAAAGCACTAGTATAGTGAATGGTCCTTTATAAGCTCCCAGTAGATATTAACTGTTACTATTATTTGAGGAACAGATTGCTTCTAGCATTTGAGGTAGACCTTTACGAGTCCTATCTGGGCATTAGAGGCAGGGACTGCAGTCATTTTTGCTAAGTTTTCAGAGGTTCTGTTGGTGAAATGAAAGAGATCACAACTGATATCAGGGTAACACCTGGAAACATTACCATCTCCCTAAGATGTATGTACGTTCGTGTCTGTGAGTAGTGGTCCTGAAGGAATGGGAAAGAAAAACAGCAACTCAAACCTGAGGTGACTTCTCCAGTTTGGTGTCAGATGTCCATGATTGACTCTTCTTCTGCGACTGTTTCTTTGGAGGTCACTTTGGGGTGTATGTCTTTAGGTCTCTTTCACCTTTCGGAGCAGACCGTACCACCTGAAGTCCTGTTGATTATAGAGAATCATATGTATCACAATTCTTGGGGCAAAAAAAATGATTCATGTCTGAGAGATGATTTAACTTTGGGCCTATTTGGGAAACCAGCTTCTTAGGTTTAGTGCAACATCTTCTTGTGCTCCTTACCCAGGTCAGGATGAGGCCAGGCTCCCAGAAGTTTGCTGAGAAATTCCATATTGGCATCTCCTGACCCCATCCAGCTCCACATGGGAGGAGAAGTAGATTAAAGATTAGCTGTGTGGGAATATGGCCTGTTCCTATTACCTGCCACAGAGGAGTCCAGCTGTGGTTTGACAGCATCTGACACTGTGTCAGAAACACAGCAGCCAGCTGGAAACCGATCAGCACCACTCTAGTTCCTGCCACTCACCCTACCTAGGTTACTCTTTGCTGAAATGCTTACTGTGATATATTTAAATACTTATTTATAATTTAATCATTTATATATCTGATACAAATGTGCCGAATTTGATATATACACAGATCCAAATCGTAAAATACACATACCAAATTATATATAAAAATATGAAAATTGACATATGCAATATATCAACATTTGAATACAATGTGTTTTCGAAATGCAGATCACTTTTTCTGGTTGTAAAAATAATCATGCTTGTACAAATGTCAAGCAACATGAGGGACTATTAAGGAAAAGGGGATCCTACCCTCTGGAGGGAACCAGTAAGGTTTGCCTTTCTGCTGTCGGAAGTTTTAAAAACACTTACAAATATGTTACCTGAATAAAACGAAACTACTATAAAGTGGTTTTGACCCTAGTAATATGTAATAATCATGTCTTGATATTAGAAGATACAGATTTTCCTCATCCTTTTTAACTACTTCATAGTTGACACTAAATGGCGGTGCCATAATTCATAGTAGGTAGCTATTTATGGATTTATTAGAGTAACTTCAGATTGTCATCCTCTGATAAAAAATACTGATATGTTGTATTGATATGTTTATGCCCGTATCCACTTATCCACATTATTTTTTAAAAGTCTTAGAAGTGGCTTTCCGACCGGGTGTGGTGGCTCGCACCCGTAATGCCAGCACTTTGGGAGGCCAAGGTGGGCAGATCACCTGAGGTCAGGAGTTCGAGACCAGCCTGGCCAACATGGTGAAACCCCATCTCTACTAAAAATACGAAACTTACCTGGACATGGTGGCACCTGCCTGTAATCCCAGCTACTTGGGAGGCTGAGGCAGGAGAATCACTTGAACTTGGGAGGCGGAGGTTGTAGTGAGCCAAGATCGCACCACTACACTCCAGCCTGGGCAACCGAGTGAGACTTTGTCTCAAACAAAAACAAACAAACAAAAAAAAAACGTAGATTTCCTAGGTTAACAAGTATACTCAGTTTTAATTTTGAAAGGCTGTTGTTCATGTAATTCTCTTAACCAAGTACACAGGTAATCAGTTGACCATATTCTCATTAACACAGGGCATTTTTGTTGTTGTTGTTGTTTAGGAGTCATTATTTTATCTCACAAGTTTCTTGTGCTTTTATGATATTCTTTCTCTTTCCTACATGTAGTAGCCAAAGTACTTCATATACTTCAACTGTTTGAGTTATGTAACAGAGTCAGTAAGAAGCAGAATAAGGAATGTTAACCTCTAAACATACCAAGATAATTTTTTAAATGTGTTTATTTATTTATTTGAGACAGGATCTTGCTCTGTCTCTGAGGCTAGAGTGCATTTAGTGCAATCATAAGTCACTGCAGCCTCGAACTCTTGAGCTGAGACAATCCTTCCATCTCAACCTCCTGAGCAGCTAGGACAGGTGCATGCCACCTTGCCCTACTAATTTTTAGTTTTTTGTAGAGACAGGGTTCACTATGTTGTCCAGGTTGGTCTTGAACTCCTGGCCTCAAGCAATCCTCCCATCTCAGCCTCCCAGTGTGCTGGGATTACAGACATAAGCCACCACACCCAGCCATAAAAATGTTAGTAACTATTTTAAAGCCCCAAATCACTATGGTAATTTACATTCTTGGGCTACTATTTACTGACACTGTTTTGCTAAACTGGGATTCAACTGACTGTTGCAATTATACAGAGGCAGAGTTAAAGCTCAGATTTTCAGGTCATCAGAAAAATAGAGATTTTCAGAGCATCGTCACATGTTTCTCATCTCTTATCTTCCTACCTCTTGATCCATACCTGAGTGACCTGACTACCAACCAGACAGAGTTTTAATCTCCCTCAGGTTTCATGGAAGGTGGTGTACAGAGTATCTAAAATTCATAGATAACCTTCCTATTGGTTTATCTTCTCAACATTAATGCAGATGACTAGAAATCACACATGAAAAAAACCCCTTTCCCTTGGGTGATTTAAAGAGTGTTTATCTTTGGTGCAGACTCTCAACTAAAATTTTTTTTGGTAGCATATATCAAGAGGTTTTCAAGGGTTGAGGAGTATAAGCAGGTAGGTTACCACTCGATGAAAAGTGATTGGTAATGGAGGAAAGACCGTGAAACTCATGTTTGCTCTTTACTGATAGCCAAACCCAAAGAGAATTAATGTCACTTCTATATCTGCTTGAAATCAATATTATTAATTTCTAGTATCTCAGAATTTCAACTTATAGAGTATAACTGTGTCAGGCACCATATAGATTGATCCAAGGCACATTCTTTTTTTTTTTTTTAGAGACAGGATCTCACTCTGTCATCCAGGCTGGAGTACAGTGGGACTAATTTTTGTATTTTTTGCAGAGACAAGGGTTTTCCATTTTGCCCAGGCAGGTCTTGAACTCCTGGGCTCAAGGGATCCACCTGCCTTGGCCTCCCAAAGTGCTAGGATTACAGGTGTGAGCCACCACTCCTGACCCCAAGGCACATTCTTACAGTGGGAAAGAATATCATTACAAGGGTTGCTCAAAAAATAAGTTTCCTATGATGTTTTTAATTTGCCGGTCAAGGTTTCAGTATATTTTAAGCAACTTTTTCAATTACAGTAATAACCAGTATTTTGGGGTGTTTATTCGATAAGTGGATTATTGTAGCAACTCTCATGACAGCTGTAAGAGGTTTATTGTCAGTGTTGTCTTTATTGTCAGTTGTTGTCAGAGTTTGGGGAATTGAGTCTCAAGGAGGTTAAGTTACTTGCCCAAAGTCAACCAGCTAACCAGAGCCCAGAACCCAAACCTGAAGGTCTGCCCAACTCTTAAAGTCCTTGCACTTGCCTGTGAGGTTCTGCTGACTTCCGTTGTCATAGGACAGATTGAAAATCCATCTAGTATCAGGTAGGCCTTTTAGTATCCTTTGGAAAAAGTTAAAATTCAGCATGATTGCTGTGCTGCCTCCTTTCCTGAAATG
This sequence comes from Homo sapiens, assembly GCF_000001405.40. Taxonomy (NCBI): domain Eukaryota; kingdom Metazoa; phylum Chordata; class Mammalia; order Primates; family Hominidae; genus Homo; species Homo sapiens. Next base: position 62,116,325 of record NC_000003.12, read on the forward strand.
TTACACCCTACTCTGATGTGCTTTATTGGCCGGAAATCTTCTTTCCATAAACTGCATCAAGTTGGTGATGCTTTATGCAACAGAAAGAGAAATAATTTACCATAAACACAGCAAATCATTGGATAAATCTATCTTGATATTTTCACATAATGGTATTCTCTACAGTAATAAAAATGAACTACTACTTGGACAAACATGGGTGAATCTCAGATATAACGACGAGTGAAAGAAGGTGAGACAAGATTCTGGTGTATGTTTCCATTAATGCCTATGGAATATGGGGCTATCAACTGGAGGGTCTTAAGGAAGCCTTCTAGAGTTCTGGAAATTTTTGTCTTCATCTGGCTGAGGTTGCATGGGTGTATACAGATGTGAAAATGCATCTGACTATATACTTAACATTTGTGTAGCTTACTGGTTTATGTTACACCTCAATGAAAAATAAAGATAACAGGCAAATCACAACACACATTTCTTCTGGGACCTCAATGTCTAATGGGAAGACCATTTTAAACTAAGGACTTCCACGTTTTAGAGTTGTTTCCTAATGAGACTTCTTATAAGTCACCCAGCTTACAAGTGGATCAGTGACCTGACAGTCTTGAGGAGCTAATGCACAGGCAATAATTTTAAAATAATTTTAAAGGTTCACAGGCACCAATTTATATGTCACCATATCTATACACTAAAACACACATACTACATTCACTAGAGAGCTCTTCAGGGTTCTGTGTGTCTTTACTTTCTATGACACTTGCAGAAGAACGTGTACCCTGAGACTTCTGCTTTATTAGAACCTGGTGACCCAATTATTATTCAAACGGACCATCTTTAGTCATTTATAGAGGGTTAAATTATGTTTAAGGAGGCAATGAAGCATGCAATACATTTTACAAAGGTTTCATCTGAAAATGTAAGAATAAAGTTTGAGAATTTAAAGGGGACTTTTCCCAGCTAGCTCACAAACTGCTTGAATTCTGTATATTGTTCTACCAACAGAATCATTGCACTGTGCCTTATATAAATGTTGAACTTCGCATATTTAACATTCTAAAATAACTGTCACGTTTCTCAGAGCATGCTCAGTCTTTTAAATTACATTTGCAGGGATACCAAGATCTGATTAACACAACACTTGTAAAAAGCTGTTTCTAGATTTTTGGAGATTTTCCTGTGATGTTTACAGGTATGGTTCATTTACTGTGCCATAAAACTTGTGCAGTTTTTTATCATTAGAAGCCTCCCCGGTTGGTAACAACTATCAATCTATCAGTCATTCCACAAAGATATTTTGAAGGCTTACTGTGGAAGAGGCACTGGGTTTCCTATTGCAGTATATCTTCAAACAAAACAAAACTTGTAGTCTGGTTAACATAGTATTAATACTATATCTACTAATATCACAATTACACAATTCACAGGGTTCGAGCATCTGACTGGCAGAAAAATTTCATTTTCTTTTGTCTGTACTTTTGTTTGTCTAATAGATATATTTGCAGTACAATACATCCTAGTATAATTGTTGGCACTTATTAGGTGCTTAGTAAATATTTGTTGAATGTATGAATTAGTGGGTGAATTAATGAATAGGTGGATGGATGAAGTTTAGCACTGATAATTTTAACAGTAATGTTTACTGTTCAGTAATTTCATCAGTGAATTCTTGCCATGTGCCTGGCATCGTGTGAAGTATTTTATGTGGATTATCTCATTGGTCTCTCCTCAGCCCTCTGAGGAAAGTACAGCCCTAAGAGGGAAGTATTATTAATATCTCCGTTTTCCAGACTGAAGAATCTGAGGCTTAGGACAGTTAAGTAATTTGTTTGTGTAAAACTGGAATTGGCAAACTTTTTCTATAAAGGGCCAAAGGGCCAGATTGTAATATTTTTGACTTTGCAGGCCATGAGCTCTCTGTTCCAATTGCTTGATTGTGGTTTTGTAGCACAAAAACAGCCACCAACGATATGTAAATGAGTGGACCTGACTGTGTTCCAATAAAACTTTATTTACAGATGCAGTCTGTGGGTGGGATTTGCCTTGGTGGTCATAGTGTGCTGGCCCTTGTCACACCTCATCCATGATAGAAGTGTAATTTGAACCAAGGCAACCTGACTTGGAAGACCTTGTGTTTAACCAGTTAAGAGCAAATTCTACACTTGATCTTAGCCAAAAGGCTGAGAAGTGTTAGGAGCAAATTCTGATCTAGAAAAAGGAAAAAGGCTAGAAACTTGCTTTAGAAGTCCTCGTTAATAATGACGACTATTATTTTTTAAATTTTATGTTTTTTGCTTTTACCTTTCCTTCTTAATTCCATACCACTTTTCAGTCATGGATTAAAAGAAAATAAAAAGAAATCTCACCACAATGTGATAATCCCCTGGTCTGTATACAGTGGAAAAATAATGCCTGTGTCACAGGCATCTTTTCATTTTACCCCTGCAGAACAACCCAGGAGGTGTGTGTCATTGTCCACTTGCCCAGAGTGATTAAAGTCACTTACCTCAGGTCACACAGCCAAGACTTGGATCACATCTTTTGGACATAAATCCCAGAACTCTTTGAACTCTCTAGATACCCTGATTAAAGTCTTCTTTTAGCTTCATCCTCCTTAACGTCTTTTCCCTGCTTCACCTCTTTAATAGCTATCTGCTTTTCTTCTAGGAAGCAAACATCTTGTTAGCACCAGCTCTGTATTGGCACTAAGATAGAGCTGGGAATACGAAACAAACTAAATAAAGTGCAAGCCCTGCCCTCAGGGAGCTTCTGGTCCAGTCAAGCGATCAGATTTCTAAACAGGTAATTACAATGAAGGGTAGGAAGTGCAGGAGAGAGGTTGTGTTACAGGTGGGTGTGAGCATTTCTGACCTGCTTAAATTTCAGAGACTCTCCAGCCTGGATTTCCTCAGCTGACGCAACCAGTTGGGCTGTACCCTGAGCTTTAGGAATTGACAAACAGACTGGTGCCAGGAAGGAACTAACAAGAGTACTGAGTTAGCAAACATTTGGAATGGGCCAGGGAAGGCCTCCCATGGGAGCCACATTGAGCTTAGCTCTGATGACTGAGAACTTGCCCTGCAAAGAGCTGAGGAATGAGCGGCCTAATCAGTGGGAACAATGCGGGCAAAGGCCTAGAGGCAGTGAAATGCTCCGAGTATTTGAGGAAGAGGAAGGAGGCCCTGGAGTCCTGTAGGGAACCATGGAAATCCTGGAAGAATCCAGAGGTCGGCTGGGCCCAGATCTGGGAGAGCTTTTACGCTGGCATGGGTTGTGATTAGATTTTTTTTTTTTAATTTTTTTATTTTTTTATTTATTTTGAGACAGAGTCTTGCTTTGTCACCCAGGCTGCAGTGCAGTGGCACAGTCTTGGCTCACTGCAAACTCCACGTCCTGGGTTCAAGTAATTCTCCTGCCTCAGCCTCTCGAGTAGCTAGGACTACAGGCATGGGCCACCACGCCTGGCTAATTTTTTTTTTTTTTTTTTTTTGTATTTTAGTAGAGGCGGGGTTTCACCATGTTGGCCAGGATGGTCTCGATCTCCTGACCTCGTGATCTGCCCACCTTGGGCTCCCAAAGTGCTGGAATTACAGGCGTGAGCCACCGTGCCCGGCCAGATTTATTTTTAAAAGCTCATTCTGACTCAGTGGTTCTCATCCCTGCCTGCACATCAGAATCATCAAGGGAGCTTTTCAACATCCAGATGCCCAGGCCACACCCTCAGGTCAATCAGAATAGTGTTTTGTCATTGTTGTAGTCTACTTTTGTTTTTAGTTTTTTGGGTTTTTTTTTAAGCTGGTTAAAGATGATTCCAGTGGGCAGCCAGGGTAAAACAACTACTGGTCTATCAGGCAGAGAAAGAATTGGAGGGTACAGCAGAGAAAGCAGGCAAACCAGTTAGGTCAGGCTTCTGGAAGTGGTTTAGGTACAAGATGGTGTTGATCCAGGATACGGTTAGACCAGAGGAACTGCAGAGAAGTGGTGGTCATATTTAAGATGCATTTAGGAGGTAGAATCTTCCAGAATTTTGGGCGTCAAGAAAGGAAGTGAATGGGTTAGGAAAGGGGTGGAATCAAAATAATTCCTAGGTTTGGGGATTTAGTCTGCTGGATGGAAAAATGTTAAAATTGTATTAAAATAAAAGATTGAAGGCCAGGTGCAGTGGCTCACGCCTGTAATCCCAGTGCTTTGGGAGGCCGAGGTGGGTGGATCACTTGAGGTCAGGAGTTCGAGACCAGCCTGGCCAACATGGTTAAACCCCATCCCTACTAAAAATACAAAAATTAGCCAAGAATGGTGGCATGCACCTGTAATTCCAGCTACTGGGGAGCCTGAGGCAGGAGAATCGCTTGAACCCAGAGGTGGAGGTTGTAGTGAGCCGAGATAGTGCCACTGCACTCCAGCCTGGGTGACAGCAAGACTCCATCTCAAAAAAAAAAAAAGAAAAAGATTGGAAGATGAAAGATTGGGGTGTGGGTAGACGATTGTGATTGACTGAATTTAGTTCAGGACTCAAAAATGATTGACCTGTCTATAGCCAGAAGTTGGAGTATTTTTGGAACTTTGTGTGTTCCTGGTTGGGTACCAGCAGGGCATGCCTGCTTATTTGGGAGAAAGAATGGCTTATAGCTATAGGTTTTTTTTCACAAGACAGCCAGCTCTGTCGCCCAGGCTGGAGTGCAGTGGCCCTATCTCGGCTCACTGCAAGCTGTGCCCCCCGGGTTCATGCCATTCTCCTGCCTCAGCCTCCCGAGTAGCTGGGACTACAGGCGCCCACCACTAGCCTGGCTAATTTTTTTTTTTTTTTTGTATTTTTAGTAAAGACGGGGTTTCACCATGTTAGCCAGGATGATCTCGATCTCCTGACCTCGTGATCCACCCGTCTCGGCCTCCCAAAGTGCTGGGATTACAGGCGTGAGCCACCGCGCCCAGCCTATAGCTACAGCTTTTAAGGATCTTGGATGTGTTAGGAACTGTGCTAAATACTCACGGATCTTGGATGTGTTAGGAACTGTGCTAAATACTCATTTAATCCTCTTAACAACCCTATGAGGTTTTTCAGGGGGGTGATCTCAACATTACATATGAGGAAATTGAGGCACAACTAGATTGTAATTCACTTTCCCATGACTATACAGCTGCTAAGTAGAAGAGCTGGGTTGTGAATCGGGCTCTAGCATCCTGGTTTCAGAAACCCTGTACTTAACCACTACACTAGTCTTAGGTACCCAGCTTGCAGTTTAAAATGAGCTCATCGTGTTCACCTACAGGGGATCCATCTGCACGTTTTCTATGGAGTTACTTATTCCCAGGTTACTGTCAATGGCAGTTTTCATAAGATAAGCCTCTTCCTGGCTAAATGTTACCTACACCACCCTCTCCCCTACTGGGACCATTTTTTTCCATCCAAACTGCTGGAAGAATTGAAAGATCCTGAGCACAGTTGCTTAAATAAGTAGACTACATGCTCTATGAAGAAATCATATTATTTTCTCAGAGGAGAGAGAGTTGGCCCAGTGAGGAAATGATTGCTGGGAACAAACTTTCTGGTTTTCCATTTTGTTCTGCTACAAATGGCACGTTCTATCAATCAAGGCCTGCCAGGAAAGATTTTGTCTTTCCTCATTGCAATTTAATTTTAACCTCTGTTGAACTCAGGTGCATGTTAAATACAAAGCTGAACTCTTCAGTTAGCATTAATCTATGTCCTCCTCGAGATGGGGCTGGATTTTGTTTAGACTGCCTCTTCCCAGAAAGGAATTTCCCTAATTTGTGGATTTTGAGATGTTTGTCTACTTAAATAAGCTATCTGTAACCCCCCACCCTGAAAAAACATAGCTTTACTGAGACCCTTAAATCAAATGCTCCGACAGCTTTAACAGTAGCTCCCTAAAAACAGTTTTCACTAGTTTGTCTGTGAATGAAGTACAATGTTTAGGTGAGTTAGCAGGTTTATTTCATAGAGGATGATGACAAGGAGCTTAAGTTTCTCTTGTAGTATCAGGCAGCAAACCCCTTCCATGAGCCCATGGTTTGGAATAGGGAATGGCCTGTGAGGTATTGCTTAGGAGAGTGAATTGATACTTAATCTGCAGAGACTACATTATGAGAGCAATCATTCAGTGCTCCAAGAAAGCACAGAGTAAAACTACCCCCTCTTAAAAGAAAAAAAAGCTTTAGGATATGTAATTAGTTTACACTTAATTGCTGTGGATATGAAACAGCAGCACCCACGCCACTGCATAACACTCTGTGACTTGTTCAGTGGCACCTTTCACTTAGGTTCTGTGCTGCAATTAATTGGTTTTCTATGTTTGTTTAAACATAAAAGCTACTGAAAATTCTATATCCCAGAATTGATTATCGATGTTTATTTGCTCCATTTGGGGTTCGCTCATTATTTTTGCCAAGTTTTCTTGGTTGGAACTTGGATTTTAAACAAACTGCTTCTTTTCAAACTCTAGAAACGGTGACATAGCAGCTGAGGTCCATGAGGGGCAAGAACTCATCTAGAAGGAGGGGAAATGCCTTTTGATAGCTGATGCAGCAGTGTAAGGAAAATGGTGTTGTGTGGGTTCATTACAGAAGCCAGGGCCCCCAACCTGTCTTGTGGGAGCTAGAACTAGATCATCAGTTCTATGAGGGCAGAGCACTGTGATTTGTTCAATGACGTATTCTATTCCGCTACTCAGTTCTTGGCATACGGTTATCTACTGATATGGAGCAAATTACTACAAACTCAGCAGCTTAAAATAACACACATTTATCATCTCAGTTTCTGTGTGTCCTCAGATTCAAGGTTTCTCACAAAGCTACAATCAAGGTGTCAACTGGGACTATGATCTCATCCGAAAGTTCAACTGGGGAATGATTCACTTCTAATTTTACTTAGATTGCTAGCAGAACCCAGTTCCTCAAGGGCTATTTGACTGAGGAGCTTAGCTTCTCTTTAGCTGTTGGCCAAAGGCTGCTGTCACTTCCTTTTGGCATTATCATAGCTCACTGTAGCCACTAACTCCCAGGCTCCAGCTATCCTCCCGTCTCAGCCTCTGGGGTAGCTAGGACTATAGATGTGCACCACCAAACACTGGCTAATGTTTTTTATTTTTGACTTCAGACATGTTTTATTATAATCTTATACAGTCTACATAAATTTGAACTTGTATTTATTTGGGTTCAGTTATAACATAGCATAATAAAAATCAAAGCACTGGTCCTCTGAAATAAAGCAGGCAATCACCATTCAATAAACACACTTGATTTATTTTGTATAAAAGGGTTACGTTTACAACTAAAAGTTTAAACTTTTATAAAAAGTTTATCATGAATAAGTACATCATTACACTTTTTAATGCAGAAATAGACATCTCTGCCACTATACAAGAAAACTCTAATTAAAGAGTTAACAAGGTTTCACTTAAATAGATATATTTATATATAAATATATACACGGCATTCAGTAGGCTTGTGTCAAAAAGGTAATTTCTGACCAAAAGACTTCATTTAAGTGACTGAATACTGGATCCTTCTGGTATTGACACTCCACCTTTGAAAAAAGGCAAAGTCTGCTTAGATTGGGCAATTCCTTGTGATTTTAACGTTTTCGCTCCCCATGGTGGGAATAGTATATGAAAAAAACCTTCCAACTGCAGAAAGGGCATTTAAAAGTCTTTTTCATAAATAACGAATATCACAGTCCAAGTGAGAGAACACCCTGGGAAGATGATCATTCTTAGTTTTCCTTCCCTTTTTTTTTTCTTTTTAAAAAGGTCCATTCAACTTGTCCTCCTTGTGAAATGGTTGAAAAATAAGTTCAGCGCTTAAAAGGTTCTGTGAATTTGTTGTTGTCGTTGTTGTGCAAAGAAAAAAAAGAAGTCATGATTATTCAGCCACACAGTGCTTTCCTGTCATTTGACATTAACTCCGAAGGGAATTCAGAAGCCTGCAAGGACAGGATGCTGATGTCCGTGTTGAGGGTGGTCAGCGGCATCCTGGATGCCTGGTTCTGCCCGGGTCTCTGGTGATGCAGGCTGACAATAGTGGGATGCAAGTCCAGGGTGATCTGCAGGTCCAAGATGTAGTCGATGACGTGCTGCAGGATTTCCATCTTGCTCACATTCTTGTTCTGGGGGATGCTGGGCACCAGCTCCTTGAGCTTGGAGTAGCAGTCATTCATGTTTTACAGCAGGCTCATCAGGTCATCCACCGGGGTTTTGCTCTGGGAGATGCCCAGGCGGTGGTCCAACAGGCTGTTTTTCCTAATGGACCTCACGGGACTGAAGGCTTTCATGCTGACCGCGAGGGAAGGTGAGACCGGGAGGGAGCTGGCTGTCCTGAAGCTCAGGCCACCGCTGCCGCCTGCTGAGCTAGCTGCGCTTGGCACCGGACTTGGCTCAGAATCACACTGGCTAATTTTTAAAATTCTTTTCTAGAGATGTTGTGTTGCCCAGGCTGGTCTCAAACTCCTGGCCTCAAATGATCCTCCTGCCTCAGCCTCCCAAAGTGCTGGGATTACAGGCATGAGCCACTGCGCATGGCCAGAATCTTTCATAACATTGCTTTTGCCTTATTCTACTGAATAAAACTAAGCCACTAGATCTAGCCCACCCTCAAGGGAAGGTGATTACATAAGGGTCTGAATACCTGGAGTCAGGGGTCTTTGAAGGATCATCTTAGAGTGAGCCCATCACAGTCTGCAGTAGAATTCAGTACATATTGGTTGAATCAATGAGTTTAAGGAGCCAGTGCTTATAATTTGAGCTGAGGGCCCCTAGCTTTGTCCCCCTGTCACCTTTTTATATAACTATAAAGGGGTATTTAAGGTCATTTACGTCATTTTAACATTCTACATATGATACCTACATGATATTTACATGGTCTTCCCCCGTTCCTAATACTGCAAAATGATAATCTTACCTACTCCTATGGAGGGATTCTTTTTCAAAAGAAGGATCAACCTGGCAACCTGTTTGATCCAATGTGCCTTGTCTCTTATATTTTTCATGCTGCATGCATGATGGGAATTTAAAGCCATCCCCACTCAGTGTTTTCTGGATTTCGAGCCTTTTGTAAATGGAGTGCCCCTGAGTAGCTTTTTGCTTCCAGGGAATGAAAAAACAAGGGTGAGAGTTCACATCTAATGTGTTTTGGTTGAAGTCACTTGCTACATGTGAAAACAGTCGGCTCTGCCTTCTCCACTAAGCCTTTGATATTGTTGGGGCTTTTCAGTGTATGGCGGGATTATTAACAAGGGAAAGTCAAAGTTGTCCAGCACTGCCACACAGAATCAGGAGAAACTTGTAGGCAAGTCACTGAACCTGAAATAAGCTCCTTTTGCCCCAGGCTTCCCCAGATCTCATACCTTTTTTTTTTTTTTTTTTAAATTCAAACGTCATGACAATATCTGTGTGAAACAGTTTGCAACGTAGCTTAAGACTCTAGGTCATGCTTTGCAAAGCTGGAATTTCTGTTTTACCTCTCCGGTTCAGGAGCAGCCTGCACTTTGAGAAGATTGGCAGGGGTGGGACAGACAGGTTCTGGGACCCCGGCTTGAAATGCTGTAAAGCCTTTCCCAAAACCTTCTTGTCTCTGAAACACAGTGTATTAAAAAGACAGAAGGACAAAAATCACCATGCGGGCCCCCACGGGAGTACCATTTGCCAGGCACCCCAGCCATCCCACTTCCTCCCTCTCTTCTGCTCTGGCTTTGAAATGGCGTGTTGAGAGAATCCAAAGTTTGATCCTCATGAAAATGAGAAATTGCATGTATTGACAATCTGCAAGACTGCTCCTGGCAAAATCTGCCATTTTGTACGGATTTGCTACCAGCCTTGCTGTCACCCTGCGGGGATTGGTTTTTCCAGTAATGCACTCCTCCAAGCCAAGTCTGACAATGAGATGGTAAATACTCTGGTGGGTTGGGGAGGCAGGGGCAGGAGGCCAGAGAATGGTCAGTTTAAGTAGATCAAAAGCACAAAATTCATTTCCTCAAGTGGCCTTCTCTGACCATGAATCTCAATTCTCTGGAGATGAATAACCTGTGAATTAACTAGTTTCCATTAATATTATGAATTAACAGTAAGTAAGCCATGTCCGTGCTCAAGCTGCGTTTGAAGTGGGGAGGGTGAATCCTATTAGCATTTATAATTGTGTTTTGTTTTCATATTAATCCCTTCCCAAGGCTGAGGAATTAGGAGTTTTCTCATTTGCCGATGGAAACCAGTCCTAGGAGTCTGTCCCTGTCAAATCCTGGAAAATAGATGATGATACAGGGCCATACCTTTTGCTTCAGTCAGGGGCACTTCTGTGAGAGGCCTCGGTGACATTTTGCTTATCTGTTAGATTAGGCTTAATGTATGATCCTGGAATTTAGTAGTTGCATTTAAAGCAATTCTCTAGACCAGGAATCCACACTTGGTTACTCATCTTTATCGGGATTTCATGAAAAGTCCTACAGGTTTACAGAGCTCCTTTTTCCTTTGCCATTCATCACTCTCAATTGTGTCTCTGTATTCCTCTCCGACTTATTTCATGGCAGTTTGGGATGCCACATGTGCCAACATCTCTGATTCTGCTTTTTGTAATATCACATTGCAGCAGTGATAAGAGACACTAGAAAATGATGTTGGAATGTCAAAAGGGAAAAACTACATTTCTATATCAGAAACTAAGACCATTGGCTATACAAGAAGGAAGGTAATATTTGTGAAGACTAAAAAGAAAAGTCAGGAAAAGAAAATTGTTTTCAATATAGCTCAGTGGTTAGTGGTTTCATGCTAAAATTGTCTTCTTGAACATGGCCACATTTCCTAAATTATTGCCAAGTGTTTAACTTATTAATAAAGGAAGCCAGGCAGTGATCTCTTTCTGGGTAAGGGCTAACCAAAATGCAAGGATGCAAAATAACCACATTATAAATGCTTTCTGACAGCAACGTGAACCAAAATCTAGTTAGTGGTCACTAGGATGTTGAAGTCAGAATGAAAGAAGCTACAGCATCCTTGCCACGTGGCTCTTTAGGTAAGAGCCACGGAAGGAGGGGAGATTCAGATGTGAAATCAAACATCCTGAGAAGTGCTTGCCCTTGTCCTCATACAGCAAATTAGCTTCTGAATACACAGTTACCTGCTAACTGCTGGGGTGGGTGAATCCTCTTCTCTGCAATTCTGGAAGGCCATGTGGAGTCTCTGGTCCTGCCCTTTGTCACTTTCCTCTGCAGCCATGGTTAACGGTATAGCCATTCACCCTCAGCATGCATAAATCCTTTTTTCCCACAAGAGGATATCGGCTGGATGTGATGTTTATGGAACTAAAGGAGCAGCTGGCGGTGTCGGATTCAAGGCAAGTAGGTTGTCTTGACCATCCTATTTAGCAGATGGCCAGGACTTGATAGAGCAAAAATTATTAGGATCCAAGTCAAGGGCCAAATGGCATGGGGGACAGTAGAAGTAAATGGCAGCACATATCTGAACGCAGGCACATGTCGTCTGATGGGGTCTCTGTGCTTCCTTTTCATTTTACTTCAAGCAAGAGTAAACACAGGCCCTCCTGTAGAGCCTCCAGGTAAACATATCTCTAGAGATTATTGATAGCTTGGCTACTAATTTGATAATTGTGTGGATCCTTATGGTGGGCTATTAATTGAAAAGAAAATGTTACGAAGTTTAGATTTCATGAGCGTTTATGTGAATTTGGCCTTCAGTCCGAACCTAGGTTTCATGGTTTTTCTGTATTGTCAGTATCTCTATATACTTTGGTTGTATCTAAAGACAACTGAAAAGCTTTAATTCAGAGCCCTTTTTCGAGTTTGTGTGCCATCTTTTTGAAGATGACTAATGCCACGAAAGCTGCTCTGAAGTGGAAGTGCCAGGAGCGAAGTTTTGCAATGAGAGTACGAACTCTGCAGGGAAAGGGGGTGTCTGTTTCTTCTAGTCCATTTTAAGCTCATTTGTGCAATTGCTGCCTTCTCCGTATTACTGCATAACTCCTTTGATCTTAAAGTGGAAGGAAGCAAATTTCAAGAGCCAGGATCACTTCTCATGTGGCTTTAAAAGGAACAGCATATTACAAAATTGAGTGGATGTCAAGTAAAACATAAATTTGGATCTTTTGAAATTTGAACTCAGGGAGATATTACTTTCAGAGCCAAGCACATTGACAAGCTCAGGGATAAATTGCATTTGTTTGTCATTCATTTAAATTCAAGTGTTAGGTCAACTTGTTGCCCGGTGTTATTGTCCTTTATTGGATGTGGCATTTGTACTCAGCATTATACTCTAAACTTTAAACGTTTAATCCTCATGACAACATTATGAGACTGTATCCCCATTTCACAGACAAGGACACTAAAGCTGAAAGCATCCATACCTGACTCAGAATTCCATATTTTCCCCATCCCTGGCCTCCTGCATCCTAGATGGAGAATAAAATGTAAACACAGGTTGCTAATACAGCCCTCTTCACTGTTGTCATATTTAAAAGCTGCCAAAATTGCTTAGCTTATGCCCATGAATTTTTTTTTAAGTGGCAAATTGATTGAAACAGTGAGTGAAAGGGATTATTTCAGTTAGGGTTATGCCTGACTGGAACAAATCCACTTATTAGCATGCTCTTTGGATTCCCCACCCTGACTTTTGGAACCAAGACATAGACCAGAGAATGAGCTCAGTATTATTAGTAAGTTACTTTGACCAGCCAATAATCTCCATTTTCTCTCCTTTTCTCCTCATTCATCTTCTCAACCCCAGCCATATTAACCACCAGTGAAGACGATGGGAGCTGAATGGATGTTGTAGAAGGCTTTGCATTTGTGCAGTTGTTTAGAATCTGGGGTCACGTTCCTGAGCTCAGATGAGGTGAAGTCTGAGTATCAGACATGGAGAAGCTGTAATCAGAAGTGACCAAAAATTGAACCTGGGCTAGGTTGACTGGTTGTTTTCCTTTTGCATAGCCTACAAATATTATTGGTGTGTATCAGTCATGGAAGATTAGAAACACTTTCTTTGAGCCTTCACATTATCAGATAATACTAAATGCATTAAAAAGTTCCTGTCGTAGTCTTTTTTGTGCTGCTGTCACAGAATGCCACACTGGGTAATTTATAATGAACAGAAATGTATTTGGTTAACGGTTCTGGAGGCTGAGAAGTCCAAGAGAATGGCCCTGACATCTGGCAAGGCTTTCTTGCTGCATTGTAACCATGGCAACGCGTATCACATGAACAAGAGAGAGAATGTGAGAGAGCAAGAGGGGGTTGCAAGGGGGCCAAACTCACTTTTATAACAAATTCCCTCTAGCAATAATGATGATAATCTATTCATGAGGGCAGAACCCTCATGACCTAGTCACTTCTTAAAGGTCCTACTTCTCAACACTGTTGCACTGGGAATTAAGTTTCCAACACGTGAAATGTTGGGGATACATTCAAACCATAGTGGTCCCCCTGACTATAAAATATTCCCTCTCATTCAGGATCCAAGATCAGAGTATCTGAGAAACATTGCCATGGTAGAGAAGGGATAACACCTTTTTGGAGGAGCACATGAGTTGATCAGGTGGCCAGCAAATGTTGTGTCTTGTGATGTGGAATATTACTGGGAAACTTTTAAGACAAACCGTAAGCCAGATATATTGTTTCAAAAAACTACTGGTATCATAGCCTGTTTCTCATTTTTTACCTTTGCATACAACTCATGGAAACTAATGGCTAAATTTTGCTGTGTACCAAATGATTCCAGTTAGTTAAAACAGATCGTTTTATGGGTCAGTAGGTTGGCTGGTCAGTTGTGGGTATGGCTAGTTCAGCCCATCTCTGTGGACTGCAGATGGTTCCACTGAGGCTGGATGGTCTCAAATGGACTCACTCACCTGTCTGGTGATGGCAGGCCAGTGAGTCTAGAAGAACGTTAGCTAGGACTACCTATGTCTACTCCTTGTAGTCGCTCATCCTTTAATAGGCTAACTTGGAATTCTTCATTTGATCTTAGGATTCCAAAGAATCTGAGTGTTTTATGAGCTTGTGTCTGCATCATGTTCACTAATTCTCCATTCACTAAAGCAAGACATATGGACAAGCCCAATTTCAAAGAATGGAATAATTGGTGTACACTTTCCATAGAGGAGGGCAAAGTCAAGTTGTAAAGGCACATGTAACAGGGATAGAGGGAATTTGTGGCCATTTTGTCATTTCTCACAGATATTAGAGTAACTAACTACAGATAGTTAAGCTGGCATCCCCACCAGAATGAATCAAAGGGACCATCTTTTTGTCTATAGCTTCAATTTGGTATGGAATCATTCTCTGGGATCCTTATTTTATTCTATTCTGGCCTCTTGAAACTTGGCCACTTTTACTGGTTAGGTTCTCTTCTCTTGCATTCCTGAGCTGTAATTCCATTTTTGACCAGGTTTTAAAATTTTGATCAATTACTTGCTAAGGTACAAATACGATGTTTCTTCTAATGCAATTTTGATTTGGTGTATTCTGTGCAGTTACCTTTCAAGAATGTTTCACGCTTCAGTCCCTGGCTTGAGCTTCTTCTCAGGCAATTTGTAGGCACACTTATGCCAACTCCCAGAATTCCACCTTTATGGTCTGATACACTGGGTTCCTATTCACTGATTTTTTTTTTTTATCTGTAATGTTTACAATGTAGTAGCAAATTCCACATATTTTATTAGTCTATAAACATAATCCTGTGTTTAGTAGCACCTGTATTCTGAATTTACGCTCTAGACATTAAGATATAATCACTATTAACTCATAGAGCATCTAATGAGGGCTTCTGACCCTCAACCTCTGCACCACTGACATCTTAGCCAGAAAAGATATTGTAGAGAGCTATTCTGAGCATTATAGGATGTTTAGCAGCAGCTCTGGCCTCTACCTTGATGTC